>NC_000013.11:112758230-113063160 GCF_000001405.40 Homo sapiens | reverse complement strand
CTCATCATGCCACGGTGAGCAGCAAATGGTGCTGTTGGAGGTGCACAAAACTCCACACGAGTGCGGCCTGTGATGGCCAAGGACATGCAACAGGCGTTTACACCTCCTCCAGCAACATCATCAAACAGTGCTCTGATGGGAGAGATGATCATTTTTGTCCCTGTTCCTGCCGAAAATACCCCGCGGTCATTGTAGACACCAGTTGAAATCAACACACCACCACTGAGGCCGGACGGGGAGAGTGGCTGGCAGTTCCCACACGGTTATGGTTATGTGGAAAACCTGTGGTTGCGACGGCCGCATAAGCTCCTCTACACACGCCTTGTCTTCATTTTTCTGCATTTCTCTTGCCCTTTTTGAGGTCACTCCATCCATGGGTTTGGACAGTCAGTCACGGCAGCAGAGGTGCCGGGGCCACTGTTCTCCCTCATGTCTCCTTTCTATGGCTGAGTCCAGCACACGGCACTGAAACACGGACACACACGTGTCAACAACTGCATCCTTCACATCATCCACTCTAATTTCAAGAATTATCTAAGTGGGGCTGTGAGTTTGAAGATGCCGGTGATTTCTGTGAAACCCATTTTGACGGCTTGCTGTGGAGCCGTTGTGCAGGGGAGCCTGTGGCATGGATGACCCGTGAGGTCGGTCTTGCTCCCCGTGACACGTCTGTGGTCACAAAGCCTATGGCTAGTGTGCAGTGCCTGCCAAATAGCAGGGAAGGAGGGCGCACGGAGTTATCTCCATCATAAGGGCCATAACACACACAAGCCACCAAGAGAGTAGCTGTCTGCGGGGCGCTGAGCTGCACAAGCCACCACGAGAGGTGCTGTCTGCAGGGTGCTGAGCTGCACACGCCATCACGAGAGGAGCTGTCAGAGGAGCTCTGAGCTGCACACGCAATGCCTAGCTCATCCTGGTGTCAGGACATGAGCCTCCCACTGCCCACGAGTCCCTGCTCTGCACGGTTTTGTCGCTGGTCGTCTCTAGGGAATGGACTGTTCAGACACTAAGGCTTCTCCAAGGCTACAAAAAACGGTACATGCACAGAGTTTCCCAATGGCTTGGAAGCTGGTGGTTCTGGGGCCACCAAAGCACGATGGCACAGAGCCCCATGGGTGCCATGCAGAACACCCTGCACCTGCAGTTACTGCCCCAGGCCAGGCACCAGGGTCACGGGTGACACCCAGAGTGGACTGCGTGGGGGTGGGCAGAGTGGATGGGGCCTTGTGACCCCCAGGGCTGTCTTGGGTAGGGGGAGAGGAGGAGGAAGGGGAGGAGGAGGGGGAGGGGGAAAAGAGGGGAGGGGAGGAGGAGGGAGGGGGAGGGGAGAGAAAAGAGGGGAAGGGGGAGAGGGAAGGGAGGGGAAGGGGGAGAGGGAGGGGAGGGGAAGGGGGAGAGGGAAGGGAGGGGAAAGGGAAGAGGGAGGGGAGGGCAAGGGGGAGGGGAGGGCAAGGGGGAGGGGAGGGGAGGGGAAGGGGGCAGTACATGGGGAAAGGCCCCAGGCCGTTTTCTTCCCTGTCAGAGAAGGGCTCTTGCACCTTTGGCATTGAGGCTGTAGCGCAACGAGGGTGGGGAGGGAGGGCTGGTGCCACCTGATTCCCAGCGCACAGGGAGTAGCTTCACAGTGAGCGACCTGCACCCCAGATTGCCTGGTTTCCAGTAGCATCTGGCTGGTGCCATGGGGTGCTCTGCGGTGCCTGGTGCTGGCCCATATGTCTCTGTTCTCTTTGTGGCAGAGAAGATGTGAGCTCGCCAAGGCAGCTGACCAGGGCTCTCCGGGGGAGCTACACAGCTCGGGCTGGTGACCGGGCTCCACAGGCTCTAAGGGACTTTGTGAAGCCTTTGTTCTTTAAAGGACAGCAGATCAGGACTGAAGGTGCTTTCTCAGTGGGCAGTGTTGGGAGATGCTGCCCTGTGCCGGGATAGTGTGGTGGCGATGGGGCAGGGGTCACCCTGTTGGCTGCTCCAGGACAGGTCCGGCCCATCCCTGTCAGCAGTGGGTGCTCCCTCCCAGGTCCAGAGATGCTTACAGCCCCCTCCCCAGCCCTTCTCTCATCCCTGGGGTGCAGGCAGGGCCTGGGCTGAGTTCCTCGCGGGTGGGCCAGGCGGACTCTCAGCCCTTAGGGTCTCAAGTTCTGTAGTTCTCCTGGGGGTATGAATGTCGCGTGACCCGCGTCCTGATGGGATGCCCACACGGTGGCCTCTCTGAGGTTGATGCTCTGTGCACCTCTGGCGGGGTGGGGGCTGGGGGCGGGGGTGGGGGAAGAAAGGATTGTACTGCTTCTGGCAGCATTGAGGAGGTGCAACTTCCCGCCAGGTCCTGCGGGGTTTTGTTGACCGTGTGGCCCTGAAGTCAGCTCCTCGAGGATTTCGATGATCACAGATGGGCCAGGACGGCAATGAGTTCCGTTCTGCTACCGCAGGATGGAGGCGGGGCGCACTTACCGGCACCTTCATCTTAAAGTCATCTCTATTGAATTTGAAAGCGATGTCGGAGAGAGTCCTTTGGAAAAAACCCGTCGGGCGAAGCACGAGGACGAGCTGCAGGTTTGCCGGGAAAGATGCCTGTGAGAGAGGGCGAGAGACAAGGGCCTGCAGCGTGCTCTGCAGACAGCAGCCCCCCTAGTGCGGTGCCTGCACGCTGGGCTGACCGGGGGCGCGCAGCTAGCGGCCAGGCATCCTCAACGCAGCAGGTTTATGCTGAGATAAACATGGTAGAGATGCTGGCCTCTGTGAAAGGCATCTCTTTTCTAAAAGAAAAGAGGAAAAGCCTCATGTCTTGGCAGAACGTTATGCTGCTTACAAATGTAAAAGTCCAAAGCTTACGACAGTTGTTAGGGGCTGAGCTGTGTCCCCCCAAATTATGATGTCGAAGCCTAACTCCCAGTGCCTCCGAACGTGACCTTGGCTGGTGACGCGGTCTTTACAGAGGTAACCAAGCTAAAGTGAGGTCATTAGGGCAGGCCCTGATCCCAGCACCGCGTGGAGAGCTCCCAGAGAATTTGCTGGTGGAGGCCGGGGCGGTGCTTCCACACCCAGGGAGACCCAGGAGGCAGCCAGACCAGAAGCTGAGGAGAGGCCTCGAGCAGAGAGACGCTCCCCATAGCCTTGGAAGGAGCCCCCTCCGGCCACACCTGAGTTCAGACTCCGCCTCCGGGGCTGGGAGGGAACAGCTTCTGTGCGCCCAGTGGTCAGTCTGTAGTTACTTTGTTACCATGGCCCCAGGAAACCAAGACACTTGTCAAATTTTATAAAAGCAACATAGACACATGTGTGTGTTACCTACAAAAATAAAAATAATCTTGTGCCCTGGTGTGCACACACGGCCTTGGACACAGTTACATGAATTTATTTGGAAACTGGCTCTGCCTCTTACAAGGCGTGGGAACTTGGGTAGGTCACTCCCCTTCTCTGTGTCTCAGCTTCTCCATTGGGAAAGTGGGGAGACCGGCAGTGCCTACTCATGACACCCTTTCGAAGATGAAATGGACCAAGGCGTGCGTGGCGTTCAGTGGACACCTGCACCAAGGAAGCGCTCAAAAGCCGCGATGACAGACGTGCAGTGATGGTTGCTCTCGACACCAAGTTATGTCCAGATGCTGAAATCCAGGGAGACCCCATCACCAAAAAAAGAAACTGAAGCAACTGAGTTTGATTTCTGGATAACTAAGTTAAATGCACCTAAAATATGACATATAGAAAAGAATGGCATTGCCCTAAAGCCCGAAAGGAATATAGCAGCAAGGACTAGAGGAGGAGTGACCGACTCACCAGGATGTCCTGCCTGGGCACTGCCCCAGCCACACTCCAATGTTCAGGCTGGCCTAGCGAGGACCATAAGAAGAGGGCCCTGAGGTTAGGAAGCTGGGGTAGGGTCTGAAGTCAGGGGACGCGTGGGGCGTGGGCCAAGTCTGGGCCCTCCAGCCACGCTGGCTGCAGGGACACCTGGGCTCATCTCTACTGCTGACAACATGATCTCAGGCGGGAATTCTAGATCGCGCACCCCAAGTTCCAACCCAGCTCTGGGATTGCAACATAAGTGGCTGGGACCTCACTTAGGATTATACAATGCCTTTTCCACAGTTGTGGAATCCTAGTAGCAAGACCTTGACAAGTCTGTCCTCAGCACCCAAACACTCAGCACCCACTCAGCACCCAAATGGCACTGAAACACTCAGCACCCAAACAGCGCTGAAACACTCAGCACCCAAACAGTGCCGAAACACTCAGCACCCAAACACTCAGCACCTAAACACTCAGCGCCCACTCAGCGCCCAAATACACAGCGCCCACACATCACCCAAACACTCAGCACCCAAACACTCAGCGCCCAAACACACAGCGCCCACTCAGTGCCCAAATACACAGTGTCCACTCAGCCCCCAAATACTCAGCCCCCAAACACACAGCGCCCACTCAGCGCCCACACAGCACCCACTCAGTGCCCAAACAGCGCCCATTCAGTGCCCACTCAGCGCCCAAACACACAGCGCCCACTCAGTGCCCAAACACTCAGCACCCAAACACACAGCAAACACACAGCAACTAAACACTCAGCACCCAAACACTCAGCAACCACACAGCAAACACACAGCTACTAAACACTCAGCACCCACACAGCGCCAAAACACTCAGCATCCAAACACTCAGCTCCCACCACTCAGCACCCAAACACACAGCACCTAAGCACTCAGCACCCACTCAGCACCCAAACACACAGCACTCAAACACACAGCACCCACTCAGCACCCAAATACTCAGCACCAAAACACTCAGCACCCACTTAGCGCCCACTCAGTGACCAAACACACAGCACCCACTCAGCACCCAAACACAAAGTGCCCGAACACTCAACGCCCACTCAGTGCCCAAACACTCAGCACCCACTCAATGCCCACTCAGCGCCCACACACTCAGCACCCAAACACTCAGCGCCCAAACACACAGCGCCCAAAAACTCAATGCCCACATAGTGCCCACTCAGTGCCTAAACACTCAGCGCCCAAACACACAGCGCCCACTCAGCACCTAAACACTCAGCACCCAAACACTCAGCGCCCAAACACTCAGCACCCAAACAGCACCGAAACACTCAGCACCCAAACACTCAGCACCTAAACACTCAGCACCCATTCAGTGTCCAAACACTCAGAGCCCAAACACTCAGCACCCAACACTCAGCACCCAAACAGTGCCAAAACACTCAGCACCCAAACACTCAGCACCCAACACTCAGCACCCAAACACACAGCACCCACTCAGCACCCAAACACTCAGCATCCAAACACTCAGTGCCCAAACACACAGCGCCCAAACACTCAGCGCCCACACAGTGCCCAAACACTCAGCACCCAAACACACAGCAAACACGCAGCTACTAAACACTCAGCACCCAAACACTCAGTGCCCACTCAGCACCCAACACTCAGCACCCAAACAGTGCCAAAACACTCAGCACCCAAACACTCAGCACCCAACACTCAGCACCCAAACACACAGCACCTAAACACTCAGCACCCAAACACTCAGCACCCAAACACACAGCACTCAAACACACAGCACCCAAACACACACCACTCAAACACACAGCACCCAAACACACAGCAAACACGCAGCTACTAAACACTCAGCACCCAAACACTCAGCACCCAAACACTCAGCGCCCACTCAGCACCCAACACTCAGCACCCAGTGCCAAAACACTCAGCACCCACTCAGTGCCCAACACTCAGCACCCAAACACACAGCACCTAAACACTCAGCACCCAAACACTCAGTGCCCAAACAGCCCCCAAACACTCAGCGCCCACACAGCACCCACTCAGCACCCACTCAGTGCCAAAACAGCACCCATTCAGCACCCACAGCACCCAAACACAGCACCCACTCAGCACCCAAACACACAGCACCTAAACACAGCACCCACTCAGTACCCAAACACACAGCACCTAAACACTCAGCACCAAAACACACAGCACCTACTCAGCACCCAAACATTCAGCACCCACTCAGCACCCAAACACACAGCACCCAAGCACTCAGCACCCAAACACACAGCACCCAAACACTCAGCACCAAAACACTCAGCACCCAAACACACAGCACCCAAACACTCAGCGCCCACTCAGTGCCCACTCAGCACCCAAACACACAGCACCCACTCAGCGCCGAAACACTCAGCACCCAAACACTCAGCACCCAAACACACAGCACCCACTCAGCACCCACTCAGCGCCGAAACACTCAGCACCCACTCAGCACCCAAACACACAGCACCCACTCAGCACCCACTCAGCGCCGAAACACTCAGCACCCAAACACACAGCACCTAAACACTCAGCACCCAAACACACAGCACCCAAACACTCAGTGCCAAAACACTCAGCACCCAAACACACAGCACCCACTCAGCGCCGAAACACTCAGCACCCACTCAGCACCCAAACACACAGCACCTAAACACTCAGCACCCAAACACTCCGCACCCACACAGCACCCAACCACTCAGCACCCAAACACACAGCACCCAAACACTCAGCACTCACTCAGCGCCAAAACACTCAGCACCCAAACACACAGCACGCAAACACTCAGCGCCCACTCAGTGCCCACTCAGCACCCAAACACACAGCACCCACTCAGCACCCACTCAGCGCCGAAACACTCAGCACCCAAACACTCAGCACCCAAACACACAGCACCCACTCAGCGCCGAAACACTCAGCACCCAAACACACAGCACCCACTCAGTGCCAAAACACTCAGCACCCAAACACACAGCACCTAAACACTCAGCACCCAAACACTCCACACCCACACAGCACCGAAACACTCAGCACCCAAACACACAGCACCCAAACACTCAGCACCCAAACACACAGCACCCAAACACTCAGCACCCAAACATGGACCAGGTCACCTGCCTTGTAGGAATTAAAACCAGAGATGTGCCCCTGCCCCTTGTGCATAAACTAAGGGCTCGGTCACTGGGCGGCTGCCCTCCCCGTCCAGGGCAGGTGGACAATGTCCTGTCACTGGGTGGACACTGCACACCTTTCCCACAGGACCCCTCCCATGGAGACCTCTGCTTCATCTGCATTGCGTGGGGAGGGCAGGGACCACGGCCCTCAGTGGCCGGCACACTTGGCAGGTCCTCTGCGGGTGTCTGCTGCGGAGTGGATGAGGGAGGGGAGGCTGATGGCTTCCGGGGGACTCTCCTGTCTCCGCTGCTCTCCACACCCATTCTCTCCAGCCTCGGCCCCCAGGGAAGTGCTCTGGAGGGGCCCTGCATCTGCGCCCTCTCTGCCCCACCATCTCACACGACGCCTGGACATAGACTAAGGCCACAGCCATTCACCTTCTGCAGGGAGCACGTGTGGGTAAGATGCTGTGACGGACAGGCTGAATTACAAGCAGGGAATCGTGAGCTGAGCATCTGCCAGGAGTGTGATCCTGGTGGACGAGGCGCCTGGGCAGTCCTCCTTCGAGAAGCAAGCCCCAAAGAGTGGGACGCCCCAGGGCAGATTCTGTGTCTCAGCAAGGGGCGGACTGAAAATCCCTCACACTGCTGTGAAATTGGACACCACTATTTACGGAAAACCAGTCTTTTTCTGATGGTGCGATGAATCACGCTCTTCTACGTTTCACTGTCGTTTTTATCACCTGGATCTTTAAGGACAAGCTGAGAGCCTGAAGCTCAGAGATGAAGCCAGGTGTGTGTGTGTGTGTGTGTGTGTGTGTGTGTGTGTGTGTGTGTGTGTGTGTGTGTGTGTGTGGCGGGGGGGGGGGTCCACGTCTCCAGCAGGTGCAACTATTTGCCCCTAAAGCCTCTGGGAGTGAAGCATACCCCTGCAGCAAGGCTGGTCCCTGAGGCTCTGCCAGCATCAAACATGACCCCCTCTTCCTTGGCTCAGTTTTAGGGTTTCGTATTTTAAGTTATTGGATCATTATATTAAATAGAATAAATTGGAAGATCCTAGCTGAGTGAGAAGGTGCTAACGATGTACACAAACACATACTTTGAATAAATATAACAGCAAATAAAATTTTCTCTGAATTGGAGTTGACCGTTTGTATTAAAAGCTGGGGAAAGTTCTAAAATAAAAACTTTATTTTAAAAGATGGGGGTAAGTATAAATGGTAACTGGATGAAGAATTTGGGATGGAGGCTGTCAAGTCTTTTTGTAAATTACTCAACAGTAAAGTAATCCTATAGGTTTCTATCTAACATGAAAACAATATTGCTCATTTTCTGGGCTGACCTGGATGAACTTAGGAACAGATATGTGTGATGACCACAGCACTGTAGTCTGGAGATAGAAAAAGAGTTCACTGGTTTCTGAGTTAATATTCTTAGAGACTCAGAAAACAATCGCTGCATGTATTTACCAATGCAGCTAAAGCAACAGGACATGCTGGGAACTTTGTAGAACTGGGTACTTTGGGGAACCCTGTTTGAAAAACCCTCCCCAAGTTCAAATCACCTTCCTTAAGGTCTGCTCCAAGCCACACCTATCCAGCTTGACATTATATATTTAATTTCAGAGCAACTGAAACCTCACCAACTACATTTGTCTGACAGTAGCCAAACAGTAAACACAAGTTTATATAAAAAATATGCATTTGAAAGTTTGTTTGTGTCTCTGTGTTAACAGATGAAGAAGACGTTAGAGCCGGAATCAGAGACGCTGGACCGGGTGAGGAAAACAATGGGCGTGGACCCTGTTCCTGCAGATGTTCAGACACGAGTGCTCAGAATGGCCGCTGCCGTGTGCGTGAGGCCATCACTCCTAAAACCAATCCTAAAAGCGCGGCCGTTTGGGGACTGGTCCTCTAGCAAATGGTCCTCTAGAAAGCCTGGGAGAAAATACAGGGAGAATCTGCAGACACACATCCAATCGCACTCCCACTCCCGAATGTACAATAATCTCCACGAATTTCACGGGAAGCAGACCTGGAGAACAGGCGTGCATCCAGGATCCTGAGATTGGACTCGAATGACATTTGGGTGGGGACTACTATGAAAATAGGACAGTCTGTTGATTGATTGATGGGAGGGAGCTCGCCGTCTCTCCCACACTCACCCCGCAGCTCAAGCCAAGCCCCAGAACCTCCCCTCGGCTTCTCAGCAGACACCAGCAAAGTTGTGCCAAGGTTCTGCCCAGCGTTGGTTGCGTTTCGCCGATTCGGAGCCGTGTGAACTGAGCTCCCATCAAGAGTTGAGGAGTATTCGGGTTGTTTTTCTGGTCAACTTGTTAACCAGCTCCCTAAGGACCAGGACCCTGAAGGGGCGTGCATGTTTACTTTGCAATCAGTGAAAACCTCACTCTGCAGAGGCGGAGAGTACAGGCAAGATCACTGGAGACACAGCTGCAGGGACACAGGAGGAGACAGAGTAACAAATGGAAGGAGGCTCCAGGCAGGTGTGGATGCAGACGCCAGGCACCTGCTGCTCCCCTTGAAAACACAGCCCTGTGGCAACCACCACCGAACCACCCATTCAGGCAGAAACGGTCAGTGGACACCTCAGCCACGGGACCTTCGCCCCGTCCTGAGCATCACCACACATGACCCACTGATTACCAAGAGGAGAGGCACCTTCTCCTGGGGAAATCCGGACGCCTCCTTGGCCGTCTGAGCACACAACACCGCCCCAATCACGGGACACATGGACATCCTGGGCCTCCACGGGCTGCCCCAGAAGCTCACCCACCAGGATTCCCGCCCCAAAGGACCACGTGGAACCTAATTACAAGGAAACCAGATGAAAGGATATTCCATAAAGCAACTGGCTTCAACCCTTCGCAAATCTCAATCTCACAAAAGACAGAAAGCAAAACAAAAACCAACAACTGGGTGGATTAGAGACGACTGAGAAGGGTGGACAGCTGACGGGGGCGCCGTCCTTCACTGGACCTGGATTTTAACAAATACAGGAAGGACATGACGGGGCACGTGGAGAAAGCCCCATGTGTGGGCATCCAGAGGGCAGTGTGGCCGCGATGCAGACTCGCCTGTGGTTATGCAGAGGGCAGCTCCACTCAGGAGACACCATGTCAGCAATCCGGGATGAACTGACACGATGGCAGAGCCGGCTCTCACCAGCAAAATGTGTGTGTGTGTCTGTGTTTATGTGATGTGTGTATATGTGCATATATGTGTGTGTTTGTGTGTGATGTGTGTCTCTGTGCCTGTGTGATGTATGTCTCTGAGTGTATGCATGTCTGTGTGATATGTGTGTGTGTTTATGTGATGTATGTGTGGGTATATGTGTATATATATGTGTGTGTCTGTGTATGTGTCTATGTGATGTGTTTTGTGTCTGTGTGATGTGTCTGTGTGATGTGTGTACATGTCTGTGTCTATGTCTGTGTGTTTTTGTACACACGCACACA
This sequence comes from Homo sapiens, assembly GCF_000001405.40. Classification (NCBI taxonomy): domain Eukaryota; kingdom Metazoa; phylum Chordata; class Mammalia; order Primates; family Hominidae; genus Homo; species Homo sapiens. The sequence continues at coordinate 113,052,763 of NC_000013.11, read as the reverse complement.
CACACACACGAATGGGCACTTTGTTTATGGCCACAGCTGAGGTTTGTTCACTGTGAGACTCTCCCAAGTTTTCTGTAGGTCTGAAATTTTTCTGAACTGAAAGTTGAGAGGAAAAAGACACGAGGCTGCTGCAGCTCACAGCTCTTCTCCTCCATGCGTGGGGCAGCTGCATCTCCCCTCCCTCCTGATCCGACCTTCACTCAAATGCCTGAGCCACCGGGATGCAGGGGTTCTGACTCCGTGCAACGAGCTCTAAGCTGAAAAAAATAAACCAGGCAAATAGTCTCGCTCCAGGCATCCAGGGGAGTGAAGAGCAGCGCTGGAGAAGCTCAGCCAGCAGTCCCTGGCCTCTCACCGGCAAGGCCTGGCTCTGGGTTTATCAGTCAGGGAAGCCGGCGTGGCCTGCAGGGTCCACGGCCCACACGGAGCCTCATGAGGCACCTGGTCCCAGGGACCCCCGGGCTCCTTCCTCTTCTCTGCGAGAAAAAACCGCTGAGCGAGCCCGGGTCTCAGAGCTCTTTCTTTTTCTCTGTTTATCTTTTTAAAAAAATGTTTCTACATTTAACTGACAAATCATGATTGTATCTACTTACGGGGCACCCAGTGATGTTTTGCTATAGGTATCCTCAGTGGAATGATTAAATCAAGCCAATTAACCGATCTGTCACCTCACCCACTCACCAGTTTTCTGTGCTGAGAACATTTAAAATGGATTCTTTTAGCAATTCTGAAATATACATTTGGTGTGGTTGGAATGTTCGTCCCTACCAAACTTCGAAACTCATGGCAGCATTGAGAGGCAGTACCTTTCAGAGGTGACTGGGTCAGGACGGCCCCACCCTCATGAATGGATTCATCCATTCACGGATTCTCGGATTAACGGGCTGTCGTGGGGGTGGGTGGGGGCCTGGTGGCTTTGTAAGCAGCGGGGGCAGCCCTGGGCTGGCTCACTCTCCCCTCGCCAGGTGAGGTCCCGCGTCGCCTCAGGACCCACCAGCAAGAGGGATCTCACCAGGTGAGGCTCCTCAACTGTAAGGCATGAATTCTTTTTCGTTGTAAAGTGCCCAGTTTCAGATACTCTTGACATATAAGCAGCAGACCCGGACTAAGACAACCTTGTTATTCACTGTGTCGCCTCCGAGGTCTTTAGAGAGAGCAAAGTGGCTCGTGCCGCCCGTTATTGGACCCTTGGATTCCATGTTCCAGGAAATACACAGTGAAGAAGGGCTTGGGGCCTCTGGATCTCCCACCCCTGCTGGATACCCCAAGGCTGTCAAATCCACCCTTAGGTGGGAGGAGCGAACCCTCGGATGAAGGACAGTCGTTTAAATAGACGCTCTCAGCGTCGTGGAAGCCTCACGGGCTGCCTCCCCCTGCAATATTCTGCATGACCGGCACCGCCCACCGCCGTGGCCCTGGGACCACCGGAGTAGGGAGAGAGCTCGGGCTTCAGAGACAGAAAGGCCCAGGCCGCCCCCAGAGCCGCCCCACCCCATCGGCAGCTTCCCTCGTCGCCCCGAAGCCCAGCTCCTCCCCTGTAATCGGCGGTTGGTGAACGCGCAGGGTGCGCTGAAACGCATTTGCCACAGCAGCTGGTGCGGAGGAGACAGCCTGCAGATCCTGGTCCCCTTCTGTCCACCACGGGGGGACTGTGCTCACCTGGGCAGGTGCTTGCTGCACACAGCAGCGGTGTTCTGAGAAAGCTCAGCCACACCGGGAAGAGCTGGGTCCCCCACCCCCGTGTCGCCGCAGTTATGCAGCGCGCATTTCAGTTCCCTGCCCTGGGGGACGGTCTCGCCTCTTCCGAGAGGGGCACACGGACCTGGCCCTCTCTCCCTCGGCAGCCAGCTGCTTTGTGTTCCCAGGGGAAGCTCCTCGCCCCCCTCCATCTGGACAACTCCTCCTCCCGTCAGGCTCTCACCAAGCATCACCTCCGCCGGGAAGTCCTCCTGGAGTTAGCACCGCTCCCACCGCCCCCTGCCGCCCCCCTCCCCCCGCCACCGCCCCCCGCACCCCCCCGCTCCCCCCGCCCCCCCCGCCCCCGCCCCCCCTGCTCCTCCCGCCTCCCCGCTCCCCCAGCCACCCCCCCCTCCACCGCCCCGGCCCCCACGGCTCCCACCGCCCCCACCGCCCCCACGGTGAGCTCCTCCCCAGAGCCCCAGTAGCTGGCACAGGGGGGCCGCATACAATCGTACTTTGCAAATGTGAAAGATTTGCTGGACGACCTAGAAGTCCGGGGTCCCTCAGACACCTTGTTTTCTACCTTTCCTGCACACACAGACTGCACCGGCGTTACAGGAAAGAGAGTTGTGGCCCCATGCAGTCTAAAAATCAGATTCACTTTCTCCAGCCACCTACTTGAGGATCTAGATTTAGTTTGATTTAGGCTAGCTCTAAACATGAATATATATACTCTATTACAAATTCCCAAAATGTGAACACGCACACACACACTCACTCTCACACACACACACTCTCACACTCACAGTCTCACACACATTCACTTACACTCCCACTCGCGCACACACTCACACACTCACACAGTCTCACATTCACTTACACTCCCACTCGCTCGCACACACACACAGTCACACACTCACACTCACACACTCACACATGCAGTACAGTGGAAGAGGGTTAGATGTTGCAACAGCATTTTATAAAAGATGCTTCTATCTGAGGACCGCACAACTGCCTAAGGGAGAAGAGACGTGAGTTCTCAGAGGATCTCATCTTTCTGCCCCCTGGGTGGGTAGCTGTGAACCTATCCTTCTCCCACACGCCCTCAGCATCACATGGGTCTTGCTCTCGATTGGGAGCCTGGTTTTAGGAACACTGGATTTTGGCTCTTCCAATGTCTAATTTTTCTATTCCAAGCCATGCTGAAGGCATCCAGAAAAGAAAAAAGAACACCCCAAATTAGGGAGAGCTCAGCTCTTAAGACAGCACATATGGTGGCTAAAAATAGCCCCGGATCCCGGCACATTATGTAAGCGCTGCGTCCTCCTCGGTGGCCGAGCGCTTGGAGGCAAGTCTCTGCCACGGGCTTGCTTTGTGGCGCCCGCAGCACCATGAGCTGGGCACCCTGGTGGGGTCGGGCAGCTGGAGCCTGTGCCTGTTTGGAAACCTGCTTGAGGGCTCGGCTGGCCTGGACTGTTGCTAAGTGCTAGTTTTCCCAAAGCCACTTTAGGTGGAAGCCTAGGCCAGCCAAAGCTCGCTGTCAAGGCCTGGAGCCCAGGGGTTGGCGTCCAGGTGCCCCGCTGCAGCCACTACTTGGTGTCCCCACGTCAGGTCAACTGCACCATTTCCAAAAAACTGAATCAAGATGCCCAAGGGGTCATCCCTGGTCTGCCCTCTCCAAGGAGTGCGTGGCTCATGGACAGAGCCTGGGGCCTCCCCGCCAGCCCCACCACCCACCCCTTCCCCACTGCAGAGACCCTCACCCCTCCTGGTCTGCCCAGGACCTAGGCTTGGCTGGGTCCACAGCTGCCCTCACTCCCTTGACCAGTGACCCTCTAAGCCTCAGCACATGCACAACCAGCTCCTATGACAGTGCCACCACTGCCCGCCTCCTGCCTCCTTGGCCTTGTGGCCCACTTCTCCTTCATGAAACCAGGGCTGTGAGCTCCATGTCTCCTGGCCCATCCAATGTCCACCATCATCATCTCCTGCCGGTTTCTCATGCCCCTCCTGCACCAAACCCTTCTGGAGGCGGCGGGCTCCTGGGTAGCAGGGGCCTGGGGACAGGAAGACGCCCTCTCCAGGGTCACAGCCCAGGTGGATGGGGCCTGGCATGTGGGGCCTAACTCTGCCCCCTCCCCATGGCTCAGCCACCCTCCTGGCTGCTCCCTGCTGCCCCTGCCTGTGACCCCATTGTGATGCCCCTCAACTGTCCTCACCCAGCTGGCGGTGAGCCTTGCTCACTTCCTCCCTCACATCCGTGATGCCCAGGCAGTGCCTGGGACAGAGAAAAGCCTCAGGACGTGCTAACTACACAGAGTCTGTGTATTAATATGACCATAAGCCGGGCGCGGTGGCTCACACCTGTAATCCCAGCACTTTGGGAGGCCGAGGCAGGCGGATCACGAGGTCAGGAGATTGAGACCATCCTGGCTAACGTGGGTGAAACCCCGTCTCTACTAAAAATATAAAAAATTAGCCGGGCGTGGTGGCAGGTGCCTGTAGTCCCAGCTACTTGGGAGGCTGAGGCAGGAGAATGGCGTGAACCCGGGGAGGCAGAGCTTGCAGTGAGCTGAGATCGCGCCACTGCAGTCCGGCCTGGGCGAAAGAATGAGACTCCGTCTCAAAAAAAAAAAAAAAAAAAAAGACCGTAAATTATTATAGCAAGAAAGCACTGGTGTTCAGAGAGAATTCTGGGTGATTTTGCTGGAAAATGCTGGCTTCTGTTACTTCCAAACCAATGTTGGTCAATTCTGAGAATTAAAGGAAGGACAGAAAAAGCCATATTTTTATGGTGTAAGAATCAATGCAAAAATAAAAACTAAAACACTAACTGTTCAGTTATGATGCTCACAAGACAGAGCTTTCAAGATGAGCCAACCTGCTTAAGAAATTCATCCGATCACACACTCGGTGAACGGAACAGGACACTCGGCAGCTGAAGATCGACACCTAAATCACGGGTCTGCTGTGGGCTGCTTCGCTATCCTGTAGGGTGACCTCGCAGAAATACTTTGCTTTTAGAAAATGATTTTTGTATTTCTTAAAAAGTAACCTCGTATCTGGGGAAGCTCTTGTCATCTAACCCGGGAGTGACTGATTAATCTGAGACACACACGTGGTGATGTGTGTGCGAGGGCACTGGGGCACGCGTAGCGAGGCGTCAGCGGAGGGGCCGGGGCACGCGTAGCGAGGCATCAGCGGAGGCTCTGGGGCACGCGTAGTGAGGCGTGAGCAGAGGGGACAGGGCACGCGTAGCGAGGTGTGAGCAGAGGGGACGGGGCACACGTAGCGAGGCGTGAGCAGAGGGGACGGGGCACATGTAGTGAGGCATGAGCCGTGTGAGGGACGGGCTGTGGCAGGTGTGTGAAGATGCAGGTGCCTGGACCCCACGGGCATGAAAGGCACCCAGGTGCGTCCTGACACCGCAAGTGCCCTGGCAGGGAGGCCGACTCCTACACCCACGTGTTGCTAAGAGTCGTCCTGATGGCTGGTTTATATCAGCGGCAGGTAAGCATAAAAGATGCGGCTGTAACGGTGTTGTCTGTTGTTTAAACGACGACGTGCCTGCTGGGAGCATTGTGGGACCCGCCCAGGACGGATGGGTGCTTCCCAAGAGTATCTGTTGTCCGTCCATGTGTGTCTGACCCCGTGGGTTCTTATGATTTAATTTTTAGAGTTGCCTATGACTTCATGTGCAAACTCATTTAAGACGTACAATAATGAAAGGCACACATGGCTGTTAGCTGGTGATGGCTTTTATCTAAAGAACTTTCTGCATTTCTGGGGATGCTTGATATGGATGGGATTTTTGTCCCCTCCAAGTCTCATGTTGAAATGCGATTCCCAGTGCTGAGGTGGGGCCTGGTGGGAGGTGATTAAGTCTGGGCGTGACCCCTTATGAATGGCTCAGCGCCATCCCCTTGGTGACGGGTGAGTTCTCGCTCAGTAAGTTCACTGGAGATCTGGCTGTTCAAAAGTCTGGGACCTCCCCCTTCTCTCTCGCTCCCTCTCTCACCATGTGATGCCGGCTCCCCGCTGCCTTCCACCACGACTGGCAGCTCCCTGAGGCCCCCTCAGAAGCTGAGAAGATGCAGGTGCTAAGCCTGTGCAGCCTGCAGAACTGTGAGCCAATTACGCCTCTTTCTTTATCAATTACCCAGCTCAAGTACGTCTTTATAGTGACGCAAAAGCAAACGAACGCACTGTTAAAACAAAGGAAGACCGATTCTATACACGTCTACTTTTTTGGAAGCATCCTGAAGCGTTTTGAATTATTTCAGATAACGATGCCATAGGTGGTGTGTGCCAGGTTGAGTCAGGGTCAGGAACGGGGATCCGCCGCGGCGAGGGGCAGAGAGGTGCCGTGGGGGTGCAAGGAGATGCCTCATCCTAAAGACTTCGATGAGAACCAGCGGCTCAGGGACAGGCTTGCACCAAAACGATGAAGGTTGTGGGCATCGGAGCAGATATGGGGCCTCTAATTCTTGTAAAAGATGAAGGAATGAGGCAATGTGCGGGGAAAGGAATGACTTTTTTCAGTATACCTCAAACCTTGGCGCACCAGCCAGCAGCCACCGAGAGGCTGGGGAACCCAAAGGTAGTCTGAACGCGGGACCCAGGAAAGGCCAGGAGAATCTGACTTCACTGGGAGAATCTGACTTCACTGGGGTTTGGTGCTGGGGAATGCTTGGAGCAATTGTGCCATCACAGCTGAGGACCCAGGGTCCCAGAGCCTGGGAGGGACGGGCTGTGGCGGGCGTGAGAACATGCAGGTGCCTGGACCCAGGCTCTGGGTCACCTCTTGGCAGACAGGCAGCCTTTTTTGGTCCTTTGGCAGCAATGAAATTTGGACGGACAGGCGGGGAGAGCGAGCGTGGGTGAAAAATGCTCCATGCCGGGGTCATGCATACGGGTGGGAGCTACCGACAAAAATAAGATTTGGGGGCTTCTGCTGACTTAATCTCTTCCCTCTTAAATGATTACTCTGGGTTAAAACCAACAGCAAACCCAGCTCCCCTTCTGCTATGGAAGGCAGCGTGCAGAATCTGCAAACAGACTCTCGGATGCCAAGGGAAAGTCCTTGGAAAGGAGGGTGGCTACATGCGAGGCTGGGTTACTGGGGAAGGGAGGCGGTGGTGGCTAGTTCAGTGTCGCAGCTAGATGGCCTGATTTGGAAAGGAGAAAATCACATAGGAAAGCTGTGCAGTACCACTTCCAACTTCCAGCCTGGAGCGTCTCTGCACACAGCCCCCGTCCTGCCTGGTCAGGACTGTTGTGCTTTGTGTAAGAGGAAGTGCATGTTCAATCCCACTGGGGAAGGGAGGCGGTGGTGGCTCGTTCAGTGTCACAGCTAAAGATAGATGGCCCGATTTGGAAAGGAGAAAATCACTAATGTATAAATATGTAAGAGGCATATTCAGTCCCGAGCATCTCAGACTTGGTGTTCGGAAACATATGGGCTGCTCTGCCTGGGGAAATTGTTTGCAAGTCACATTGGGCTCCCTAAGAGTTCCTTCATCTGGGAAAACTCACACCCAGGCACCAGTGCCTTGGGAGCCCAAGCAGGGGGGGCCTTGGCGCCGGCCTCCACCCGCCGGGACTGGGCTCTGTCCCACTCAGCACAAAGCAGGAACTGCGGCAGACACAGAGGAAGGGCACCATGCGGTCATGCAGCCCAGGGAGGGGCCGGGCGCAGGGCAGAGCCCCGGGTGGCACTTACTGCGATGCGCAGGACGGACGCCTTCACGGAGGTCCATTTGTCCCGTCGCCGGTCTATCACCAGGATGAATCCGATGCCAGCGTCCTGCAGGCTGCAGTGAGGAAGAGACGCCGCCGTTAATGTGTGCAGGTGGGAAGCCGGCTGCCCACGAAATCCCTCAGAAAACCTCTTGGGAGAGCGATCCCCCATATTCATGATGCCATTTCTGCAATACCAGGTGAGAGGCATGGCACACGGGGGCCCCGGCAGCCCCATCCCCGCAGTCCCAGAACCTGCTCTCATCTACGGAAGGGCAGGCACTTTTGGTGTGTTCTTATTTCTCAGCCTAACACCAACCACCTCGAGTCACAGATTGAGGCAGAACCATCTCTCCCGAGCTCAGTCATTTGCTATTCCACAGTAAGAGCCGAGTCATTTTCCTTTCCTGGGTGACCAGCTGACTAAACCCTCCAAAACAGTCTTATGGCGCATACATCACGCCGGTCCTGGCATCTGAGGTGCCCGTGCTGGTCCACGTTAAGGATTCACTCGTGGTGGCATGGCTACGGTGCTGGGAGAAAATCCCCAAGACTTCTGAAGGTTCCCAAGCATCTGCTGGAAACGGGAGAGGAGGCAGCACTCTCTGCGACAGCCACATCTGTGACAGAGACCACACTTGCGCGTTGTATAACGACAGCCTCCGTCCTCGGATGAGCCTGGTAGTAGAAGCCTGAGTCACAGAGTCGGTGCGGAGAGCCCTCTTCCGTGGGCTCACTCTGCAGCCAAGCCAATTGCGTGATGCCAGCAGCTGCTACCACCAGCCAATCCAAAGCAGAAACAACCACACGGGCATGCCTAAGGCAGGGGCTAGAATCGCTAACTTCCAAGTCTCTGAACATGTCCTAGGTTTACATGAAAATCAGAATTCTGCAGGATGGAGATAAATTATGCAGTCTATGGGCGTGGCCGCTCTCTGTGAGCATCATTAACAAGCCAGGGATTTATATCGGGTGTCTCAGATCCTTCTGACGCTCGGATTTAAAGACAGAAACAGCAACTCCCAAGACATGAAGACGAGGCAGTGACCCCCGAACGTTCATGTGTGGTGGGTGCTGCTGCGTCTGTGTCCCTGTCTGCATCTGGCCGTGAAAAATGCCTCACATGTAGGGTAATTTGATTCAATAACAGCAGAAACCTTCTGGGTGAGTACACGAATAAACACTAGCTTTCATTCAAAGCAGCCTTCTGCAGTGGGCACTAAGCACGTGCACGAGCATGGCGAGTCAGCGACTCCATTTCACAGCTGTGGGGGCCACAGACAGAATTCGTTTTCTGATCTGGCTTAGTTCTTACGGAGCTAAGATTTTTTTTAAAGTTATATTTTCAGCTGGGCGTGGTGGTTCACGCCTGCAATCCCAGCACTTTGGGAGGCTAAGGTGGGTGGATTACTGGAGCCCAGGAGTTCGAGATCAGCCTGGGTAACATGATGAGACCCTGTCTCTATGAAAAATACAAAGATTAGCTGAGTGTGGTGGCGCATGCCTGTGGTCCCAGCTACTGGGGAGTCTGAGGTGGGAAGATTGCTTGGCCCAGGAGTTTGAGGTTGCAGTGAGCTGTGATGGTGCCACTGCACTCCAGCCTGGGCAACAGAGCGAGACTGTCTCAAAAAAAGAAAGAAATAAAGTCATGTTTTCATATTTCCTTATTTACTTCTTGAGTCTGAGCACTTTGACGACTTTTTCTGAACTGTGAGACACAGTGGGTACAGGGAATCTTACTTCCCGTGTAGACCTGTGTGCTCCCTTGGGAGAGGCACAAAGTTACAGGTTATCCTCCAGTAACAGGTGCTACACGTGCCTTTTCCACAAAGGGACCTTGGATGTGCCAGGCCACGGAGATGGAACCCAGCTGCCCTCCCTCTTGCCCCAGGCGGCGTGGTCAGAGCTGCCTTTGGACTCCAAGCCAGGGAGCTGATCCCGGAGCTCTCTGGGTCCCAGTCCTCCTAGAGTGAAGGAGAGAAGAGCCCAGAATGACTAATTTCCACCGAGCACGTAATCCTCAGGCCAGCGAACCCAGTCAAATGCTTTCAAGTCCTGAAGCAGGGGTGATGCTAGCTGAGAAACGCCCCAAGCTGCCCACCTGCAGGTTTGCTCAAGAGCCCCTGCCAAGGGGCTGTGTGTTGGGCGGGAGGGGCTCACCGCCTCTGCGACACTGGCGGGCTCTGGTGGGCCCCGCAAAGGCATCACCCTGGACAGGTGACTTGGCTGTGAACCATCTCTGCTTCCTTTTCTGTAAAAATGAGGACAATCGTAGAATCCACCCCCAGCGGTTACCGTGAGAGTGAAATGAAGCCACTGAGTATGCTGTAACCCGCAGCGCTGCCTGAGCGGCGTCACTGTTTTGCAGAACAACAAAGCCTGACTCAATTTCTCCCCTTTTCCCTGGAATAGAGCTCTGATTGGGGTGGAATTTCAGCCTCTGGGTTCGCCCACAAATGCCCCCGCTACTCCACAACAGCCCAGACCAGCAACGGGGACCACGACTGCCATGTGAGAGCTGCTGGATGCAGAATGCACCCCCCAGACCTCTGTGGCCCAAACACATCCAGTTATAGCCAGAACGCACCCTCCCCCAGACCCGTGACCCAAACACATCCCATTCTAGCCATGGAGCTTCTGCCCCACACGCGGCCAAGCTCCTGCCTCACTGCCCACAGTGCCCGGTGCCTCCCACATCTGGCTTCTCACGCCGTTAAGTGCGCGTCTGCCTCACACCCGGCAGTGCAGGCTGACGCTGCAGCCACGAAAAAGGCGCCCGATGCCACTGGATGCCGCCCGGCCTGCCTGTGTGGGGCTTCCACTCACTCTACGTTTAAATCTTTGTGTTACATTGTAATGGGAACACCAGTATCACAAATAGGCATCCGTTTTCAATGAGAAACCAGTTACCAACGACTAAAACATTTTTTAGAAGTCAAAATTGCAAGTGAAATCTAAGGTGTCATAAATTTATTCGATTCAAAAAATGCATACTAGGAAATCAGTTTCTCAACGAGAAGGACGGACTGGTTTCCAGGTGGTGTTAATGGGGCAGTCACTGTCGCTCAGCTGCAGAAGGTGTGGGTCCTGGGCAGGAAGGCAGCGCTGGTTCCTCCTGCCCCAGCCATGCTCACCATCGTGGGTGCGGGCATGGGGCACGCGTGGGAATGGGGTGCGGGCCCAGGGTGCGCGTGGGAACGGGGTGCGGGCACAGGGCATGTGTGGGAACGGGGTGCAGGCAGGAGGCATGCTTCTTCAGGGTTAGAGACTATCCTCAGCTGTGCTATGGACCAGGCACTGTGCCAACAGCCCTACAGCTATTCATCAAGCTCCAGCGACCATCCCGTGAGGCTGGTGCTATGATCCTCTCCAGGCACAGAGAGCTTTAGTCACTTGCCCAAAGTCACATAGCTGTGAGCACGGACAGGGGAACCTGGCTCAGACACCACGTGTGCTGCCCCTAAGGCCACGTCCACCCTGGCGGCCTCCTAATGTTCCCACCAAGCAGGGACCTGACCCCAGATGCCCACACACCAGCACTCAGCCTCCTGCCCTGCGCAGCCCCCACCACGACCTTGCCCCCTATGCAGGGCCCAGGTGGACACTCGTCCACACCCCCTCAGCCCCATGTCTCCTCTCCTACCACATTTCGGGAACACTGACTCAGAAGGTGCAAAGCCTGGACTAAAAAAGCCTCTGACGTGAGGATGTAAAGAGCCCCTAGCACCTCCTCTACCCATACTGACTGTGGTCATGGGGGCAGGGCCACATGATCCCCCATACTGACTGTGGTCATGGGGGCAGGGCCACGTGATCCCCCATACTGACTGTGGTCATGGGGGCAGGGCCACGTGATCCCCCATACTGACTGTGGTCACGGGGGCAGGGCCACATGATCCCCCATACTGACTGTGGTCATGAGGGCAGGGCCACGTGATTCCCCGCCCCCCCACGGCCCATGGCATTCCCGAGGCTGCACTGCCCAAAACCGTGAGGCAGGACCTGGATCTGCTCACAGGAGTGAGGACCCAGGGCTCACGGAGCTCGGATCTATGCCCACATCTGTGGCCTGTGTCTGAGGGAGAGGGTGGTGTGGCTTCTGCCCAGTTTCAGCAGGAAGCAGTCCCCAGAGTCACCAGAGGGATGAAGGTGATGGTGCCGGAGGAGTTGGGGTAGAATAACTCAAGCTGGCAGCCACCCCAGAAATGTCCCTCGCACCCAGGGCACAAACACAGCCCATAGATGCCCCATCAGCTGCCAACTCCGCAACAGTTGGCCTTGGAGGGGCTGCCCTGGCCAGTTTCCCAGCAGCTGAGTTTGAGGCCAATGAGCTCACTTTTGGCCCAAATAAGTAAAAAAGGCCCAGCGGTCTCATAAAGTTTCAGGAATGTTCCAACTGGCTGCGTCTTCTGTGACAGAGACCCAAACCACTCAGGGCTCGTGACCTTGGGAGCCCCATGGTCCCCCACCCATGTGGGCAGACAGCCCACTGGCCTGCGGGTGCAACCACAGCTCACTGGACAGGAGCAGAGCGTGAGGGATGGTCTGCAAGCAGAGGCTGGCTCCTCTCTACCAGTGGGGCGGGGAGGCCCCAGCACCACGTTCCCCCAGTGCCTGGACATCTGCCTCTGCTGCGTGGACATGGTGGGGGCGAGGAGGATGCTTTGTCCCAGGGCAGGGGCAGGTGGAGGCCAGGACACGGGAGGAGCAGTGCTTGCAGAGGGCAGCAGACCTTAGGAATCAACAGTGCGTGGCCAGGAGGCGCTGAGGGGACGTGAGGCCTGGGTGGGAGGAAGGGGACCCTTGGTGTCTTTGCTTCTCAAACGTCAACCTGCACCCAAGATGAGAAGAGGAGTCTGGGAGAAGGGTCCCTGCACAGCAGGGTGGCTGTGTCCTCAGGAAAAGAAACACACACACACACACACACACACAGGAAGGCCCTCCCTGCACAGTGCGACTCGGTTACCTTGGCCCATCTGGGATAGAGTAGGTGGCACCTAAGTTCTTTTCCTTGGAGGACACCATTCTTTATGTGAATACTTTGTCCAATTATAATGCACATCATGCAGAAGCACAGAGTGTGAGTGACGGCAGCGAGTGCCCAGACTGAGAGGCCGTTCCCACCGTCCAGGGTGCCCCATCCCGACTCTTGTCACCATACATTAGTTTTGCCTGCCGTTGAATTTTGTCCAAATAAAAATATACAATATGTGCTTTTTTGCTGTCTGGCTTCTTTCAACATTGTGGGATTCACCCATGTTGTTGCAGTAGGGTGTCTGTTCATTCTTGTTGCTGGGTTATGGTATACATATATGATGAAATATGATTTATTAATAAATTCTACTCTTAATGGACATTTGGGTTGTTTCCAGTTTGGGGCTAAACTGAACATAAGACAATGAGCTTCTTATACATGTCTTCTAGTGCACACAATACACACTCCTGTTGGACATATTCTTAGGAATTGCTGTAATTATGTAGATGTGGACAAATGTACACCTGCCAGAAATGCACGTGACTTCTGGTTGCTCCATGGTTTTGTCAGCACTGGATACTGTCTGTCAGTAGAATTTTAGCCACTCTTGTGGATACAGAGTGGCGTCCTGATATGGCTTTAATTGGCATTTCCCAGAGGCAGGAAGCCTTCTGTGTCTAGTGGCTATCCTCTTTTATGATATGCCTGTTCACATCTTTTGGTTGTTTTTCTACTAGATTCTCCTTTAACTTGTTGGTGTGTAGTTCTCTGTATAGGCTAGAAACAAGTTTCTTATTGGATGTGCATATTGCAAACATCTGCTTCCACACTGTGGCTTTCCGTGTCGATCTCTTCATGGTTCATTTTGATGAAAAGAGTAACTTAACTTTAATGTAGCCCAATTTACTGACCTTTTCCTTTCTGATAATTGCTTTTTTGATAACTGCTTTTTAAACCTTGCGTAAGAAATCTTTTCTTACTCTGAAATAGGCATTTTCCTATGTTTGTCGAGAATAGAGACTATATTACTTTAGAGTTCACATTTACACCTGTGATCTATTTGGAATTAACTTTTGTATATGGTGTGAGGCAGGTATCAGCATTCATAATTTCCCACACAGACAGCCAATCACATCCACTCCTCTTACTGAGGACGTCCATCCCCCTCTGTGCTACAGTATCACTTAAGAAATAAATCAAGAGACTGCAATGGCCGGGCGCGGTGGCTCACGCCTATAATCCTAGCACTTTGGGAGGCTGAGGAGGGCGGATCATGAGGTCAGGAGATCGAGACCATCCAGGCTAACACGGTGAAACCCCGTCTCTACTAAAAATACAAAAAAAATCAGCAGGGCGTGGTGGCGGGCGCCTGTAGTCCCAGCTATGCGGGAGGCTAAGGCAGGAGAATGGCGTGAACCCGGGAGGCGGCGCTTGCAGTGAGCCGAGATAGCACCATTGCACTCCAGCCTGGGTGACACAGCGAGACTCCGCCTCAAAAATAAATAAATAAATCAATAAATAAATCAAGAGACTGCAGATGTGTGGTCTGTCTGGATTCAATATTCTGTGCTGCTGCTCTTCTGTTTACACCATCTGTGTTAATCACTGTCACTTTAATAATGTCTTAATATTTGGCAGTATCAGCTTTCAACTTTTTTCTTCAAAGTTGGGTGACTATTCCTCACCCCTTGCATTTTCATATAAAATGTAAAGGCAGCCTGCCAATGTTCACACCTAAATAAAGAAAAACCTGCTGGAATTTTATTTGGGAACTGCATTCGATCTATATGTTTATTTAGAGAGAATTAACATTGTTATAATACTAATTGTCTTCTAATCTGTGAACTAAAATATTCTTCCATTTATTCATGCTACTTTAATTTCTTTCTTTTTTTTTTTTTTTTTGAGATGGAGGCTCGCTCTGTCACCCAGGCTGGAGTGCAGTGGCGCGATATCAGCTCACTGCAAGCTCCGCCTTCCGGGTTCAGGCCATTCTCCTGCCTCAGCCTCCCGAGTAGCTGGGACTACAGGTGCCCACCACCACACCCTGCTAATTTTTTGTATTTTTAGTAGAGACAGGGTTTCACCATGTTAGCCAGGATGATCTCGATCTCCTGACCTCGTGATCCACCCACCTCGGCCTCCCAAAGTGCTGGGATTATAGGCATGAGCCACTGTGCCTGGCCCCTTTAATTTCTTTCAATAACATTTTGCAGTTTTCTGCTTAGAAGTCTTGCACGTCTTTTATTAGATATGATTTTATTCCTATGTACTCAATTTTGATGTGATTATAAGTGATATCTATAAATTTCATTTTCCAATTGTACATCATTGATATATATAAAAATACTAAAATACAATTAAGTTTAGTATATTGACCCCTGCCCATTGATCTTGCTAAATTACTTACTCAGCTTAAGAGTCTGACTGTTACTTAATTTGGATTTTCTTCATACACAACCACATTGTCTACAAATAATGAATGATACCTGTGTTTCTTACTGTTTCAATCCTTAAGACTTTTCTTTTCTTGTCTTGTTGTCTGCCTGGTACCTCCAAGCACAATCCTGAATAGAAATGAGAACAGTGTTCCTGACCTCAGCGGCAAAGCGTTCAATACCTCACCATGAAATGCAGAAAGTGGGGCTCACCTCTGTAAAATTCCAGAACCTGGCTCCCCAAGTCCTGGCTGCCTCTGCAGCCTCTCAATCCCTCAAACATATTTTTAAACAAAATTTTACCCAGGTTTTACAGTTGCTCTTTGTGGAAATATCAGTTGGCTACAAGATACTCTATTAGAGCCAGAATGGAAGTAGGTAGTGGGTTTTGAACCTGTTTCCATCTAACAGAAACATTTACATGAATGATGACAAATGTAACCCAGGTCGAAAGGGGTATCCTGGCTCTGAACCAGTTTAGTCTGACCTGAGTCTCCGACCCCATGCTCTGCAGATGTTCAACCAACTCTCCAAGGTCCCTACAAATGGTGCCGCTGGGCAGGGGTGGTTTCATCTTTGGTTACAATTCCCTGCTTCCCCAGAACTTGTGTTCTTCACTCTGTCTAGCTCAACTCTGCCCTGGCCTGCCCTCCACCTTCTACTCCTAGGGGCTCAGCAAGGTGCTTTCTATCGTGGTCGTTATCATCATCCTAACAGCACACAGAGCTTAGGACGCAAGCCAAGGGTTCAGCCAGCTTGTGGGGCTCCACTGTGCACAGATGCCAAGAACACGGCAGGCTGTTAGTCGAGAGGAATTCTTCTAGGATGACACGCTTGCACCTCCCCCAGCCCCTCTCTGCACTGAGATGGACAGGAGGGCCGCTGGACCGCACGGCACTAAGTTCAAGTCTGGGGGTTCCAAACACCAGTGTGCAGACCAGTGCCAGATGGATGCAAGAGAAACATCCGGGAGCTTGCTACAACGCAGGTCTTCTCGGGCCACTCCTGGATATTCTGATGTGATGATTTGAGAGTGAGGCCTAGGAATTCATGGTTGTTAAAAGTTCCACTTGGTATCTGAACCCCATGGACTGGATAGGAATAACACAAATAGAGGCTTGGAGTCCTCTGAGAGTCAGGGTCTGGTGGAGGAGTTGGGGGGCCACCCACTGGCAGCAGCCAGGAGGCAGGAGGAACACAAGGGGAGCATGATATCGCAGACACCTGAAGAAAGGCGCGAGCTCAGAGGGCTCCTGGGTGAGAGGACAGGGTCGCCTGCGACACACGCACTCCTGGGGATGCGGGGCCGGGACAGCGCGTCCTTCTGTGGGTGGCTGCTGCCACTCACCCACCCCGCACTTGCCCCCACCACTGCCGTTGCCCTCCATGGAATCAGCCCCACCTGATGCCCTGGCCTGCTTTATTCTCCTGCTCTCTGTGCCCAGTTGCCTGTGGGCAGCTGGCATCTCACGCAAAGCTCGTAGGAAAAGCCCCCCAGAGCACAGAGACACAGGCAGCCTTGGTTGCCCAAGCACATCTGTGATCCCTAAAACCCAACACATTCATAAAGAAATAGCGAAAGAAAAGTGTTACTTAAAATTGTCTTAGAACTCTGGCTGTGGAAAGCAAACCAGCCTCAGTTAACTTATGTATAAAAGGAAGGAAGACCTATGACACAATTAAAAGAGAATGGTGGCGTCATTCTCATTTCCAAAGACTCCTCTGTGAGCTTCTGCAACACTGGCCAACTGCGAACTCAGAATCAGGCTGCGGTCTGTGGGACTGAGGTGCCTCTGGGCATGGAGAATGGGTCCTTGGAATTATAGACACGAGTGTTGTCTATAATAACAAAATCCACTAATGTGACTGCAGCAGTGTTGTTTGTGATGCAAAATCCTGACCTGCAGCCATCCTCCACCTGCTGAGGCCAAACATCCCTCAGGCCCCTGCTGTACCACGGAGATGATACTCTACCTGCTGAGGTCAAACATCCCTTAGGCCCCTGCTGTACCAGAGAGGAAGGCCCCATCGCCTGTCACACAGACTCACTACCAAAGGGGCCTCTGCCATTTTAAACGTGCAGAAACTGAGGAACGCAGAAGTGAATGACATATCCAGGGTCAAACAGCTAACAAGTGGGGCGCTGGGGTCTGAGCCCAGAGCCTACCTGGTAAACACTGGGGTCTCTGATCGCTCACACCACAGTAAGACCTTAAAATCTCCATCCTCCAAGGAGCTTCGCGGGGAGGGCAGATAACACAGGAGCTCCCTGCAGGACCTGTGCCCACCCGAATCCATGGAGGCGGCCGGCCACGAAGCTGTCCTGGGGGACACGGGAACCGCATCCTCATGGAAGAAAAAGGCAGCAGGCGAAGGAGCCAGGGAGGGGGCCAGAGGAGGGGAGACAGGACCCCTGAGGGATCAGACACCCAGAGCTGCACATCGCAGAGGGGGTTTGAGGCGGAAAACGGCAAAACAGACTGCAGAGCCGGGTGAGGTCAGAGGACCTGGTTTCCCGCCAAGGAAGTCTCTGTGGCTGCAGGAAATAATTCTGTGGCTTGTAAATATTAAAAACCTCACTGTCAGGACGTCTTACCTGAGTAGGGTCATTTATTAGGGTTTACAGACAGGCCTTAGAGTAAAATATGCACGATTCATAAGTGCACTACATGGTAGTTACAGCAGGACACAAAAATTAAACGTGAAGCAATGAGAGCGTCAGAGTCACCCAGAGAAGCCGCCCCAGTTTCAACATTTTTCCAAAAGCTGCGGTTGCCCAGCTGCACCCTCGTGTGGTTGGAAGTGAATATCACAAGTGTTCCCGTCGGGAATGGTGAGGTCTGCACGGGGGTGCTGAACGTGGACAGGAACCCTTCCTCCCGAGGGGCTTCACGGGGGCCATGCTCTTCCTCCTTTTCCCGCCCTCCGGTGTGGGCGCCATAGGTCCCTTGCTATCAGGGCGCTCACCCTGATGCCACCGCCCGGGACTGCGGGCCTGCCTTGCCTCGGGCAGACCTTCCTCACCTCGGGCAGACCTTCCTCACCTCGGGCAGACCTTCCTCACCTCCGATCTGTGGCTCTTTGGCCACAGCAGCCCCTAACCTCCGGGGACTGTCACTCCCCAAGGAAGGTCGGTTCTGAGCTGTGTCTGGACCCTGAGCACAGACACTGCAACCCCGGGCCTTGTCTTTCTGCTCATGCCGGTGAGACCAGGGCAAGGGCAAGGGCGCGGGTGAGACCAGGGTGAGGGTGAGACCAGGGTGAGGGTGAGACCAGGGCAAGGGCGAGGGCGTGGGTGAGACCAGGGCGAGGGTGAGACCAGGGTGAGGGCGAGGGTGAGACCAGGGCGAGGGAGAAGGTGAGGGCGAGGGTGAGACCAGGGCGAGGGTGAGGGTGAGGGTGAGGGCACTCACTCCTCCAGGACGGAGCCAGCATAACCATCGTGCAGCCCAATAAGCAGCCATTGGTCATGTGTGAATGAAAATGAGGCTGCCTGGCCGGGCATGGTGGCTCACGCCAGTAATCCCAGCACTTTGGGAAGCTGAGGCAGGTGGATCATTTGAGCCCAGGAGTTCAAGACCAACCTGGGCAACATGGTGAAACCCCATCTCTACAAAAAATACAAAAATTAGCCGGGCGTGGTGGCATGCGCCTGTCATCCCAGCTACTCGGGAGGCTGAGGTGGGAGGATCACCTGAGCTGGGAAGGTTGAGGCTGCAGTGAGCCAAGATCGTGCCACCGCACTCCAGCCTGGGCGACAGAGCCAGACGCATCTCCAAAAAAAAAAAAAAAAAAAGAGGCAGCCCTGCCTGCCATGGGCTGGATTTTTAATTTTATTTTGCTTTCATTTTACATTTAAATGGCCACAGGTGGTCAGTAGCTGTTGAATTCAACAGCAGTAACAGAAAAGGACCTGGGGAACACGTTTTGGGAAGGTGCGGGGAGAGGACCTCGGGGGGAGGTGGTCACCGCGGTGCGTGCAGAACCCGGAGGAAGGAATGGCAGGGCCTCCGCGACTTGTCCCCAGTGCTCAGAAGCAGCAGACTCCATGAACAAAATGCTGATGTGGAGACGGGAAACACACCTGAGAGGTGGCTTCCCACCCAGCACAGCGCACAGACACCTGGGCCGCGTGATGTCTCCTGGTTCCTCCTAACGAGGCTGGCTGTGGGTGGCAGAGCTTCCACTCAGGGCTTCAGACCATGGAGGGCGACCGGGGCCAGCACAGCCTCAGGCCAGCCAGAGATGGCAGACAAGGGTAGCCCTGAAACTGCCAACTCCGTTGGGGTGGGGGGGGGAAATCACCCAGCTGGAGCATTTGAGAACTGCCAGAAACAGGGCACAATCTCACAGACAGAACACCATGGCGGGGCGACCCTTTACAGCAGTGACCCCAACAGGGAAACAGTGGGGACCACGAAATGCCCGCGAACAGGCCCAAGTGAGCACACGGGGTCACTCACGCCACGGGGGCCACTCACATCACGGGGGCCACTCACATCATGGGGGCCACTCACGCCACGGGGTCCACTCACATCACGGGGGCCACTCACGTCACGGGGGCCACTCACGCCACGGGGTCCACTAATGTCACGGGGGCCACTCACGCCACAGGGGCCACTCACGCCACGGGGTCCACTAATGTCACAGGGGCCACTCACGCCACGGGGTCCACTAATGTCACGGGGGCCACTCACGTCACGGGGGCCACTCATGTCACGGGGGCCACTCACGTCACGGGGTCCACTCACGTCATGGGGGCCACTCACGCCACGGGGTCCACTAATGTCACGGGGGCCACTCACATCACGGGGGCCACTCACGTCATGGCAGCCACTCATGCCACGGGGTCCACTAATGTCACAGGGGCCACTCACGTCATGGGGGCCACTCACGCCACGGGGTCCACTAATGTCACGGGGGCCACTCACATCACGGGGGCCACTCACATCACAGGGTCCACTCACATCACGGGGTCCACTCACGTCACGGGGGCCAGCCCAAGTGAGCACACCAGGTCCGCTTACATCACAGGGGCCAGGAAGCCTTTAAAAGGAAGGCACAGGCGGGCACGATGGCTCACATCTGTAATCCCAGCACTTTGGAGGCCAAGGTGGGTGGATCACTCGAACCCAAGAATTCTAGATCAGCCTGGGTAACATGGTGAGACTCCATTTCTACAGAAAATACCCAAATTAGCCGGGTGTGGTGGCTCATGCCTGCAGTCCCAGCTACTCAGGAGACTGAGGCAGGAGGATCACCTTGGGCCCAGGAGGTTGAGGTGGCAGTGAGCTGAGATCCTGCCACTGCACTCCAGTCTGGGTGACAGAGCAAGACCCTGTCTCAAAACATGAAAAAAAAATATATAAAATGAAAGGCAGCAGCAAATGGCGCCAAGGTAGAAGGGCGCCACGACACACCGCTGAACAGAAGCAGCAAGCTGCGAGGCGGCATGTCCTGTGCTGTCCCACCACACGTGGATGAACAGCCTGGGTGTCACCCCAGTGCAGCTCCACAGTTAGCTGTGGGGGAGGGAAGCAGGAGGTGAAGTGGAAGCTTCACTTTTTAATGCACACGTATTAAATTGTTTAGCACGCTCACACACGCTCACAGACACTTCCTGTCCTTATATTCAAAAGCCAATTCAAAGTTCAATAGGAAATCAAACCCACAGCGAGAAGTGGGGCTCTTCCAAGGGCTGGGGTCCAGCTGCCCTCCAGCTCAGACAGCAGGACAGGGTGCTCAGGTCACCGCAGGGGGACGACAAACCGAGTTGGCTCCAGGTGCTTATCTTAGAATCAGTGAGATAGGAGGACTCTCCTCTTGACTGGAAGCCTAATGATTACATTCGTGTTTCTGTTGCGTCCCACATGCACCCTCCCCATACACCACACAAACTGTGCATGCATGTGGTGTGTACATGTGCAGGTCTGTGGGGGGGTATGCATGCACTTGCATGTGTGTGTGTGCGCACGTGTGTGGTTATACACATGCACATCTGTGTATGTAAGTGCATGAGTGCCTGCGTGTCTGCGTGCATCTGTGTGTGTGTGTGTGTGTGTGTGGCATGTGCAAGCCTGTGTAGGTGCGTGTGTGCATCTGTATGTGTACATGCCTCTTATGGGCTGAATGTGACCCCTGTCCCGGCAAGCTGGCTGGTAGATGGAGTCCCTACCTCCCAAGGAGCTGGGAGCTTTGAGCCAGGCCCATGGAAAGTAAGCGTCATCATCAGCTTCAGTGAATTCCTTCCACACTGCTCCTCCAGCAAGCTCCAGGCTTCCCACCTCGTCCCTTCTCTGAGGGCCGCCGCCCTCCTCCCCATCTCCCAGCTCCTCCCTCCACCCCGCATTCTCCCTCCACCCTGCATTCTGGCAGCTCATGAACTCTTTGGCACCCACTTCACAGAAAACACAGCTCCTCAGAAAAGGCTCCACAGACCCTGTCTCACCTCCCAGACTCTGTCCCTACAGCCCCCGACTCCCCGGCACTCTGTCCTGCCCCCTGGTGCGTTCGCTGCCCCCAAAGATGCCGCTGGCGCCCTCCTGGGATCTCTGTGACGAATGCTTCCCAGTTTACATTAAGTTCCTTGTCTGCAGTGATGCTGCCACCCCTGCCCTCTGCCTCCCTCGTGCTCTCTTTATCTCTGTGTCTCCGTGTCTCTGTCTGTCTGTCTCTATCTCTGTCACTCTCTGTCTCTTCTCTCTGTCTCTCTCTGTCTCTGTCTCTGTCTGTCTCTGTCTCTCTGTCTCTGTCTGTCACTCTCTGTCTCTTCTCTCTGTCTCTCTCTGTCTCTGTCTGTCTCTCTGTCACTCTCTGTCTCTGTCTCTCTCTGTCTCTGTCTCTGTCTGTATCTGTCTGTCTCTGTCTCTCTGTCTGTATCTGTCTGTCTCTGTCTCTCTGTCTCTCTTTCTTTCTCACATTGTTTTCCCACAGCCCTGCTGCCCTGTACGCCCTCCATAGCTGACATATTGTCTCAGCGCCACAATTTTCTCTGTTTATTTGCTGTTGTGTTCCCAGTGTGTGCTGACCACTGAGACTTCTCAGCAAGCAGTGCCTGGACACACAGGTCTGACCGTCTACCTGTGCATCTCCTCCCCGGCCATGTGGTTCTAAGGGGGCCATACAGGGTCTGGAATCTGCTTGTCGCTGGTCTCTATCGCCTCTCTGAGACCTTGGCTCCTATCAAGGCCTGGCCGATGTTGGTTAAATGGAGCTCCATTAGGAGTAGGAAGGGCTATAGGGTTTTCAGAGATCCGAACCTGCCCTCTGACGAACGAGGGCCCACACCTGTGTCGGCAGACACCCGAGGGCCCACACCTGCATCAGCGGACACCTGAGAGTCCACACCTGCGTCGGCGGACACCCGAGGGCCCACATCTGCGTCGGTGGACACCCGAGGGCCCACACCTGCATCAGCGGACACCTGAGAGTCCACACCGGGCGTCGGCGGACACCCGAGGGCCCACACCTGCGTCAGCGGACACCTGAGAGTCCACACCGGGCGTCGGCGGACACCCGAGGGCCCACATCTGCGTCGGCGGACACCCGAGGGCCCACACCTGCGTCAGCGGACACCTGAGAGTCCACACCGGGCGTCGGCAGACACCTGAGGGTCCACACCGGGCGTCGGCGGACACCCGAGGGCCCACACCTGCATCAGTGGACACCCGAGGGTCCACACCTGCGTCAGCGGACACCTGAGAGTCCACACCGGGCGTCGGCAGACACCTGAGTCAGCAAAGCACGAGCTCACCCCCTTCGCCCTGATGAGTCGTCTTTCCAAGGACCAAAAACTTGGTTTATATTAACAGGTGCCCCAAACCATTTGGGGCAAACCTATTTCAGTCTAATATTCCAAAAATGATGAGTATAGTCAGATGTAGTGCTTAAATTGGGACACCTGGCATTTGCATATGAAAACAGAAGGAAAGTTAAAATTAGAATACAACATTCTTTCTAAATTGATAAAAGTGATGCTTGGTTTAGAATGTAACAGTTGAAACCCCTTAAAAGCAGCCTTCACGAGAGATTTGTCCATTTAATTTGCATTGACATGTGAAAGAACAGGCCTGGTCAATTTCACTTTTTTCCCACTTAAAGAATGTGCTGGCTGTGCAGCTGTCTGGAAACTGCGTGCTGGGGAACCGCCTGTGCCAGGGTCTCGTCCACCATCTCCTGGAAGAAAAGGTCCAAGCTCCCCTCCCTCTCTTGGTCTCCCAGGGATGTCCCGGGACCGAGCCGCAATGCTCCGCGTCTCCAGCAGAGGGCAGCCCCGCCCCCACCTTGGGAAGAGGGTCCCCCGCAGAGGGTACTTCCCGGGGACACAGCACCCTCAGGGCGCAGTGGGCAGGTCTCCTCCTTGTCACTAGCCTGGCAATTTTGCTCGCCAGGGATGCAGAGACTTCCTCTGGGACGGTCCCCTCTGCCAAGCTGCACCTGCAAGGCTTGCAGGGACCCTGGTTTTATCTGCAGAGGCCATGATTGACCCCCACATTTTTAACACACTCTGCACTTCTCAAGAAGGCATCCCGTAGATGCCCTTAGGAAGAAGATTTCCCTTAGAAATGTGTCAAGAATTGTTCACTCTCTCTGGAAGGACATGCTCAATGGCAACACCCTGGAGGCACGGGGTCCCCACAGCACGCCTGCAGCCCCGTGCTCACAGAAATCCAGGGGAGCTGCCGCGGCTGCTGCGCCCTAGGATGCCGGGACAGCCAGGGGACAGGTGGCTCTTACAGGCCCGCAGCTTCCCTTCTGTGGGTCCTTCTGATCAGGGCACATGGGCGTCCTCCCAAATTCACACAGGTTGGGTTTTGTTATCAAAGAGTTTTATTTCCAGATAGAAAGGGAGCATTGGGTCTGACACTGATGAGACCTACCTGGGAAGAAAGGAAACGTGGGTAGAATGCACGCATACACTCACGCTCACACACACCCCCCACACACCACACCCCACACTCACCCCACACATGCCTCACATAGTCCACACATACCACACACACCACTTACCCCACACATGCCACATGCTCACATTACACACACACCACACATACCCCACACACACCCCGCACACGCCACACACACCACACACTCACCCCACACACACCACAGGCTCACATTACACACACTCACACCACACACTCAGACACCCACACTGAGTCTGGTGGGGGAAACAGCTCCACGGTCAGCAGCACTGCTCATGGCTGAATGAAGCTGGCATTTCCAGGATCTGATTTAGAGCGTTTGGTGATAGAAAGGCCTCTTCCACTTTTTATTATCTAAGTGTGACCAGAAAACCTGAGTTTCCATACACAGGTGAACAGTGGGGATCCATGGAGCTGCCTCTGAGCAACCTGGGGCCCGCGTGTCCACAGCGGGGACTGGGCCTGCGCTCCGGCCACCTTCAGCCAGACCAGGCTGTGCGACTCACAGATGCGCAATCTACAGAGGTGGCTGAGTGGGTCTTGTCCTGCAGGAGTCTGGACCCATCTGAGATTCCTGGATCTCAGGAGAAGCAGACAGACAAGTGGGGCAGCAGCAAGGAGGCCATGGAAGGTTCCAGAACATCGGATAAACAGAGGCGTGCACACATGAACACGTGCCGCCTACCACACTCTTATGGCCTTGATGGGTGGCCTTTGAGTGCTGCAGATTCTAGACAAATCTCAAGAAAAGGGATGTGGGTAGCTAAGGAACTCCGCAGATTCTAGAAAAATCTTGAGAAAGGGATGTGGGTAGCTAAGGGACTCCATGAAGTTTCTAAGACAAAAGAGACAGGAAGGTTCAACAAACAGGAGGCGCCCCAGCTCATGGCTCCAAGTAGCAAGCACTGACAACAGCCCTGATTTCTGAGCATGAGTCTGACCAGTCAGCATTCAGTGTGGACACCACAGAATCTCATTTAGCCCCATGCCAGGAGGTGCCATCAGGGGGCGGATGTACCTGTCAGGCCGGCCGTCCCCTGGGACACAGGCCCTTCCTCCTGTGCAGGTGACAGACAAAGGCCTGGAGGCTTGGAGATGACCGCCCTCCCCAGGACACCCCTCTGGCCACAGCACACCTGGAGCCTACGTCCTCGGGGTACGGCCATGTGGTCTGAGCCTTCGGGCGCTCCCCTGCCCAGCCATCCCCTTTCTCCAGCCATCACCGTGTTATTAAGCCTCATCTATAACATGGGCTTAATAACTGCCTTCCTGCCACAGTGTGGCTGAGAACCAGGGAGGAATGTGTGGAAACCGTCTGCAGCATCGCAGCCTTGCCCCACCAAGCCGGTCCCATCAGCCCCTCAGGGAGCTCGGCCGCTCGGCCCGAGACCCAGCCCCTCCTCCGTGCACTCAGCTCAGCCAGCAGAGCCTGGCGCATAGGGGGTGCAAGATTCTCACAACAGACAAGAGACTGAGGTCAAAACCACAAACCCAACACACAGTGATTTGGGGCTACCAGGACACCGCCATGTCCAGGGCTTTGACCATAGTCAGTCACGAGCCCCCTTCTTTCTGCCCACCAAGACGTCCTGCCCCCGAAAGGCCCACCGGTGAGGCTCCCTGCTCCTCCAGCTCCCACCTCAACCCGCCAAGTGGACAGAGGTGCCCACCGCTCTCCCTCTCCTTGAGGCATGACTGCAGAGGCTGGCTGCTGCCAGCTGGTGGTTATGTGATATTTATCAGGGGATCAATGTGCTGCTTTCCAGGTCAGGCCGACGGGCTGAGCTCTCAGTTACCAGGCCCAGTGCGCTGTTGTCTTTAAAGACTGAAGAATGAAGAACCTTCACGGTAATGGCCACGGCTGCACTTTCACGCTGATGGTTAAACATCTCCTCTGTGTTTTGCCACCTTATGTAATGTGCGGGATACAGATGCCATATTTAAGGATATTTCTGTTTTTACTTGGTGTGTGTTCACTATACCCCAAATGGAAGCAGCAACTACACTGTCTGGTGTGAGGCTGACATTCTCAGCATCTTCCTGGAGGCTGGGACGAGCACATCAGATGAGAGACCCCCGCGGCACCCCTCCCAAGTCAGCCTGCAGCTCACCGGCCTGATGCTGCTCTCCTGCCCGCCGCTGGGGAGACACAGAACTGGGCTCCCTACCTTTTCAGAGGACAGGGACCCAGCTCTGTCTGGAACAAAACAAAAAACTGCAGCCTGAGGGAACCATTTTTGTTAACTGGATTTTCTGGTACCTCTGGGGTCAGTTCTTTCCTGGAAAGGGCAGGAGGCGGCCACGCCCCCAGGGCCTGACCACGACACAGAGAGGCCACGTGGACGGGCTCTGCTCCCATGAGCATCAGGTCCCGTGCAGATGGGCTCCTCGGCATTAAGAACACAGAAGCCCTCGCACCGCAGAACTCTGCTGATCGAACAGGCATGCGCAGTGATGGTATACGAGGGAGCACAGCAGCGCTCAGGCTAAGTCAGATCCCGACTGCTGAGCAACTGGGCCTCCAGGTGGGCCTCCGAGCTCCAGGAAAAAACGGCAGCTCAGGAGCGAAAAAGCTGGATTCGGACCCCAGATCAGATCTGAGGCAGACTCCTGAGCTCCTCGGAACCATGATGCTGACAAAGCTCTAACCCCTCAGCAAAGCCACGGGGAACTCAATGATGGCTCCCAGAGACCCTAATTCATCCTGCAGTCACGGGGACCCCACCATGGTGGAACCTCACAGAGACTCTGCCCCGACCCACAGTCACGGGGACCCCAGCCTGGTGGAACCTCACAGAGACTCTGCCCCGACCCACAGTCACGGGGACCCCACCATGGTGGAACCTCACAGAGACTCTGCCCCGACCCACAGTCACGGGGACCCCACCATGATGAAACCTCACAGAGACTCTGCCCCGACCCACAGTCACGGGGACCGCATGATGGGGAAATCTCACAGGGACTCTGCCCCGACCCACAGTCACGGGGACCCCACCATGATGAAACCTCACGGAGACTCTGCCCCGACCCACAGTCACGGGGACCCCATGACGGGGAAATCTCACAGGGACTCTGCCCCGACCCACAGTCACGGGGACCCCACAATGGGGAAACCTCACAGGGACTCTGCCCCGACCCACAGTCACGGGGACCCCACCATGATGAAACCTCACAGAGACTCTGCCCCGACCCACAGTCACGGGGACCCCATGACAGGGAAATCTCACAGGGACTCTGCCTCATCCCATAGTTGCAGGGACCCCACCCTGGTGAAATCTCACAGGGACTCTGCCCCGACCCACAGTCACGGGGACCCCATGACAGGGAAATCTCACAGGGACTCTGCCTCATCCCATAGTTGCAGGGACCCCACAATGGGGAAACCTCACAGGGACTCTGCCCCGACCCACAGTCACGGGGACCCCACCATGATGAAACCTCCCAGAGACTCTGCCCCAACCCACAGTCACGGGGACCCCACGATGATGAAACCTCACAGAGACTCTGCCCCGACCCACAGTCACGGGGACCCCACCATGATGAAACCTCACAGAGACTCTGCCCCGACCCACAGTCACGGGGACCCCACCATGATGAAACCTCACAGAGACTCTGCCCCGACCCACAGTCACGGGGACCCCACCATGACGAAACCTCACAGAGACTCTGCCCCGACCCACAGTCACGGGGACCCCACCATGATGAAACCTCACGGAGACTCTGCCCTGACCCACAGTCACGGGGACCCCATGACGGGGAAATCTCACAGGGACTCTGCCCCGACCCACAGTCACGGGGACCCCACAATGGGGAAACCTCACAGGGACTCTGCCCTGACCCACAGTCACGGGGACCGCATGATGGGGAAATCTCACAGGGACTCTGCCTCATCCCATAGTTGCAGGGACCCCACCCTGGTGAAATCTCACAGGGACTCTGCCCCGACCCACAGTCACGGGGACCCCACCATGATGAAACCTCACAGAGATTCTGCCCCAACCCACAGTCACGGGGACCCCACCATGATGAAACCTCACAGAGACTCTGCCCTGACCCACAGTCACGGGGACCGCATGATGGGGAAATCTCACAGGGACTCTGCCCCGACCCACAGTCACGGGGACCCCATGACAGGGAAATCTCACAGGGACTCTGCCTCATCCCATAGTTGCAGGGACCCCACCCTGGTGAAATCTCACAGGGACTCTGCCCCAAACCACAATGTCTGCCGGGCTCTGGGTGCACGTACCTGGGGATGCTGGTGAGGTAGGTCATGACATTCTGGAACTCCTTGTCCGGAATCTCGCTGAAGGCCGGGTAGTCAGGGAAGGTGATAACCGGGCTTCCGTCCTGCCCCCGCCCACCTGGGGAGAGACCAGAGGCAGACCCTTAGCCGAGGGCTCCATGCCCCCGGGGGTTCCACAGATGTCGGCCCGTTTTCATCAGCACCCAGTATTTCAGTTAAAACTGAGGCATGTTCTTCATCGTTGCATAATTTTTATTTGAAAGAAATGTGTGCTGCTTGAAGAAAATATTTGGAAAGTACACAAAAGTGATGTGAATTTAGACAATCACTCGTTATTTTGGCCACCATGGGACAGCTACCGTGACAATTCAACATGCTTCTTTCCAAGCCTTTTTCTATGGGCTTTTTTAACCTTGTTGAGGTGATACTGCATAGAGAAGCTTGTCTCCTGCCTCCTTCCTGACACTGAGAACAAACCGCTTCCATGCTTTTAAACAATGTAACCATTATTTTAAATATTGCATAATATTCCATATATGCATGTGCACTAATAACCTGCCTAACTGTACTGTTTGTGGGTATCGTCTAGCTTCTCCGACATTGGCGCCTTTTAAGCAATTCAATTCCAAAGAGCTCCATTCGAACACTGACTTTGGAGTCACACAGGCTGGGCTCCAGGTCTGCCTGCTGGAGCCGGCCACTGACCCTGCCACACTGCCTTGGCCGGACGGAGTCCATTTCCCTCCCCCGAGCCTGGGTCTGGCCTTGCGATCTGTTTTGCCCACAGGACTCAGCGGAAGTGAGCTTGGGACTCAGAACACTGCAGCTGCCCTCTCATGCCCTGTAGTCATTGGGCAGGTGGTCCCACGACCCTGCATCCACCTGCTCTGAGGAGGCCAGTACCCAGGGTTGAGGGTGGACTTTGTGAAAGGGCAGGGAGGTGGAGGTGCGGGACTGCAGCCCCCAGGACCTTCCAGCCCAGCCCCCATGAGGACACAGCTGAGCAGAGGACACAGTCAGTGCCCCGTGCGTGGAGTGAAGAACCACCTGGCTGAGCCCTTTTGGAACTTCTGAGCCACTAAATGAAGAATAAATCTGTAAAATAGGGCTTTTCAAGCTAACTAAGTTTAGGGTAGCTTTTTATGGAGAACAGATAATGGTGGGTTCGCCGCCCCTCATCCACGTCCTCACTGAGAAGACCCAGGGTGCACACAGCCTCCGACAACTGCAGCTTTGTCTCGTAACAGCGACAGTCCCCCGCCGCCTTGCGCCCCCCACAGCCACTGTCTCCAGCTTCCGGAACTTCTGCTTCTGGGTCTTGGCCAAGCCCAGCCACGCCAGGCAGGGCGGCTTTACCATCCAGTGATCCCGGGACGCTGGGCCCCCGAGGCTCCCTGTGGGCGTCTCCTCAGTACAGGGCTCCGTGGCCTCCTCCCGAGTCCTTGTCGGCACCCCTCAATGGGACATGACTCATTATCTGATACAATTGTTCTCACTTCGGCCAGGACGTCACACAAGCATATCTTTTCTCCCTCGCTCCTTCCTAACCTCCTTTGAGGGCTCATGCCTTGAGCCCATCCTGGCTGCCGAGTCTCTTAGAGGGCTGAGCCGAGGGGCGTCCACACACCGTGACGGCCCCCCTTCACCTGGGACAGCTCAGTCCCCGCAATGCTGCATTCTAAGGAAGCCCCCGAAGGGGAAGGCGGCTGCAGGGTCTGGCTTCATTGTGCTCTGATGACTTCTATCCTCCGAACTCTCCCAGCCCTCGAGGGCTCTTGACCTCTGCCCCCGTCTCTGGTGGCACATAATGCCCCATGCAGTGCTCAATAGAACGTGCCTGTCACTCACTCACAAACCTTTCATCATTGTTAATTCGCACTTCCTCTCGGAAAATTCCTCAGATCCCAATGATAAGAGGCCCTGGAGTGAACACTGCAGCCCTGTGTCCTCCTGTGCGAGTACGACAAGCCTCCCCTCAGCCGCCGCCGCGGTGGGGGCTCAAAGCCCCCTGGGATGTGGCTCACGCACGTCTCAGCTTCACGCAGCACCTACCACAATGATCAGGAACTCGTGGCAACTTTTCAGTCGCCATTAAAGGTAAGAGTGTTCTGCCGGGACAAGCCGAGGCAAGCGGCACGCCCCAGCTACGAGGTGGATTGTGGAAACGGCCGCAGCCTGCGCCTGCCTTTCCTTTCCCTGAAACGGGGCCTGGGGGGAACGTTCAGGGGCCAGAAGCTTCCAGCACCGCCCAGAAGCCTATGTGTGTGGAGTGACGCCGACGGCAGCTGGGGGCGGACCCTGCCTGTGTGTGAGACCCCCTGCGTCCCTGTGCAAATGGGCATGGGCCACGGCATGAGGACCCCTGGCCGGCGGGGGTGGGTGGGAGGGAGAAGCTGCTCCTTGGGGTACACTGGCTGTGGAGGGCCCAGCTAGGAAGAGGAGCGGATGCAACAAGATCCCCTCATGCCCAAACGTGGAGGCAGCCTGGGAGCTTGGAGTGGACGGTGGACACAACGTGGAGGCAGCCTGGGAGCTTGGAGTGGATGGTGGACACAGAGGTGGAGAGTGGCTCCCTCTCAGCACTGGCTGGCCCACCCACAGTGTGGAGGTGGCATCTGGGAGCTGCTGCCTCACTGGAACCACAGAGACCGGGGACCCCCAGAGGCCAGCCTGAGCCACAGGGTCGAGGGTGCAGTCAGCAGGGCAGCCTTGGGGCAGGAGCTAGCCACAGGAAGGCCTGGAGCCTCCAGCTGCCCAGGGGAGAGGATGGGGGCCAGGTGACCCGGAGCTGAAATCGCACGGGGGCCTGGCCTGGGCCGCACAGCCTCGTTCAGTTGGTAGCTGGTGCTGGTCTCAGGCTGCTGCTACCCTGGGTATCTCTGAACTCTCTGTGCTCCACCACAGCCTCAATGCAAAGCAAAGACCCTGTTCTTTCTTCCCAAGTCAGGAGTGGAAATCCCAGTCTGTCCACTGAGACTGAAAAGCAGGCGCCAAAGCTCCCAGTACCTGCAGGTTATGAGGCAGCAAAACACCGCTGGACGCGGAGCTGGGGGCACAGCCCCTCTCTGGAGAAACCCTCCCCACCAAGGTGGGCAGTGCCAGGACCCGGGGCCAATGGCACCAAGAACAGGCTCTACTTCTGTGTCTACACCCGGCCTAGTAACTGGAGGCGGACTGAACGCCGCAGAGGACAGAGGGCTCCGAAGCTCCTCTGTGGTTCAGAACAGCACCCTGTCCACACAGCACCAGGGGCAGCCTCCGGTCCCCACCCACGTCCAAAAACCACTGTCCTGGCTGAGACCTGTCACACCTGCATGTGAACTCTCGCACCCAAGCAACTGGGCCTACATCCACTCGCTAGGGGCAGAAGGCAGATGCAACTCCCTCTCATCCCCATCACCAGAAAGAAGTGTGGTTCCTACGGGATCTGCTTTAGTGTGAGATACACACTCAGTTTAATACACACACAGCTACACACAGCTACCTATACACACATACATGTACATATACACACATACAGTTACACACACAGCTACTTATAAACACACACATATGTACACAGCTATACACAGATACATAGCTGCACATACAGCTAGACACACACCTACACACACATGTATACACAGCTGCACACATATGCATGTGGATGTGTAGGTATGTATATGTACATATATGTACAAACATACACACCTATATATACACACATGGATATACACACACAGCTACACGCACATACACAGCTACCATACAGATACACAGCTACACATACACACACATACACATCTACAAGTACACACATATACACATACACAGCTACACATGCACATGCATACACACTACACATACACACACATACACACATCTACACATACACACATCTACACATACACACATATACACACTACACATACATGCAAACATACATAGCTACACATTCACACGCGCACACACTATACATACACACATCTACACATACACACAGCTACACATATACACTGTTATGGACTGGATGTCTGTCTTCCCCTGAATTCATGTGTTGAAATGCTGACCCCCACGGGGACAGTGCTGGGAGGTGGGGCTTGTGGGAGGGGAGGAGGCCGTGGGAGTGGGGCTCCCGTGAATGGGATTCTGTGGGCTTGCTCTGCTCGCCTGGCCACATGAGGACAGCGAGAAGGCTGCAGTCTGTAAATCAGGAAGTGAGCCCTCACCAGGCAGCACATCTGCCGGTGCCTTCATCCGGGACTTCCTGCCCCAGAACCAAGAGAAATAAACTGTGGCTTAAACCACTCAGTCTAGGGGACTTTGTCACAGCAAGCAGCCTGAGTTGAGACACACAGGTAGATACACACACGCACACGCGTCCTGGGCAGGAGGCATGTGTGACGGCCAAGCCGGGTGACCAAGGGTGTGACGACTCACACGTGTGTCCTGCTTTGTTTTCTCCACGGACGTGATGCATCTTAGGGACACCCTCTTGTGTGATGCCTCGGCCCAAACACGGCTTTAGAAACTCACCCACATGAGCTGCTTAGGAATGAAAGCATTCCAGTGGTTAATTTACTATGACATCTGTATCCTAAGTTAACTGTCGGGTAGAAAAATCTTAAAATAAGAACTAAATAAAAACCTCCTCCTGCCAGTGTGGAGATGACATCAAGAAGGCATCACATTCTGAAACTAGACACTACTTAGCCACACGGAACTCCTACCTGGACAGGATGCCTTTGTCAACACCACTCGTTTATGGCTCGCATTTTCACACAGGCTGTTTGTTGGTCTGTCTGGGCGGCCGTAACAAACCACCATAGGCCGGGAGGCCCAAACAACAGAAATTTATCTCACAGCTCTGGCCAGGTAAGTCCAAGATGAAGGTGCCCATAGACTTGGTGTCTGGTGACGGCGGCTTCCCCATTCAGAGGTCTCCTTGAGGCATGGCCATGCTGCGGAAGGAGATCTGGTCTCTTCAGCCCCTTATAAAGGCTCTGATCCCACCTGGGAGCTCCACCTTCATGACCTAATCTCCTCCCAAAGGCCTCACCTCCCCAAACATCACCTCTGGGGTTAGGGTTTCAACATCTGAGTTTGGAGGGACACAAACATTTATCCTATAGCAACTGGTTGGATGTCGTGAAACCATCGGATTCCTTGAAGCAGGTCCAGAAAGGAGCACGTGCGACTCTGCCCAAACCTAACGGGATTCCTGTCTCCGTCTCATGACTTTGATTCTCCGCAGAACACCCAGGGCCACCCCAGTGACCTTCTGTCCATTTCTGTTTCTCTCCAGCAAGGGCAAACCCCCACGGGCAGGGAACGTCTGTCTGTCTGTGGCTGAAGCCTGGGTGTCAAAAAGCCATCGGCCTCAGGGAGCGCAGGATCGGATCGGTCCTCCCAGGTTGGAGCAGCCGTCGGGCCTTGGTGAGTGTAGACTGAGCTTCGGGTCTGGTGGCTGGAGCCTCAGACCACGTGCCAGGGAGACTCCGGGGTCCTTCCCCACTTCGAATCCCTCTCTCAGGACTGCCCAGGCAGGTGCCATGCTGGAGCCCTGCAGCTCACCTGAGAACTGCGGCTCAGCTGCACAAACACTTAATCCTTAGGACGAGATGTAAGCTGGGACCAAAACCGAAATGGGGTGGGAGAAGGGGCAAGGCAGGAGGGGGCTTGTGCAGCGAGCGCTTGGGGAAGGTGAGGAAAGGAGAAGAGACGAAGGTCTCCAGCGTTCTTCCCGGGAGGAGAGCACAGGCCAGGGGAGGAACTCCTAAGTCTGCCCTGTCTCCACACACCTGAGGCTGCCTGGACATGGGATGGAGCAATCCTGTCAAATCCAGGTTCCTGGATGGCTGATGGCCACCGCTGACCATGCCACATTCCCGTAAAAGCAAAACGAAATTCCCAAGAGCCGCCTGGGCAGTGGGAGGGGGGCCGCCGTCCATTGCAGGGAGTGAGACGCACAGTGGCGGTGGCCTCTGCGTTCCGGGCAGGGCCTCCATTTCAGCTTTGTGGTTTTCACCGGTGGCAAGTCTGTTCTCTGCGTTTTTCACTTCAGATCATAAGTTCCTCAGTGGTAAATTCTCCCGCCCTGTTTTTAGCTCTTGCTGACGGTCAGCAAGTTGAAGTATCTTTTCTAGGATGACACAAGGACTGAGTTCTGAGACCACGACCTCCTCGGGGCCTGCTCCGACTGCCATGCCAGGGGACGCGCCATTGCCTCTGGGTTTGGAGCACCCATGCACCCCCCAACCCTCAGCCTTCAGTAAGAAAGAGTCAAACGGATGACTCAGGAGGCAGCTCTGCCCGGAAGGACAAGAATAATCAAGAATTTACATGTAGGATATTTCCTGATTTTACACCCAATTCCTTGTTCCTCAAATGTCAGAAAACTAGAGGGGACAGTAGGGTGGCAGGTCTCGTAGCTTCAGGGTTAAGCGAAGCGCTTTTGGGGCAGATGTCACTGTGAGTAGAGGGTGTGGATTACGAGGGACACAGGCTGAATGGGGAGCTGCTGTCTGCGGATGACAGACACAGAGTCCAGGTGTGACTTCCGCAGCTCGTCCTGACTTTGGGCGGCAACGTACAGGAGTCCGGAGCCCCCGAGGTTTACGCATCCCTCACTTGGCCGCCTTTCAAAAGCTGCCTCATCTGGATCCAGGATCTGGACAGAGCTGTAGGGTTCTGCGTGGCACCTGTGCGTCTACAGACAATGGAGGGAGAAGACGGGACCGCACATGTCACAGTGGCAGCCATGGCTCCGCGGCAGACAGCACAGGGCTGGCACGAACGTCGCAGGGAGGGGAAATCAGCAGGGCAAGTGGAAAGAAACGCAGTCTCCTCTTGAAAAGGAAAATTCGGAGCCATTCCTTCCTGACATCTTTAGTTTTTTGCTCTGGCACTTCACGGAAGCCATTCCAGGCATCCAAAGACCAGGGAATTAAGCAAAAGTCCACGGAACAGGCTGGGGTGTCGACCTGTGGGCTCCAGTCACAATGAGGGGCCTCACCCAGCTGGACCCCAGCCCCATGGTGGTCAGTGTGCAGGAGTGGCGGGCGGGGGAGTCTGTGTTTCCTTCGAGTGGAGCGAGACAGGGAGAGCGAGTCCCATGGGTGATGCTGGGGCGGGAGGGGAGCCCCCTTGAGGGCAGCTGTCAAGACAGCAAACCTCTGAGCCAGATTTACCCTGAGTCCAAGGCGGCCCCTGAAAGGCACGTCCACTCCCTGTCCCAGGAGCCTGTAAACATGACTTTGTTTGGAGAAGTCTTTGCAGCAGAGGTAACAAAGTTTTCAGGGTGAGACCATAATGGATTATACGGTGGGCCCTAAATCTCGTGACGGGTGTCCCGGGAGAAAGGCAGAGGGGCTTTGAGGCAGAAGAGGAGACACCGACGTACAGGTGAGGCGGCTGCATGAAGATGCCAAGGGACACCAAGGAACACCTGCGTCCCCAAAGCAGGAGGAGCCTCCGGAAGGGGCACAGCCCCACGGAACCTGAGAGACGAGCCCCAGTTGTTTCGGTCCCCCAGTGCATGGCCTTTGTCATGAGGACACAAAAGGGGGCTTCATGGCAGGAACCCGGAGTGCAGGCGCAGCCTCAGGACACAGCAGTGCTGGACGTGGTGAGGAGGGGACGGGGCGATTGGCAACGCACACACCCGAGGCTGCCACAGGCTTCCTCCAAATCCGCGCACATCTGCAGGAGAAGCGCCAGCCGACACTGATCCTTCTCAGACGTGGTACTGCTGCTACGACCTGGATCCTGAGAACAGCGTGGTGTGCCAGGGTCCCACCCCAGATGGGCCCATGGCTGAGCCCTCAGTACATGGCTCTGAGGCTGGGTGCACCTCTAGAAGCCGGGAGGCAGCTGTGAACAAACCCAGCCCTCAGGAGGGACCCACGCCACACACGGGAGGACGTGAGGTGGTGTAACGAAGGGGGCGGAGCAGAGCGCAGGCGAGGAGGGAGAGGGCATGTACGAGGGCGTGCCTCTGAGCAAGGCCTGAGGGGCCGGGCCAGCCACAAGCCCCGCGGAAGAAATTCGCTGCATGGAGAGGGCCGGCTGTGCAAAGGCCCCGAGGTTGGCGGGAGGCAGGGGGATGGGGAGGCAGCCTGCCTCCAGGGGGTGGGCAGGATACGACGCGGGGGCAGCATATGACGCGGGGGCAGCAGTACCACAGGGGACTCCATCTTATATTCCAGGAGGGAGAGGAGCCGACGGAGGCTTTGGTGTGGTTCCCAAGACCATTGACGCTCAGGCACTTATCAGCTTGCGGGTCTCTGCTCAGGGTCTCTGGGCCCACGTGGAGGGGTTGCCGGGCTGTGATCCTGAGCCCAGTCTCTCCAGCTCCCCCAGGGGCTTGGCAGAGCTGTGCCCCCAGCTGCAGTGTTGAGGCCCCGGGTTCCTGGCGGCTGCCCGTGGGGCGGCTCTTGTCCTGGTCAGGCGGCCTCTGCCTCCTTCGGGGCCACACAGAGAACCCCCTTGTGTCAAATCCTTCTTGCACCTGGGATCCCTCATGCCAGGAAGAGCCCCATCTCTTCTAAGGGCTTAGCTGAGTGGGTCAAGCCCACCAAGGAAGATCTTAAAGTTAGCTGATTTGGGGCCTTAAATTCATCTGCAAAATCCCCCCCAGAGCTCCTGGGCTGGCGTCTGAGGAACGATCGAGAAAAGGTGGGTGGCTGGGGCCGTCCTGGGACTCTGCCCTCCCAGGCACCGCTGGGGTGGGGGCACTGCCTGGCAACTGGAGGAAGGTCAAGGCTGGAGGCCCAGGTCGGGGCCCTCCTGGTGGCAAAGCTGTGAGCCTCTTTGGGGTTGTGAAAGGGGCGGGGAGAGGCTGGGGACGCAGGAGGAACCGGCAGAAACCACGGCGCCTCTCTTGAGCCATCACCACGCCTGGTCCCCGACACAGGGGGATTGGAGCCCTTGTCCTCTGGGAGTTTTCAGTTCTCCAGAGACCCCCTGCTTTCTCTCCTTCCTCCTCCTGGGCCACTTGGCCATGGGAAGCAGGGACCAAGTCACTGCACAGCACTTCTCCTCTGGCCATCATGTTGCTGGCTGTCTCTTCGATTTTGGTCTCATAAAACTCACCAGCTGCACCTCGCAGTCAGCCTCCCTCAGACCCCAAGGCCCGGCCTGGGGTGCAGGCTGGCTCTGTAGGTGCAGGTGCGGGATGGAGGCCCCACCGTGCCAGCCATGGATTGGGGGCCGGGATGCTGACGGGAATGCAGAGGGGCAGAGGCTGAGCTCCCAAGAGCACCGCGTCCTCGGCATCGGGGCACCCTCCTCAGCATCGGGGCACCCTCCTCGGCATCGGGGCACCCTCCTCAGCATCGGGGCACCCTGATGGCCCAGGGTGGGCATGCATGTGCATGGTGTTTTTTCTGACGGGTCCTGTTGGGCAGATTTGTTCACATAAGAACGGCATCTACATAGCTCGGGGCCACTGCAGGTGCCCTTGCTGTACCCACACAGGGGTGCTGGGAGCCTCATTATGTCCCCATGGCTGCAGGCACCACCTCCACAGGTGTGCCAGACGCAGGGCTGGAGGCCACAGTGGACAGAGGCGTGGCCTGGGAGGTGCCCAGATGCAGCAGGAACTGGGGTTCACTGAGGCCCATGGGCTCGGCCACCCACACACCACTCCATCTGTCCCTGGAGGCTGCTGTCAGGGGTGCCCAGGCCACATCCCCCTGGGGACCCTGACCCTCCTCCACCCACCTCCTCCCAGTGGCCATGTGCCAACTGGCATGGAGCTGCCCACTTCACAGAGATGGGGAGAGCCAGGTCACAGGTCAGACCCAAGGCAGTGAATACACAGCCCCTCGCATGACCCTTCCCAGCTCCAGCCTGGGCCAGGCCACGGGGGCTGCTCGGCCCACACCCGGCCCCAGACCCCTCCCTCTCCACCCCATCCCAGCTTCTGGAACTCACCGGACAGGTAAGCAAAGCGCTTCTTTAGCTGGTCCTGGATGTCGGCAGCACAGAGCGGGACGATGTCCTGGTGCATGATTTCATCTGCACGGAAAGAGCAGACGGCACGTGTCAGTCCCAGGAAGCTGCCTCACCCTGCAAGCGCCCACCCGATCCCACACGGAGCTGGCACATCCACAGGCACCTACGGGAGTGGCGTCACGTGGCTGGAAAAAGGCTTTTCAGTTTCCAATACGTGGAGGCCTTTGTTTCTCAGCGCATAAAAGCTGTGTGTTGAGTGATTCACCATCAATTTTGAAAGTGTGATATAAGAGGTTCAGAGAGAGGGACTGAGAGACAGAGAGAGGGAGGGACAAAGAGAGAGACCTGGGCAGAGGGGAGGCAGGGGAGCAGTGGGAAAGGGCTTGGTCCTGGCTCCTCGGATAAATACACTTTGGTCTGAGTCCCACCCACATTAGGGAAAATGTTCAGGCGACCCCTGCCCCGCACCTGTTGCAGGTGCAGTAACTTGTGGCCCAGGAGGAAAACCTGGCCATGGAATGGGCCTCTGCCTCCGCACACACAGGACCCTCGGGGGTCTGTGCCACAACCCTGGCCTCGCCATTAGACGGACACAAATGAGGCAGGATGGCAACAGCAGGGTCGACCCCCACACCCATCCCCCCACCCAGCAGGTTCCAGATGGCTCTGGACGCACTGCAGCACCTGCAGCCACCAGGCCAGCACTGGCTGGGAGCACGGGGGGAGCATGGGGCCAGTACCAGCTGGGAGCACTAGGCCAGCGTCAGCTCGGAGCATGGGGTCAGCACCAGCTAGGAGCATGGGGCCAGCACCAGCCAGGAGCACGGGGCCAGCACCAGCTGGGAGCACTAGGCCAGCATCAGCTCGGAGCATGGGGTCAGCACCAGCTAGGAGCATGGAGCCAGCACCAGCCGGGAGCATGGGGCCAGCAAGACCCTCCAGGGAAAGCTGTACGGACTGACAGGCTGGTGGTCTCTGCTACAGAGCGGCTGCCAGGCCACTGTGCCTGGGGGACACTGACCACTGACCACGGAGCAGACACGATTTCTGGCCAACGCTCTCATCATATAGCCACATTTGCAGTCTTGAACATCCACACAATTTCTCTCTAAAAGATGCAGGACTCACGCTGATGACCTGAGAATGGCTTAAACGCTCAATTTTTCCACACCTGAGGACCCAGGTCACTAACAGCCTGAAGATATGGGACAGAGGTGTTTGTACCTGGAAATTCCCAGCGGAGGCTGCCAGATAATATCTACCTGGCATCAGACTTAAATCTTGCTCTTCCAGTCTTGCAGACAAACAAGTGTAAACACGGGACACAGTGGAACACAAAGGGGCCCCTCCTGGGCCGTGCTGGCTGCGGCCCTGCCAGCTATGGGACTGCTTTGCCTCCGAGCCAGACACAACCCTGGTGTTGGGGGGGAAGCAGCAGGGCCACGGTGTCATGGGACCTGCCAGAGCCAAGCAGATGTCAAGGCCCTTCCCCAGAGCCTTGCAGGGCGAGCTCAGGGCACAGACCCATTCCCAGTACGCAACCACGTCTCGGCGATGGCTTCTTTTGTGGGAGAAAGACAGAAACAGTCAATCAGTAAAGCATGAAATACTATCTCATGCTCCTGGCAAGGTGACTTCCACTGGTGCACACCTCTCTGGAATGTGTGTCTGGTGCAGCCGACGGCAGCCTAGACTGCGCAGTTGGATGTTCAGATTTTACGGTAAGTTTTTCTCTCTCACCAGGAGCGACTGTGACCTGAGAGGAAACCAGGAGGCACTGTCCTCAATCCCCTGCCTGCCTCACAGACCGTGGGGGCACCGTCCGCATCACAGTGTCCACCGTCCACACCGCCTGTCCACCGTCCGCATCACAGTGTCCACCGTCCACACCGCCTGTCCACCGTCCGCATCACAGTGTCCACCGTCCACACCGCCTGTCCACCGTCCGCATCTCAGTGTCCACCGTCCACACCGCCTGTCCACCGTCCGCATCACAGTGTCCACCGTCCACACCGCCTGTCCACCGTCCGCATCACAGTGTCCACCGTCCACACCGCCTGTCCACCGTCCGCATCACAGTGTCCACCGTCCACACTGCCTGTCCACCGTCCACACCACCTGTCCACCATCCACACTGCAGTGTCCACCGTCCACACCGCCTGTCCACCGTCCGCATCACAGTGTCCACCGTCCACACCGCCTGTCCACCGTCCGCATCACAGTGTCCACAGTCCACACTGCAGTGTCCACCGTCCACACCACCTGTCCACTGTCCTCATCGCAGTGTCCACCGTCCTCATTGCAGTGTCCACCATCCACCCAGCCTGTCCACCGTCCACACCGCCTGTCCACCATCCACACCACCTGTCCACCATCCGCACTGCAGTGTCCACCGTCCACACTGCCTGTCCACCGTCCGCATCACAGTGTCCACCGTCCACACTGCCTGTCCACCGTCCGCATCACAGTGTCCACCGTCCACACTGCCTGTCCACCGTCCACACCACCTGTCCACCATCCACACTGCAGTGTCCACTGTCTACACCACCTGTCCACTGTCCTCATCGCAGTGTCCACCGTCCTCATCGCAGTGTCCACCATCCACCCAGCCTGTCCACCGTCCACACCGCCTGTCCACCATCCACACTGCCTGTCCACCGTCCGCATCACAGTGTCCACCGTCCACACTGCCTGTCCACCGTCCACACCACCTGTCCACCATCCACACTGCAGTGTCCACTGTCCACACCACCTGTCCACCATTCACACTGCAGTGTCCACCGTCCACACCACCTGTCCACTGTCCTCATCGCAGTGTCCACCGTCCTCATCGCAGTGTCCACCATCCACCCAGCCTGTCCACCGTCCACACCGCCTGTCCACCATCCACACCGCCTGTCCACCGTCCGCATCACAGTGTCCACCGTCCACACCGCCTGTCCACCGTCCGCATCACAGTGTCCACCGTCCACACCGCCTGTCCACCGTCCGCATCACAGTGTCCACCGTCCACACCGCCTGTCCACCGTCCGCATCACAGTGTCCACCGTCCACACCGCCTGTCCACCGTCCTCATCACGGTGTCCACCGTCCACACCGCCTGTCCACCGTCCGCATCACGGTGTCCACCGTCCACACCGCCTGTCCACCGTCTGCATCACAGTGTCCACCGTCCACACTGCCTGTCCACCGTCCACACCACCTGTCCACCATCCACACTGCAGTGTCCACCGTCCACACCACCTGTCCACTGTCCTCATCGCAGTGTCCACCGTCCTCATCGCAGTGTCCACCATCCACCCAGCCTGTCCACCGTCCACACCACCTGTCCACCATCCACACCGCCTGTCCACCATCTGCACTGCAGTGTCCACCATCCACACCACCTGTCCACCGTCCACACCACCTGTCCATCATCTGCACTGCACTGTCTACCTGCTGGCAGCCCGCAGTGCCTCTGGACTCTCTGGGCCAGGACAAACTCTAAATATTGTCCCTCAGATCAAATGCCTCATTTTGGGTATGAAAAGCAGGGATCCCCCTGTGTGTGATCAGAAACTGCACACAGCTAAGCCCTCATACAAATAAACTCTAAAATATCGCTACATCTGAAGTGGTCACTGGCCACTCTGTGAACCTGAAGAGGCCTGTGGATGCTCTCTGACCCACACCAGAGTGTTGGCCTTCTTCCGTTCTTCATGGAGGCCTTCTGCAGGCGGGGCCCTGGGATTTTCAGGGCGCTGGGCGTTTCTTCCATTTATGTGTGTAAGTTTTCATTCTTCTTGATTTTTTGAACCCACTCAAGAATGATGGGAAAATCTGCCCTTATGATCATAGTTTCTTTAAAAGTTCCAGTCTACTTAATTTTGCAGCCATAAGACTAAGAAGCGCACGGAGGAACAATAGTGGCCACTCAGTTCAGGAGACAGGTCCCCAGAGGAGATGCAGGCAGGCGAGCATGGCCTCTGTGGGGCTCTGTGCTGTCAGACGTCTGGGAGGTGGTGGGCCCCTGACCCGTATGTGCCACCCAAGGCCAGGCCAGGCCCAGCTCCCTCACTGAGCCCTGCTCCAACCAACTCCCCAGTGATGACCCCACTGCTCAGAGGCAGGTCTGAGAGGGGAGGGTTAGGGCCTCACATCTGAGGCCCGGCAGAGGCTGCCCCGTCCATTCCCCTGCCACGCGGGCAGAGGCAGCAGGTGGGGCCGACGAGGGGGTGGCCAGGCCTGCCCCTGCCCATCCCCAGCACCGACCACAGCAGCCCCACCTGGGAGGGCCAATCTCTTCTGGCCACTACGGGGACGACGTGGTGAGATTTCCCAAGCGTGGGAAGGGCAGAGGTGCCCTTGGCTCACCTGATACACAGGTGAGGCCCCACCACTGACTTTTCCTCACAGAAACAGGGTCCTGGCAATGGCAGTCCAGGGAGGGGGACCATGTGTCTATCTTTAGATCTCTTTGTTCCAACAAAACCAGACGACTGAAGCAAACTTCCTTCCTCTTGCAAGTTGACTCAAAAGCTTGCTTTATTTGAGGACAATTTCATCCTGAAAACCAGGAGCGGGGTGTTGCGGGGTGGGAGGGCGGCCAAGACGTCTGAGCAGTATCCCAGGCACCCCTTCCAGCCCAGGGTGACCTCGAAAGCAGCAGAGAGAACGGGGACTGGAGGCGGGTGGGCCCTGGAAATCCTCTCATGGTGCGGGTGGGGGGGGTATGGGGGGTGGACTGTCACAGGTGGAGGCAGCAAGGCAGCTCCTGGCAGCAGGAAGAGGCCCAGGTGCAGCAGGAAACCCCGTCCCTGGTGCTCACTGGTGACCGTGGGCAGAGGAGAGGACAAGTCTCTCCACACAGCAGCCTGGGGCCATGGGGTACAGTCCATCTTTTGCCAATTGTCTTCTTTTATTTATTCTGGCAAAATGCCCATTCCCAAAGGCTTCTGCATCCTGTCCATCAGACAGGACAGTCGTGCCTTTTCAAAGTCCAAGGCTGAGCGTCAGATGGGATTACGTCACCAGATCATCCGGCCAGAGGCCTTCCCGAAGCCCATCCTTGAGGATCTCCAAACCCAGGAAGAACAGGGCCACAGAGCAGGGCAGTAAGAAGAAACGCAGGCCACAAAATCGGAACAAAATCTAAATTCAGTAAGGAGGATGCTTGAAACCACAGCCTTCAGATAAGGACACCCCAGGAGGCCAGCATCCCCGTCCCCTCCAGACAAGCTCCTGACACTGTGTGGGTCAGGGGATAAACAGGACACCCTGGGGGCCAGCGCCCCGTCCCTGCCATTGGGACAAAAGGGGCGTCCACACCTCTGTTTGTGATGTGTGTTAAAGGATCTGTTTGATTTTGCATTCCCGATGTTTAAGGTTTATCCTGACTTGGTTGGCAGAATTCTCACTTACATTAAATCTCAAATATGTTTAACGAGCCATTTGCTAGTGGGTTAGGTATAAATATTTCATGTCACATACACAGTGACTTAAATCACATGGTTCACTAAATATTATTTTTCTGATCTCAGAAAGCTTAACCTTTACACATTTTAAAAATACAAGGCCCTGCCAGAAAAGATGGTCAAAAGAAGCGGTGATCAGGGAAACCCCGCTCCTACCGCAGGGGCGTCATCTCAGACGCGCAACACCAACCGGCAAGGGCCAGGAGCCGGCGGACTCCCACGTGGGGGGCAGGTGTCAGTGCACAGCCGCCCCGCAGAACCCTCCGGACGCCCTTTGGAGTGAGACAGTTTGCGCCTCGGGCAGGGAGGACTCGCACATCCGCACTTGGCCAATCTCCTCTGGGGGTCGTCTCCAGAGCTTC
The DNA here is from genome assembly GCF_000001405.40 of Homo sapiens. Taxonomy (NCBI): domain Eukaryota; kingdom Metazoa; phylum Chordata; class Mammalia; order Primates; family Hominidae; genus Homo; species Homo sapiens. The sequence goes on along the minus strand of NC_000013.11, from coordinate 113,009,010 downwards.
GCTCTCCGCTCTCCACGCTGCCTCGCCCGCCCGCCCGCAAGCCCTGGGGGCCGTCTCCAGAGCTGCGCTCCCTCTCCACGCTGCCTCGCCCACAAGACCTGGGTTCTCTGATGCAGGCGGGCGTAAGAATCCCCTGGAGCGTGTCCTCAGCACACATGGGTGTGTTGTTTGGGACCAAGCTCCTGCCTAGACCCCAACAGATCAGACTGAAAATCAAAATGAAGTCCCCACACTCCAAGGGAAACTGAGTTGTTATCGGACCTTGGAGAAAACAGGAGACAGAGGAGAGGCCAATCTTCCAACCAGGCCAGGCTCTGTCTTCCTCGGCGTGGTCACGGAGGTCCCTCTTTTTGTTGTTCTTGCTCTCAACTTGTTTAATATGTAAAAGGACAATCAAAACAGTGGTCAGAATTTCCACTTTTGATACATTCTTAGGATGCAGCCCATCCAGAGAGCATCACTTCAAATAGATGAAGAATTACCCAACTTTTTCTGTCTTAAAGACAGTTTGCTTAGATTTTAAAAAGACTTAATTCCATGAGTTACGGCACTGAATTTAACCATGAGAATTAAATATAAAAACATGGAGGCTCTGAGCTGCCCGCAGAGGTGGGACTCCTATGAGGGTGACTGCTGGAGTCCAGGGGCTGAGACACAGCCACTCACAACATTACCGTTCCCCTGTAACAAAGGGTTAAGACTTTATCATAACTTAATTATACATTCATTATGGTGCTTTAAAACAGTCAAGCCTAAATAAATTCTTCACACTGCCAAAAAGATACCCGTACTTGGCCGGGCACAGTGGCTCACGCCTATAAATGCCAACACTTTGGGAGGCCAAGGTGGACAAATCACTTGAGGTCAGGAGTTCAAGACCAGCCTGGTCAACATGGCGAAACCCCCTCCCTACTAAAGATACAAAAATTAGCTGGGCATGGTGGCAGGTGCCTGTAGTCCCAGGTACTCAGGAAGCTGAGGCTGGAGAATCTTTTGAACCTGGGAGGTGGATGTTGCTGTGAGCTGAGATTGTGCCACTGCACTCCAGCCTGGGTGACAGAGCGAGACTCCATCTCAAAAAAAAAAAAAAAAAAGAAAAAGAAAAGATACACATACTAAAAACCCATTTAAGCACAAAGTTTGTCACGTGACGGCTCTTGGTCTGGGCCACACGTGTGTGCAGGGATCTTCTGCTTCTTCAAGCTTGATGTAAGTCCGGCAATCACCTAATGTGAAACTGATCCTTACGACACAGAGCCGCCTGAAGTGGCCAGTGGGTCACGTCTCTCCCGCCGACTCCCCAAGCTTACAAAGGACAGTGACTGAGGCCGCCGAACCGCGTTTGCACAGTTTCTGCTTTCCTCAGCCCTGTCTGTACAGCCGGCCCCGCACTGCGTGTTTCACTGGAGCTCTTAATTCTAGTTCATGGAATGCAGTGCTGCCCCACTCTAGAATCGCCAACAAAGCCCAGTGAGATCTTTAAATTACACGGATTGCAATTTGATCTTCTGGCAGGTATTTCCTCTTTCTCCGCCTCACGGTGGCCACGGCCCACTCAAGTGATTTCAGAACCACAACGCAGGGGTCTCAAGGTGAGGCTCCCAGGTGACACGGACGCTGGGGTCAGGGGTTAGACCCCCGCTGTTCTCAAGGTCACACTGTCTGAGCCAGGGGCACCAGGAGGGTCTGTCATGCAGGGGGGCACTTGCCTGCTCACCAGCTTGCATTTTCATGAACGTTTCCTGACATCAGTAAAATGGCCTGAGTGCAGTTTCAGCCAGGTGGGCCTCAGCATCCACCCTACACCTGGCGGGCTCTGCACGGACCCTGGATCTGTGTGCACTCATGCCCTGGCTGGGGTGTAGTCACACCATACACACAATGGCTTCTGAGCTAGAACAACTTAAAAAATCAAGGGGCAGAGGGACCAGAGACCAAAGTGACTGAGAGCCACTGTCTGAGAGACACAGGAGGCCGGGTTTCAGGATGAGGGACGCAGGTTCCTTCCAGAGTTCAGAGACCCTGACCCTGCCACCCTCTCCCCCAAGGGCCGGGCTGGCTGCCGGCTTTGCCACCTCCGGTCACAGCCCTACCCGCTACACAGTACCCATGGCTCCGCTGCCTCCCCACACCCCGCCACAGACCTGGGCCTGCCCTTGGGGGCTGAGCCAAACCTCCGCACATGTGAGGCTCCAGGCCGAGCCTCCTGGGCCAGATGCTCGGGGCGTTCTCAAGTGACTGCTGAGTGGGCAGGGCTGGTGGCACCCGCAGGGAGCATTTCCACAGGGCCCAGACCCGAGGGTCTTCAACACCTTAGTGTCTCCCGCCAGCCCCCACTGAGATGCACACGTCTCCCTTTCTCTCCTGGAGGCCGCCCAGGGTGCGCCTGCTCTCCCAGCCACTGCCTGCCAGCGCCTTTCCGGTTCAGAGGCAGCTGAGCCCTCACATGGACCTCCTGTCCGCAGGAGGGGTCGCACTGGCAGCTGCACCTGGAATGGCTAGGGGTCCAGGGAGAAAGGGCATGCCAGGGAGACCCCCTCGGGGTTCAGATGAGGACCACCCTGTGCTCCCGGGGGGAGGATCAGGCCAGAAAGGCAGGTTTCCTACTCACACCTGGCTCCAGTGCATTGAGTGAGTCCTCGCGAGGACCTAGGGAGCATGAAGCCTCATCATCCTTGTTTTAAAGACGGGGAATTCAAGGTCAGGCTCAGCTGTAAGCAGCCCAGGACTGCAGGGCAGGCAGTGCCAGGACTGAGCCCACGCCGTCTGCTCCAGCGCCTGGGACCTTCACTGCCACGGGCTCAACAGCGAGGCTATGGAGAGGCTCTCGCAGAGGGGCTGGGAGGGTGCCGACATGCGTCTGTTTCCAGGCTGATGGGTGAGTGAGACCCCAGTGGCTGGGACAGGGCAGGCTTGTGGGCAGGAAGGCGGGGACATGGCAGGGCACGGCCTCCCATTGCACAGGAGTTGCCCAGAGTCACGGAAGATGTTGGAGCCATCAGGGAGCTTCGAGTCCGATGATTTTCGCTAAGCAGCCCCATTTACTCAGCTCTGTTCACTGTGCAGGGTGTTGTGAACGGAGCCCTTGGCTGGCTCATCACTTCCTGAGCTTACAGCTTCTGGCTATTTTTTCCAGCTATATTGAGAAAAATAATTGTATGTATTTAAGGCGCACACGTGCTGTTTTGATATAGTTCACGTTGTGAAACCATAGCCACCACCAAACTCACTGGTGACTGACTGTCACCTCCCACAGCTGCCATTTCCTTTTACAGTTAGAATACCCAACATCCACTCCCAGCAAACCTCAGGTACAAATACAGCGTTAACCACAGTCACCACAAACAGGCCACGGCCACCTTGAACAGGTCACAGCCACCATGAACTGACCACAGCCACCCAGAACCAACCATGGTCACCACAAACAGACCACGGCCACCACAAACAGACCACAGCCACCCAGAACCAACCACGGCCACCACAAACAGACCACGGCCACCACAAACCAACCATGGCCACAACAAACACGCCACGGCCACCACAAACAGACCACAGTCAGTCACCACGAATAGTCCATGGCCCACCACGAACAGACCCCCAGACTTCATTCATTTGGCACAACGGAAACTCTGTGTCCTCCGGCCAGCATCTCCCCAGGCTTCCCCACCCCAGCCCCCAGTAGCCACCGTGCTTGTCGGCGTCTCTGACACCCCACACGAGTGGGGCCGTGGCTTTGCCTTTCTGTGCCTGCAGCTGGTTTTACTCAGCAGGCCGTGGCTTTGCCTGTGGCTGATTTTGCTCAGCACTGTCCTCCAGGCTCATCCGTGCTGTCTCGAATGACAGGCTTTCCTTTCTAACAAAGACCCAGCAGCACTCTATTGTGTGTGCCCCACATCATCTTCACGCGCCCATCCACTAACGGCCACTGGGGTCGATTCCACGTGTGGGCTGGTGAGCTCTGGAGGGCGGGTGGCTCTTTAACACGCTCACTCCTTTCCCCGATACCCACCCACAGTGGGGACTCCTGGCTCCAACGACAGTGCTCTTTTCAATTACTTGAGGAACCTCCATACCCCACACTGTTTTCCGTGATACCTGCACCAACTTACGTGCCCACCAACAGCATGCACGGGCTGCCATGCCTCCGCAAACTTGTCTTCGTAAGGTCCAGAGAGAAATGGGCACCAACGTGAAGCCCAGGCAGCATCTGAACACACGCGTGGTCCGTGTGCTTGGTGTCATCACCACACACGTGGGCCAGCGGCTGCCACAGGAAAGACACTCACTGGCCCTGCGGGAGCACAGACCTCACCCTGAACACAACCTCCCTGAGCTGTGTGACTCTGGGCAGTTGCTTTCTCTCTCTGGGCCTCCTCCTCCTCTGTAAAGCTGAGACAAGGCTTCCTTGTGGGATCATGGCTGCAATTCAGCCGGTGATGCAGGCAGACGGCTTTGGTGATGGCTGCCCCCCACCAGGTGAGCAGACCCAGGGGGATCTTCCTGCTCCCAGGTTATGTTATGGAGGCTACAGGGACCCAGAGGAACCCCCCAGCACTGCGCCATGGGGGCTGGCCAGGGCCCCAGCTGCAGACATGGAGTGACGGCTGCAGACTGAGGTCCATGGAGGAGGTGGTGTTGGCTACGACGCAGGATGCTGTGCAGGTGGGAGGTGCGCTCAACAAGAGGCCAAGGTGAAGAGGACCACCAAGTGTGGCCGCACACTGACGGGCAGATGGACGCTTCTCTGCAGGGTGGTGCCCCGTCCTCCTCTGCCAAGTGACGCCAGGTGGCCTCTATGTAGTAGGGACCAGCTCCCCGAGGACACTTGTGCCCCGGAGGGTCATGCCAGAGCCAAACCTCCCTACTCGCTGGGCCGGGGGGAGGCGTGGCCTGCACCAGCCACGAGGGAAGGGCCACAGCCTGGTCTGCCTGGAACACATGTTAAAAATGCCTAAAGGAGAATGAGAACAGTCGTCATAACAAATTCTTTCCTTTAAAATTAAAAACAACAGTCTGGACTGTACCACGGTGACCTCTCTGTGGAATCCAAGTGTCTCAGTCCTTCTGCGCCTCCCCCAACTGGCACCCTCTGGGCCCGAGGACAGACTCTCCAAGGCCAGTGGGGCTCGCCCCACCCTGCATTTTACCTTCTGAGAAAGGTCACCCACAGGTGGCAAGTTCCTTCCAGGTCCCTAGGCCTCTGCAGGAGTGAGGAGGGGCACAGTGAGGAACACAGGCCTGGCTGACCCTGGCTGACCCTGGCACCGACAATGCTTCTTCAATGTACCCTAAGAGGACGTGAGACACTAAAACAGAGCCTGGAGCAGGTCCCGGGTCTGATCACGGAACCGTCAGGGCTCAGAAGGACAATTCCTCCTCTTGTCCAGGGTGGTCCTGGCTTTGCCTGGTCCTTCAGGAGGGAACTGCAGGATGGGGTGGCCAGGGCTTCAGGGGTGCAAAACCAGGGGGCACCCAGGGGACACAACCTCTCTTAAAGCAGCCACCTACCCCTGCTCACACCGGAGCCTTCCACGGTGCCCCACAGCCAACCCCAAAACCCAGGGGGCCACCTGCCCCTACTCAACCCAGAGCCTTCCACGGTGCTCCACAGCCAACCCCATAACCCAGGGGGTCACCTGCCCCTACTCACCCCAAAGCCTTCCACGGTACTCCACAGCCAACCCCATAACCCAGGGGGCCACCTGCCCCTACTCACCCCGAAGCCTTCCATGGTGCCCCAAAGCCAACCCCAAAACCCACGGGGGCCACCTACCCCTGCTTACCCTGGAGCCTTCCCCAGTGCTCCACAGCCAACCCCATAACCTGGGGTGGCCACCTGCACCTGCTCACGCCCTCACCCAGGCTAGAGTACAGTTGTGCAATCATACCTTATTGTAGCCTTGACCTCCTGGGCTCAAATGATTCTCCCCTCTCAGCCCCCCAGGTGGCTGGGACTACAGGCACACGCCACCACACCCAGCCTATTAATTTTTTTTTTTTTTTTTTAACAGATGAGGTCTTGGTATGTTGCCCAGGCTGATCTCAAACTCCTGGGCTCAAGCGATCCTCTAGCCTTGGCCTCCCAAAGTGCTGGGATTACAGGCGTGAACTGCTGTACCCAGCCAGTTCTTTACTTTAAAATTGGAAACTTTAGATGTTCATTCATTGCCGTTGATAGTTAAGGTCTGATTCACTAAAATTCACAAAGATGCTTATTTTATGAATTATTCATCAATACTTGGCATAAGTACCCGCTGGAAAATATAATTAGGACAAATCTCTTGAAAACGAGTACTCCATTCTTAGAAAAGCATCAACAAAACCCAGGCTGTTTCCTCCCCACGTGACCCCTTCTCCAGGGACCTTGCCCCAAAGCTCCAATTGTCAGGATGGGGCCAGTGTGGACCAGCAGCCCCTGAGCCCTGACCAGACCAAACACACCCAAACCTGAGACCACAGAGGCCGCCCAGCCGGGTCCACAGGCTTGGCCAGGGGCCTCCCAAGTCCTGCTTACCTAGAGAGGGCAGCTTGTCACGCCTTGCACCACGGGTGGCCCCATTGTGGGGACAGCAGTGGCCAGGCGTCCCCTCCAAGGAGGAGCCGCAGCCCCTCCACCAGCCAGACGTGGGCGCTGCCCTCATTTGTCCACATAGCCTGTCTATGAAAAACCTCGAACAAAGGAGCCAGTGGAAAGGTGATCCCAGCCTTCTGGGACCAGCACAGACAGTCCCTCACAGGCCAAGGGCAGAGGCGGCCCCACTGCTCACCAGGGACCCCAGGGCCATGGCCCTAAACCATCCATCGGGCAAGGCCCGTGCACACCTTCCCTGCCAAGGAACAGGGCTCCTCTGGTCTCGGAGGCACCCACCCCAACATCCATCCCCGGCATCCCCCAGCCCCGGGCTTCTGCCCCAGCAGCCTCTGAGGACAGGGCTGGGCCCAGAACGTCCACCCCCGCCCGGCGTCCCCGCACTGTCGCCCCACAACACCTTCCGGGGAGGCGAGGACCCGCCCGCGCCCCACGCACCTGCGCCGGCCTTCAGCAGCAGCCACAGCGCCCAGAGGTCCCGGCACAGCAGTGACAGCCGGCGCACCGTCATGCTGCCCAGTGCGAGTCAGGAGCCCCCGACCCGGCTCCCGGAACGCCCTTCCCGGGCACACAAAGGATGGCGCAGCACCAGCACCATCTTGGCCGCGAAGCGGGGACGCCACACCTTCCTGGGTTTGCTGGGCAGACCTGGCCTCTGCAGGGCAGCCAGCCGGCTGCTCCTCCCAGGGCCTCCGATTCGATGTCCCTGATTAAGGAGCAGCATCGGCTCACTTATCCTGCTGCAGGCAGCTTAACTGTTGCGATCCTGGCGACAGCTGAGCCCCGGCCAGGGAGGCTTCAGGTTCCTGGTGTTGCTTGTCTAGACCCTCCCTGCAGGGGCCCCACACTCCGCCAAAGTCCCATCCACTGAGTGGCAGGGACCTGAGCTGGCAGGGGCCATGCTTAGCAGAGATCCGTCCCCCGAGCCAGCCCCACAGCTGTGGGGACCTAGGCCGAGGTCCGCATCCCCTGTGCTAGCCCCAGGGCTGCAGGGACCTGGGCTGGCAGGGATGAGCTGTCCGGAGAGTATGCTGACCCAGGGGCCAAGCCTTCTGCCCCTGGCAACACACGCCTGTGGGGAGTTGAGCCTTTGAGTGCCTGGGAGGCAGCTGCGTCCGCTGTTCTCATCCGTCTGTGGTCACTGAGTTCCTTTTAAACCCGTGTGAGCAGGGGCCGTTCTCAGAATACCCCTGCACCGAGAACACAGAAGGCAGGCTCCCGGCTGCCTCTCTACTTTTCCAGGACCGGGAGGGGGATACTTAAATACGTCACTTGAAAACTGGCAGTCCAGGAGGGGGCTCCTAACCGCTGCCCTGGGTGGGAGTCCCACAGAGAGCTCGTTCAAACTCAGGTTCTGTCCCTGACGAGCTCCCAAGTTACCTGAGACCATTTGTCCAGGCCCAGAGTTTGAGCCGAAAATCCCAAGGAGCTAAGGGGACCAACGCACATCTCCTGAGAATATCACACCCAGTGCTGGAGTCAACGCACATCTCCTGAGAATATCACACCCACTGCTGGAGTCAGCCCCAGCCGAGAAGGCCTGGGAGGGGTGCTGGGTTTGGGTGGGACCCCGGCCTGCTATGTCCCTGCTGGCCCCGGCCTCTTCCGGCGCCTTTCTCCGCAGAGCCTTACATGTGCACTGACTCCTGCCCTGCGTGTGCCCAGCACAGCACAGCCAGCCCTCCAGGCTTCAGCTTCTCCCGCTGGGAACACCGGCTTCTGGGGGTGGCTGACCCCAAATGCCAGACACCTGGCTCCTGCCTCTGGAAACCTCGGCTCCCTCAGGTCCAAACGCTTGCTGGAGAGGAAAGCGTGGCCTCGCCAGGCCCTGCCTCTGGGAACATCAGCCATGGAGGCTTTTCTTGCAGCCATGATTGCGCTGACAAGCACCAAAGCTAAGTCTGGAAGCTCACTCTTCCTCCTGGGCCAAGACTCTCATCTCCACGCTGCACACACTTAGGGGAGGGATGCCTAAGAGGGGCCACTGCTTCCTCCACGCCTGGGTCCTCTGAGAGGCAGCCTCATCCCTGGGGCAGGAATGTCGCTTCTGCAAGCCCCTCTGCACCCACTCACGACCACCGAGGGGCTGTGATGTCCATCCATAATTATTTGTCCTCCCCAGCCCAGCCATCCTTCCCTGTAAGTTTGGACCTAGGGCTGGCTGGTACCCACGGTGTGAGCTGCCCCCTGAGCCACAGCAGGTTTGGGCTGTGCACATTGACCCAGACCTCCTGTGTCTGGGATCTCTGTGTTCCTATCTTCTACCGTCAGAACGCATCCCAGATGAGCTATCCCTGGAACACGAGCCCCGGGGGAGGCCACGGCATCATGGCCCCTCACGCCGTCACCACGGCACCAGCCGATGCACCTGCCACCTGCACCTCAGCCCTGCCTCCACTCTGGGGCCTGCCGGCGTCTTCATTCCCGGCCCACTCGCCACCTGTGCCTCAGCCCTGCCTCCACTCTGGGGCCCTCCGGTGTCTTCATTCCCAGCCCACTCGCCGCCCGCACTTCAGCCCTGCCTGTGCTCTGGGGCCTGCAGGCATCTTCATTCCCAGCCGACTCTAATGTCCGAAGCATGTTTTGCAGGCACAACTCCTACATTATCAGGCGGCAGGGGCACAGGAGCAGATCACGGTGCCACACGGTGGGTCCCCTCACAGCTGAGCACAGTCCAACGTGTCCTCACCTCCAGCTTCCAACCCCCAACAGCAAAGCACGCCCAGAGGCCTCAGGCTTGGGACACATGTACCAAACACCCCCTCTCCCACAATGTGCTCAAGGCCTGCAGAGACCCCCGAGGCCCAAGGCCCACCTCCTCCCTCGGTGCTCCCAGCACTGGAGGACACGGAGGGCTGGGACGTCTCAGGCAGCCAGCCGTACAGCGGCTGATGCAGATGGAGTGAGCAAAGATCAGCCGAAAAAGAGGACTGTGTTCTGAGCAGGAGGCTCTCACAGAAGGGCCTCAGTTTTTAAACAGAGGGACAGTGAGTGAGCGGTGCCAGAGGCTGTCCTCTAAGGAGAGGGCGTCGTGTGGGGAAGGAGGGGCCCCTGGTACAGATGCAAGGACCCCGAGAAATCAGCTGCTCCCCTCTTCTGTGCGTCTCTCCTGGCCCCCGATGTCTTGTCACACTGAAGTTTCTGGTGGGCAAAGGCTGTGCTCCTTCAGGGTACACAGTGGAGTCTCATGGATTTGCTCAACAAGCAAGGGGGCCACGCAACAGTCACCATAGGGCAGACCCAGGCGGTCTGGCCCCAAGCCGGGGAGGACCTGGCCATCTTCAGGAGGGACTGGCTCACAATGGCCCTGTGCCAGGGAGGGCTGGCCCTGCTCTGTGTCCCTGGGGGGCCACAGTAATGCCCATCAGAGGCCGGAACACGTGGCCCGAACCACACACGGGAAACCATCCCGGGCTCATCGCTGTGGCCATGGCTGCTCACCCACCGTTTCTCACTCAGTCCAGGAGACTGAGGGCTCCCCACCCACAGCTCTTGACCCTTCCAGCTCCCTGCTGACCAAGTCAAGGCCAAAGGCATCCCTGCAGCTTCTCTGGCTGGAGATGGGAAACAGCTTTCCTCCAAGGGCCGTGGGAGCTCGCACGGCCTCAGGCTGGTTTCTGTCCAGTTTCCGATTCATAAAAGCTGTTCCAAGCACCTAGACCTTTAGCCAGAGACAGTGCACGTGAAACCACACCCACAGCAGAGGCCTCCAATCGGCGCAAGACAGAATCGACCCCACACCTGGGATCGGGAGCGCAGTAGAGAAGCCAAGTCCAGGCCAAGTCGATGCCAGACACACAGCCGTTCCCCAGGGACACACATTTTGAACACACGACCATCCCATCCCCCAGGAAAGCACATTTCTTGTGATTTCTTGCAGGCTTCCCTTTGGTGTGATTTCAGACCCGTCCTGGGAGCCCAGTCAGCTCCATGAATAATGTAACCAATCACTCCAGCCTCCTTGGTGAGGCCTCCAGGACCCTCCGGAACCCTCCAGAAATGTCCCCAGCCCATTTCCCCAACAGCCCCGGCCAGGCCTGTGGCTCACGGCCTCCTCACGCTTGGCCTGGCTCTGAGCTCCCCCTTCCCTGACATGCCAGGGCCCTGGGTTTCTAGTTGTTGTATTTGGTATGCTGTTTTCCAGCTTTTTCACACGTTTAAGTTCTGCCTTCCCAAGAACAGCAGTGAGGAGACTTCGTGCTTTATTTGGCCCTTACCTTTTATTTGTGTGTTGTGCTTTACAAATGTGCCTAGAAATTACATGAATGACCGTGTCTAGGAGCTGCGCTGTGCACGGGGTTCGGAACACAGGATGGAAAGTGGCCCAGGCACTGCAGTTTGAGCCCAGCAGGTGCCCAGTGGACCCCGGGGCCCTCAGTGAAGTGCAACACAAAGGCCCCGCACACATGGGCTCACGCAGGGCACAGAGCCGACGCACCGGCTTCATACAGCTGCTGCTGCGGGCAGGCCCAGCACCTCAGCCAAGAGCCCACTCCTGCCCTGTCCCAATCAGTTAAACAGGAAGGTGCTCCCTGCCTGGAGAGGAAACCACACACGCCAGCCCCAGATCAGCAGCTCTGAACAATGAGCGTCACCACGCTGGTCCCTGCACCTTGGGGACACCCGGGGGGCCTGAGGCCCGTGTCCAGCAGGAACTCGACCCATCGCTTCCCACCCCAAGGAGCTGTGGGAGTGATGGCACCAGGTGTGACGGACGAGGGTGGGGTGACCGACCTGGATGGGGGGTTGCTTTCTCCTCCTCCCGGATGGACAATTTCATTTTACAAACCTGGTCAGCCCTGTCTGGAGCCATCAGGCTGTGGGGTGGGACCTGCTGCCAAAGCAAACAGCTAAACCTTAAGTCAAATAAAACACCTCTGTAGCAGCAGATGCAGAGGGCGCGGCTCACCAGGTGGCTGGGGCTGAAGGGACAGTGGACACGGGGCAAAGGTCAGTGACACCCATGCCCCCCACTCTGCTGTCCACGTACGGGGTCCCAGCTATGGGTGACGTGGATGTCTACACAGGTGTCTGCAGGAGCTGCCTGTGTAACACTGCTCTGAGAGTCTGTCTGCCAGCTCCTCGGCTCCCACCCTGCACAGGGGCGTCAGCAGCAACCCCATCGCAAACCTGGAAGCGCAGATGGCATCTGCTGCCTGGGTTCAGTGCAGCAGAGAGAGGGCAGTGTGTTTTCCTGGGCCAGACCCACAGTGGTCTTGGTCTCAAGACTCACCCGAGGCTCTCGATGGGAATTTGGGGCTCTGGGTCTGCCACTGAGCTGGGAAGTTGCTCTCCCCAGATGGAGACGTGAGGACGAGATGATCTCAGAGTCCCTCCGTTCACGGGAAGCAGCCGCTCAGCTGGGAAAGCAGTGCAGGCGAGGGCGGCCCGGGGCTGGCAGCAGCACCCGCCTAGGCCCAGCTCCCACAGCTGCCCGGCCACACCTGAGATAGCGAGGGCGGGACTGGCCCAGCAGCTGCCAGGGTGCGTCCAGATCTGTGCAGGAGTTTCATGGGGGTGGTGAAGCCAGAGAAAGCAGCTGAGGATCCTAGGCAGGGGCTCAGCTGTGCACAGATGCAGACAACACAACACAGCCCCCGTCCAGGTGCCGTGGGCGGCACTGCCAGCCATCAGGACTCAGGAGAGAGGAGGGGCGGCACCAGGTCTCCACCCACAGGGCTCACCAGGAGCCTGGATGCCATCCTGGGCCATGAACCCATCTGAGGACGACAGTCTCGGGACCATCGGGCGCATCCAAGAAGGACATTCCCGGGCCCGTGGGGCACACCTGAGGAGCACGGTCGCAGGATGCCGTGGAGAAAAGATGGAGACGCAGGGCCTCTGAAGGGCACTGCACACTCTGGAACACCATTTCCCCAACAGACGTTCCACATGGTGGGAAACATTTGCGACGTTCTGGGTGGAAAATCACAGCACAGGTCGAGCCTGGCCCGTCCCAGCCCCGCTGCACACATAGCCCAGGGTAGCACGGCCCATCCTGGCGTGTCGGGGTCACTACAGCTGGCTAGATGCAGGGACCAGAAACATTTCCATTCTTTTGTCAGAAACTCTCTAAAGTCAACGCCTTTTATTTATTTTTTCTAGCCAAGGCCTCGCTCTGTCACCCAGGCTGGAGTGGAATAATGCGATCTCGGCTCACTGCAGCCTTGATCTCCGGAGCTCAAGTGGTCCTCCCGCCTTAGTCTCCTGGGGTTACAGGTGCACGCCTCCAAGCCTGGCCTACATTTTATTTTAAATGCCATTTACCTTTGTGATGTAGGATAACCTTAGAAGATGACGAGGGCTAGCCCAGCCTTGGAGACTGCATGAGTCTGGTGGCTTCGGGAAAAGGGGAGGTCTCTAAATGGGGCCCTGGGAGGGGAACTCGGGACTATGTGGAGAGAAGACGTCAGGCTTGGATCTGGTGAAAGTCAGCCTGGCATGGGGTGAGGGCAGGGCTGTACTGTGCTTGGGATGAATGTAAAGGCTGCACCCGGCATCACTCCCCGGTGGCCGCCAGGTGCTGCTTGGCATGCGGATGTCAGTTCCTGTGGGTGCGCCCAGGACTGAACGGACTTCCGGGCCACGCCTGCTCACTCACCTGGTAAGCCAGATCCCACCCTTCTCATGCCACAGGGAGAGAGGAGTCTGGGGGAGAGGGCACACTCTCCCACTGCTCTCCCACTCATTCCCCCGTTCCTGTGGAAGGAGGGTTCGGTGACAGGATGCCAGCAGCCCGCCACCTCCACACCCAGAGCCACGCTCCTCCCTGCATCCCGCACGGTCCCACACGGGGCACATCCCGGGGGTGACTTCAGGCCAGCAGGCCTTGGAGCCACAACGCCGCAGGCTCACCCCACCACCGACCCCACCTCGGCCGCCAGCTCCCCTCTGCTCTCCTGGGGCAGAAGTGGCAGCCCTGAGACACTGCCACCCAGCAGCAGCTCACACAGCGGCAAGGACAGCAGTTGCAGTGCCAACACGTACTAAGCACAACTGTATACTGGATGCTGCCCTAAGCTCTCATACAGCTTAGTGCTGACGGTATACTGGGCGCTGCCCTAAGCTCTCAAATGGACCCTCTTTCCTTCTTTCTCTTAATCATATGCTCAGCAAACAGGCATGTTCAGGAGGCGGACAGGCTCGAGAGCGAGCCCCGGTCTACATCCCCATTCTGCTGGCTGACATGAGCTTCGTGCCCTCAGAGACGCCCTGAGCCTCCGTGAGCGAGTCTGTAAAACGAGGGGAGCCCGGGGCACGGGCACAGTGCCTCGACACAGCGGAGTGCCACCAAACAGCCGCATCCTGGAGAGGAGAACACGGGAGGGGCAGACACACGTGAGTGCCACGCAGGTCAGAGGATGCGACACCGTGTGCAGAAAGGTGACAGGACAGGAGGGGATGGAGGGAGGCGCCCCTGGGGACCGTCCTGGAGCCAAACCTGGGGAAGTCTCCGCAGCCCGGTGCACACGGACGCAGGCGTTGTTCCCCTTTTTGGGCGATAAAACCGAGCCACACACAGGTCGAGGGCTGCCTGGGCTCACAGGGGAAGCGCAGGCCTGGGTTTGAGCCCAGCCCACTGGCTGCGCAGCCCCCAACCTCGGTGGCCTTTCCGACTCACTCTACCCGACCTGTGTAGATGGGACCGCTTGGGAGGCCCATATGTCCTGCCCGCAGCGGCGACCCCAGGCAGGAGAGCCTGTGCCCGGGAGGATGCCCCACCCTCGGGGCTGGATTTACTGCCCGGGATGAAGGACATCGCGCGGCCTCACCGCAGGCTTCCCGGCTCTCCACACATTGGTCACCGCGCCCAGCTGTTCAAGCAGCCACATCCCTGACCAGCGGGAAGAAACGAGACAGCTCACCAAAGGGGAATCCAAATGTCTGAAAATATTTTCACCCATATTTTCCCCACTCTCACACACTTTTACAAACTCAGCTCAGAGATTCATGAGGAACTGCCCCACCGACAGCCTCCTGGGCAGCCCTGCCAGCCCCTGCCCGAGACACTGGCACAGACAGTGACGTCAGCTTGACGTCCCACGCACCTTGCCCCATTGGCAGCCACACTGGCCCCCGCCCGAGACACCGGCACAGACAGTGACGTCAGCTTGGCGTCCCACGCGCCGCGCCCCGTCACGCCGACAGCCACGCCAGCCCCTGCCCGAGACACCTGCATAGTGATGTCAGCTTGGCATCCCACGCACCGTGCCCCGTTGGCAGCCACGCCCCTGCCCGAGACACTGGCACAGTGACGTCAGCTTGGCATCCACACCTGCCCCTGCCCGAGACACCGGCACAGACAGTGACGTCAGCTTGGGGGGTCCCAAGCGCCGCACCCCGCATGAAGGTGCTTTTTTTTAATCAGGAAAAAGACGAAGGCGGAGGGTCGGCTGGGACCCTGTCCTGGGTACTGCCCTCCCACCCCACCCCTCCTCTGCTGTCTTTAAAATGAAGGTGTGTTTGCTGCTGTTGTGATTGTGCCTTTTATCTGAAGGGAAATCGAGCTGTGGATCTCACCTTCTTCGCCTTCCGATCTAAGGGAGGGGAAAATCCTACCCACCCAGGAGGCAAACACGTCTCTTAACTGGAGGCAGATCTCCAAGGTATCTGTGGTGTCATCTTCACCCAGGACCCCATTCCCAGCTCACACAGCCACTTCTGGTGCTAAAATGGGATGGGATCACCTAACCTCTCCCTCTGAAGTCTCTCTTGACTGATGGCACCACCGTCCACCCCAAATTCCAAGCCTGACATCGTGGGGCCATTGACGATGACTTCTCGCTCCCTCTCTCCAAGAAACATCCCTAAGCCCCGTCCCTCCTGCCCTGAAACCTCTCTCCAGGCACCCTCCCCCTCCCCTCCCACTGCCACTTCTGTGGCTGCGATCCTGGAGCCTCATCCCACGCCTGAACGACTAGGGTGGTCCTAAGCCACTTGTTTCCATGCAGTCCCTCCCGACTGCCACCTGCTCCCTGATTTCCTTGCTGAAAGCTGAGTCTCATTTCACATATCTCCTAAAAGCCCTCCTGGCGGTCTCTGTGGCTAACAGTCAAATTCCTGGACCGGTGTTGACCCCAGAGCCCTCAGGTCGGCCCCTACTGCCCACCAAGCCTCTGCCCAGGAACACCCACCATGTTGTGTGCCCGGCGCTCCCCCGCCACCATGTTCACACGAAGACATCACGTGGCTTCACCGGGGCTGTGCCATCGTGTCTCCATCACCAGATCCTCCCCCAGCCTCTGTCAGTACAGCCTCTCTGTGGCCTCCCCATGCCCCGCGCTACCTCTCCCTCCGCGGCAGCGCGTGGTAATCTCTGGCTTAAAAGCCACCTTACTGCAGAAGCGGGAGCTTCTCAAGGCAGCGAGCCGCTCTCTCCTCACCCCCATGGCCCATGGACTCCTGCCTGATGCCCGCGCACGTTTGGCAGAGACTGAGCCGGGGCTGCCACTGTAAGTATTTTGGGGTTTGCACCAGGGTCTGACCTCAGTGTAGACACCCTTACGAGATGAACACACATTGCAGAGAAATGTTTTCTTTTGTCCTAGCTCAAATATAATGTGAAAGTCAGTGCTTTTAAAGCCAGAACTGAGGTGAACTTTTCAGTGTTCCCGATGTTCTGTAGATTTACAGTATAGGAGACCTAATGCAATAAAAATGATTGGCTACGAAACACCAAGGGGAGAAGGGTAAGTTACGTAAGTGCCAAGTTCCACCTTTCCCCAGCTAGAATATTCAGTGTCCATTTCACAAAAACGAGACTGGGCTGAGAAGCTTCCACATCATTATTCAGTGGGCCCAGCTCACTGCTTCAAACTCAGCTTCCTACAGGCCACGCTTATTTCCCTAATCCACTCCCAAGGAACAGACGTGCAGCCACTGAGGATGAGACGTGGCCACCACAGACGCACGGCGGGAACGTCTGGAGCACCTGGGTGGGTGGTGGCTCTCCCCACAGGAGCACGGCTTCCCCTTCCACTGCCCTCACTGAGATGGGGAAGTCGGGCACATTCCGACTGGGCCTCATGACATCAGGAAGCACGGTCGAGGTTTAGGCAGATTCTTAGGTATACATCCATTGGCTCCCACTAAACATGGCCAAGTATCTCCTACAGGCTGGGTATCCCATATCCAAAATGCTTAAGGCCAGAAATGTTTCGGATTTTGGATTTTTTTCAGAGTTTGGACTATGTGCATATACATAATGAGACATTTGGGACGTGACCCGAGTCTAAACACAAAATTCATTTATGTTTCACGCACACCTCATACACGTAGCTTGAAGGTAATTTTATACACTGTTTTAATTTTGTGCATGAAATAAGTTTTGACTGTGACTGTCGGGTCAGGTGTGGATTTTCCACCTGTGATGTCATGTCAGAGCTCAAAAGTTTCAGGTTTTGGAGCATTTTGGATTTTCTAATTGGGGCACTCAACCTGTAATAAAAAGGGAATACTTGCCTTGTTTAAATAAATATTTTAAATACAGTGAGATCACTAGGGAGGGTAAGACAGGTGCTTTTAACAAGAAATTGTTTTCGTGGGCTGAATCCCACATAGGCCAAGCCCTGTGGAGTCGGCTGTGGTTGAGACCAGAACCAGCCAAATCCTGCCCTGCCAGACATGACTTCCGGTAACTTAACCCGCAGGGAAGGGCTCCTGGCTCTGAGCAAATGACCCCCTTTCCCGGCCAGGGAGCACAGACTGCTGCAGAGCATGAAAATCAGGGTCACAAACAGCAAACGCCAAATACACTCAAAAAAGCAAATTTCAGTTGCATCCTGAGCTGTCATCTTGAGGGTCTGTCTTTATAAAATCATTTGCAAACTTCTGATAGATTTTTGAAATACTTAGCAACTTCTAATAAAATTTCCAATGTTCTAATGAAGTCACACTTTAAAAATCTGCTATTATTTCCTTGTGGAATGAGTACTGTAACTGGATAATGTGTCTGAAAGGTGTTCGTATCCTGAGAGACACCCCCCAAAACACAGTGAATCAGGTCCTCAGAGACACCCCCCAAAACACAGCGAATCAGGTCCTGGGAGATGCCCCCCAAAACACAGCGAATCAGGTCCTGGGAGATGCCCCCCAAAACACAGCAAATCAGGTCCTGGGAGACGCCCCCCAAAACACAGCAAATCAGGTCCCGGGAGATGCCCCCCAAAACACAGCGAATCAGGTCCCACACAACGTGTACAAAGTTAACAGAAGCAGGTGGCAGGCGGCCGGATTTCGCAGAAAGCCTCAGTGAGGGCAGTGCTGTGGCCACACTCAAGTTCAGCTGAGACTGCTTCCTGGAAGGAGAGCTCCTGTCCCGTCCCCTCCTGCAGGCCCCACAGAGCAGCTGGACCCAGGTACAGAGCCCCAGGTGCAGAGCCAGGTGGCGGAGGCCGAGCAGGCTTTCTTTGTTTTTGTCTCTGTGGCAACAATGTACCAGCAAACACCTAGTTTACTGTCACATGGCTGCAGGGTGGTGGCTCAGGGGAGGAGGCAGCGGGTTTTCAGGAGCGCATTCAGCCAGCTGCGCTCTCCTCAAAGCTGATAAGCACGCCAGTTCTCCTTACCCCAGGTCATCCCTGCCCGTTGTTTAGGGAACAGGGACTGATTCTTTGCTTTCCCTGCAGCATTGGGCCTGGCCTGGCCTGGCACAGAGCAGACGCTGGGCACACACTTCCCAAGTAAGTGAAGAAGGACGGGATGAAGAAAAGCACCCCTGGGACCTTTGTCATCTTCTGCTAATTCATTTGTTCTTAGCTCCACACAGAAAGCAGTTTGGTTTTCTGAAAATTCGTGCCTGTACATAGAAGTCGTGGAAAGTCCTCTGAACTGCTCTTGGCAATCATGGAAAGCAAAGGTCTCCTTGCAAGAGCAGACCCCTCCATGTGATTCTGAAGGAAACTGTGCGAGGGTCTCTGCCAGCCACTGCTCCCCGCCTCGGCCACCGGGTGGTTTATTATGTCACACTTCTCAAGGCACCGTATGTGGGATAAGCACTTGCACTGGGTTTGCTTAGCACACTCTTTACTTTGTCCTTGAAAAACAGGCTTCTCTGGGGTGAAGACAAAGTGGTCTCCTGTCCCCGAACTTACCTGACACTGCAGGGTTTGGAACAAATATCCCACGACAGGGCTGGACCTGGTGTAGCCACCACATTCTGTAAGTTCCAGGGGTCTTTAAACATAAGAAAGTGACGAAGGGTGTGGTAGTTCCTGCACTTTCAGGATAGACAAGGTTCCCACAGATCTGAATGGTTTAACACAGGGGTCTGCAAGCCCCGAGCCACAGACCGGTACTGGTCGGGCTGCACAGCAGGAAGTGAGCGGCAGGTGAGTGAACAGGGGGTAAGCAGGAGGTGAGTGGCGGGTGAGTGAGGACTGCCTGAGCTCCGCCTCCTGTCAGATCAGCAGTGGCGTTTGATTCTCCTAGGAGCGAACCTATGGTGAACTGTGCATGCGAGGGATCTAGGCTGTGAGCTCCTTATGAGAATCTAATGCCTGATGATCTGAGGTGAACCGTTTCACCCTGAAACCATCCCTACCCCTGATCTGTGGAAAAGTTATCTTCCATGAAACTGGTCCCCGGTGCCAGAAAGATTGGGGACTGCTGGTTTAAGAGATTGGCAAATTAGAAAAGAAAGCATCACTGAACTCGCATGGAGTCTAAGAGCTCAGGAAGGACTCAGGCGTGGTAGCTCCATCCCCTGCTCAGGGAGGACTCGGGTGTGGTAGCTCCATGTCCTGCTCAGGGAGGACTCGGGTGTGGTAGTTCCATCCCCTGCTCAGGGAGGACTCGGGCGTGGTAGCTCCATGTCCTGCTCAGGGAGGACTCGGGCGTGGTAGCTCCATGTCCTGCTCAGGGAGGACTCCAGTGTGGTAGCTCCATCCCCTGCTCAGGGAGGACTCCGGTGTGGTAGCTCCATCCCCTGCTCAGGGAGGACTCGGGCGTGGTGGCTCCATGTCCTGCTCAGGGAGGACTCGGGCGTGGTAGCTCCATGTCCTGCTCAGGGAGGACTCGGGCGTGGTAGCTCCATCCCCTGCTCAGGGAGGACTCTGGCGTGGTAGCTCCATGTCCTGCTCAGGGAGGACTCGGGCGTGGTAGTTCCATCCCCTGCTCAGGGAGGACTCGGGCGTGGTAGCTCCATGTCCTGCTCAGGGAGGACTCGGGCGTGGTAGCTCCATCTCCTGCTCAGGGAGGACTCCGGTGTGGTAGCTCCATCCCCTGCTCAGGGAGGACTCCGGTGTGGTAGCTCCATCCCCTGCTCAGGGAGGACTCCGGTGTGGTAGCTCCATCCCCTGCTCAGGGAGGACTCCGGTGTGGTAGCTCCATCCCCTGCTCAGGGAGGACTCGGGCGTGGTAGCTCCATGTCCTGCTCAGGGAGGACTTGGGCGTGGTAGCTCCATGTCCTGCTCAGGGAGGACTCGGGTGTGGTAGTTCCATCCCCTGCTCAGGGAGGACTCAGGCGTGATAGCTCCATGTCCTGCTCAGGGAGGACTCGGGCGTGGTAGCTCCATGTCCTGCTCAGGGAGGACTCGGGCGTGGTAGCTCCATCCCCTGCTCAGGGAGGACTTGGGCGTGGTAGCTCCATCCCCTGCTCAGGGAGGACTCCAGTGTCGTAGCCCATCCCCTGCTCAGGGAGGACTCGGGCATGGTAGCTCCATCCCCTGCTCAGGGAGGACTCGGGTGTGGTAGCTCCATCCCCTGCTCAGGGAGGACTCCGGTGTCATAGCTCCATCCCCTGCTCAGGGAGGACTCGGGCATGGTAGCTCCATCCCCTGCTCAGGGAGGACTCCGGTGTGGTAGCTCCATCCCCTGCTCAGGGAGGACTCCAGTGTCGTAGCCCATCCCCTGCTCAGGGAGGACTCGGGTGTGGTAGCTCCATCCCCTGCTCAGGGAGGACTCGGGTGTGGTAGCTCCATCCCCTGCTCAGGACAGAACGTCCCTCCAGGCCGCACAGAGCTGCCGAGAATTAAAACGCACCACACCCGTGCACCCACAGGCACCAGCTCCGCAGGGAAAGGTTCACGTGCCCGGGCCCTGCTCCCCACACCGGGCAGGTGCTGGCCTTCTCCACGACTTTCCTTTCCACTATTTTAGAAATACATTCTTATCATGGCAGGGCTGTACCCCAAAGGTGCTTAACAACCTTTTTGGCTCACCATGTAGAATTAAAAAAAAAAAACACAGTAGACGAGGACCACAGAGAGCATCATGCATCCCGGGCAGAGGCAGCTGCACCACCACACACGGTGTGTACATGTGCGCTGCCACAGATGCCGTCGACTTCCCTCTGAATCGGTGCAAACTCCTGGTCTCAGCCCCAAGACGAGTGGCATGTGCACCTCCAGAAGGAGGCCTCCTCGCCCCGCAGCCTGACCCTGTGACTCTCTTCTAAACACACTGTTTATTCAGAGCAATCTTCTGATGCCCAGCCCTTTTCCCCTTCTCTGAAGAACAAAAATATAGAGCAGGATTCCAAGTAACTGTGACAATGGGTGTGTGTTGCTTGGATGAGGCTGTCCCCTTGTGGGCTGGGCAGGGTCAGTTCTGGTCATTTCTCACAGGTCCGCTGTGACGAGGGGGACAATCCCATCACTGTCCGCCCACAGCGATGGTGCTCATGGGTACTTCCCACACCCCTGCCAGACTTCACACTTTCCAGACACACACTGGCCCCTTCCAGGCCCTGGACAGGGATGAGAGGCCGGATGGGGGCGAGGGAGCCCAACGCCCAACCCTCTCACCACCGTGCAAAGACCAGCAAGCCACAGTATGGAGGACTTCCCTTTCCTCTGCCACTACCATGGAAGTGAAAACGTTGCATGCAGCGCAGGCCGAGACCTCACACCCGGCCTCCTCCTTAGTCTGCCAGACCGTTTTGGGCAGAGCAGCTAAAATCTCTGAACTCCAGGACTCAACTGTGCGGCTGCAGAAGGCCAACTCTGCTTCCCCTGCTGGGCCTCTCCGACTTGGTTTTAATTTGTCTGAGGAAGGGAGTGTGAGCAGTGAGTGAAAAGCAAGAGAGGAAAAAGACCAATGGGTGCTGGTGCTGACCTTGTGCTGGGTGGATCAGGGGGCAGACAACGAGCCCTGGGCTGCGTCCACAAGGTGTGCTCCAGGCGCACGCCACCCTCTGCGTGGCTGCAGACAACAGCGTTTCGGGAAAGCGCTGGAAGGGGCAGGTGGAGGGAGATGCCTTCTGGGACCCCATCCAATCTGAACCTGAACAAGCTGCAGAGACCCTGCGGCCCGTGCTGTCTGCGGCCCTGCAGCCGGGTGAAGGAATGGCTTCAGGGAAAGGCAGCTCCACTGAGTGAGTTCACCGGGTGCCATCTGTGTAAAAGGACCCACCGAGATGGAAATGCGGCAGCCCAGGGTGGCTGTGGCCCCGCGACCTCATGTGCTCCAGCTCCGACACTGGCTCCGAGTCCCACCTGAAACCTCCCCGGAGCCTTGGGCAGGACGCCAGCTTGTTTTCTTATCAAATCTAACTGCATATTGGCCAAAAGTGGCTCCTGCCACCCTTGAGGCATCCCCACAGTCCTGAGAGAACCCTAGACGGCCCTGGCAGAGTGCAGCGTACGCGCCACTGTTGGGGGAGCCCCCACGGTCTGTGAGGCAGGCAGGGGAGTGAGGGCGCAGTGCAGACCCGGCTGCAGGACTGAGGCCCCGTGGGCAGGGTTGGCACCCTCGGCCCAGTGTCCACCCACAGGCAGGCAGGCCCGCCCAGCAGACCCTCCGATGGGGCTTCCCTCCCTCAGGGGGTCCCCAGTGTCACAGAGAGGTTTGCGTGGCTCTTGCGTTTCTGTCCTAACCAGGGGGCCCAGGGGACCGCCTGTCCTCAGAGACACCCCGTGGTCTCCCGGGAGCACCGCCACTGTCTTAAACACCCCTGTGCGGTGGGTCCTCCGAGGGCAGTGGGACCGTGGGGAGGTGGGAGGTTTGGGGGAAGCCCAGGTGTGAATGGGGCGGTGGTGGTGCTGACGTCTACTGCTGTGTCCTCCCACACCGTTCGTGGGACGCTCTGACAACCCTGTGATGCGCATTTCTCTCCGTGACTTCCTGACTCTCCTCATCTGCAGAACGGGTGAGTTCAGAAGAGAGTGGATGCAGTTTTATAAACAGCAAAGCTGCAACTCTGAGGACAAGGACTCAGCACTCTGGGCCCCGGGAAAGCGCCACATGGCATCCGGCCGCGGCCCCATCCTCACAGAGACTGTGTCTTCACAGGCAGGATCAGACCCCGACCGCAGGTCATGCCAGGCAGACACACAGATGGCATTCAGCCAGTGAAGGGGCGAGCCCTTGTTCCAGGGCATTTTCTGGATTTCGAGGTGGAATGAAGGAAATGCCTTCTGAGGCAGGAGACCTGCTCAGCCCCACGCACGGCCCTGGGGGCTCACTGACCACGGGACGGGAAGAGGAAGAGTGGCCGGGGCTCACAGCTCCCTGCACGGCTGACCGTGGGAAGCTCTGCATAAACCGGGCTTCGGTGTGCCGGGGCCGATCCTCAGGCACGTCACCGGGTGTCCCATGGTCAAGGGGACCAGCAAAGTGTTCGGTCACGGCCTTGTCTCTGTCCTGCACCTGCAGCCATGGCCCCGGGACATCAGAGCTCTCAAGACGCGGGGCAGCCTGGTGCAGGCTGAGCCCCCAGCTGTTTGCACAGTTTGTGAGGCTCAGGCTTGCCAGACAAAAGGAGGTTATTTGCTTTTGGTAACTGTGACATAAATTAGGATCAGATGATAACTTTAGGGTGAAAAGCTCATTTGCTTCTCATCCCCACTCCCTGAGCTACTGCAAATTCCACAGGGGACACAGACTGCCCTGTGGAGCACGGGGCATCCACAGAGGGCACCTCCATGCTGCCTCACCCAGAGGCCGCCTCGACTGCTCCGAGCACACCACCTGCGAGGGACTCACAGGGGACGAGGAGACTCACCCTCAGCCACGGACAGCAGCCAGGAGCACCACTCAGAATACAGGTAGTAGCTTTTCATTTCCGCCACGGAAATCCGGACAGCCTTTCCGTCCCCCATGGCGAGGATCAGCTGCCGGGGAGGACGCGCGCTGCCCTGGGCTCGCCACAACCCTCTCCTTGTAACAGGACCTTTCTATGCTGAACTTTGTCCCCTAAAATCTGCATGAGGGACCAGCTGGCTTTTTACTTTCATTTCACCCACTACCTGGGACAGAGTACGCCAGGCAATTACCCTCCTGGAGGCCGATTCCTGCTCCGCCCTGATGTTTACATGCAGGTCCAGGCGACACACCGTGCCCGCCCGAGAGGAACTTGAGGAAAAAGGAACAAGCCTGAGCTATTCTTGCCTTGGGTCCAGGCACAAGGGACCCCGCTGGGGGCATGGCCTCCCTTGCTTTAAACAGGCAGCCGGAAGATGAAACGCAGCAGGTCTTCCGCTGTGCCTGGGGAGCAGCATATTCCTGGGGAGGCTGAGCCAGAGAGTCCTGTCGGGGGTGACTGCTTGCCAGTCTTCCTCCATCTGATCACGGCCCCAAATGCTGACACCACTGGCAATTGGAGGGATGGACAGAAGCAGAGCGGCCTCTGAAGGAGGATGAGCTGCACAGAGACACCGGGACCTGCATCCTGACGCCCTCTCCCCTTCCAGCTTTCCTTCGAGGGAGTCAAGTGTGATTGCTGAGGGATTGGTTCCTCCCAGAAGAACAGCTTTTGTTTGTGCACAGTCTTAGATCCACACGTTTTCCTTTTTGCACGCGCTACTAGGAAGCTTAAAGGGGAATTCCGCTGAGATCACTCACCCTGGGTGCCTCAAATGTATTTATCTGCTTCTTATGGTGAATCCTGATTCTGTTTGAAACTTCCTGTGCCAATCTCAAACACGTTTTATGAAGAGAATTTCTAGGCCGGGCGCAATGGCTCATGCCTGTAATCCCAGCACTTTGGGAGGCTGAGGCGGGCGGATCACATAAGGTCAGAAGTTTGAGACCAGCCTGGCCAACATGGCGAAACTCCATCTCTACTAAAAATACCAAAAAAATTAGCCAGGTGCGGTGGCACATACCCGTAATTCCAGCTACTCGGGAGGCTGAGGCAGGAGAATCGCTTGAACCCAGGAGGCAGGGTTGCAGTGAGCCAAGATCACACCATTGCACTCCAGCCTGGGTGACAGAGCGAGACTCCATCTCAAAAAAAAAAAAAGGAGAATTTCTAAATTCTAAGTAAAACAATCTGTTTTTCTTGGCTTAATTGGAACTCAGCTCCAAATACCCCAGGGCAGGGCAGCACAGGTGGACCCTGGGAGATCCGGCACCCGGCGAGGGTGCTGCTGCCTCTGAAGTATGGTGGTATCTCTGCCACCATGCCATGCAGGACAGAGGGGAGATGGACAACCCTGGCACCGGCCCCAACCTCCACTCAGTAAACAGACAACATCCACTCTTGGTTATCAGAAAATCTCCACCTGCAGCTACATTTTCTCCCAGCACCGTCTCCTCCGGGCAGAGGAGGCTCCTCCTCCATGTGAGTGGAAGTCCACCTGCCTCCTAACCCAAAGGGGCTCTTTTCAGTGCTCAACCCAAGGAAAACAGCTGCAGCACGGGGAGAGGTCTGTCCACAGAGATGCAGAAGCCAGCCTGACCCAGACACACAGGTGGACGGGTGGAGGAGGAGGAAGCCAGGCAGAAGGGAAGGCCCAGGAGGCTGCAGACACCACGCTTCCCCGGGGCCACAGTGCGTCAGAGCACTGAAGTGTCCGTCACCGCCTCACATCCTGATGACCAAGGGCAGAGCCAGCGAGATAAGGCAGGGGACAGAGCTGTAAAGAGGCCACAGGCATCTGACGCTCCTCCCGGCTCCCTGTCTCCGCCTACGGCTCTGCCGTGCCCAGCACCACGGGCTTTGGAGATGGGAACCTGCAGCGTGGCGGGCCTCAGACGTCGGGTGCCGCATTTACAGAGCTTGACTTAAGCCCCGCTGCCCCTCGAGGTGCAGGGCAATGCCTGGAGAAGGCCACCTGCCGGATAGAAGGGAGGAGGCTCATCCTGCAATTGTGAGGTCCGGCCTGGGTTTCCGCAGTGCCACTGGGCACACTCCCCAGCAGATGGGAAGCCAAAGACATGTTAACTTTTTTATTCTCACGACACAGAACTAACTTCTAGGAGTTTCTGGTGAAAAATCCCATGGTGAATCTTACTGGAGCTTCCCGTCCCTACCCAGCTGCCATGAACCTGCAACCTAGACCTGTGTGAGGGGCTCTGCTACCCCCTCACCTCCAACAAACCCTGAGGCACCTGCTGAGTGCTGCGTCCCTGCCACAGCCCGTGGGCCGCACCTGAACCTCACCTCAGGCCTTGCACTGAACCAGCCTGGCTGCCCCCACCACTTTCCACACCCAAAGGCATCAGGAAGTGCTTTCCCCAACCTCCCCACTGGAACCAGCGCCTCCTGAGCGTCACCACCATGGACTCGGGGACGAGCTGCGCCCCAGCCCCAGCCCCAGCCCAGCTCCTGAGGGTTCTTCCACCGACACCCCCTCCACACCTCGGCGCCCCTCAAGCTTCCATCCTCGCCCTTGTTCTCTGCAATTTCCCTGATCATCCTGTCCTTTGTCACAGCTCCAGCTGGGTGTCAGCTCCAGCCCAGACGTCACTTCCAACCACAGACACGATCACAGACATCACGCCAAGTCCCTTATGCAGCACGGGCTCAGCCACTGCTGGGACAGCTCACCCTGTCCTGAGGGTAAGCGGCATGGTCCCTGCCCAGCTCTCCCTCACCACGTCTCCCCCCTCCCACAGCACGCGAGAGCAGGCCTCTCGGCACAGCTGTGACGCCCGCCTCCCACCAGACACAATGAGGGCTCAGCAGCCTTCCGTGGCGCACACCCTCCTCCGCAGGAGGCCCCCCAGACTCCCCATCTGCCGCACCTCCCACCTGATGGGCAGAGGGGCAGAGCCTTGGGGAGATGCCCCCGGCCACCTGCCACGGAGCCTGGGCTCGCTCCATCCCTAGGTCCCCTGCTGCCACCCACTCTGTGGCTTCCTGCAGTCCGCAGGCTCCAGGCCCCATGGATGCGGCCACCCTTGGCCCAGCGTCCAGTCCTCTCCACGGCACGGCCAACATCTTGGAGAAAGCCTCCATCACTGCTCTTCCTACGCCACCACATCCTGTGCCTTCGGCCCCAGCTCAGAAATCCCCTTCACGAGGTGGGCACGGCCTCCATTACTAGGAGTACGTGGGGCTTCTCTGCCCTCCTTGGAGCCCACTAGGCCCCTAGACCTCTTTCCAAAGCTCCTGAGCTCTTGTCCCTTTGTCCCCCTCGTCGGCCCCATGCTCTCTGCTGGGGCCCCCACTGCCCGACCCCTCAGACAAGGCCTCCACTGCTGCACTCCGGGCCTAGTTTCCCACAACCTTCAGGTCCAACATGAGCTGAGCATCTTCCCCCAGCCCTGACCGGGGCCTGCCCAGTCCAGGCCTGGAAACACAAAGGGGCATCTGTGACTCCTCCACCTTCCAATCGGAGACGCACATCCTGGGAAGAAAACCTGCGGGGTGCCGAGCTCCTGCCGAGGGAGACAGCCAGGGCTGGGAGGGGGCCGGACAAGGCTCAGTCCCCAGGCGTCCATGCCAGGTGGGTCACGCTGGCGGCCCAGGCAACAGGAGGCAGAGGGCACTGGGCTCTGAGCCGCACCCGCACCGCCCGGCCTGAAGGAGGAGGTCCCACACCTGGGCTATGCGTCCCCCTGCCTGTGCCTCGGGGTGTGGACCCTGCCAGGAGCTGGTGGTCATCCGGTCTCAGGCTCGCAGGCCCAGGGACCCAGAGTCTGCCTCTCACTACACCCAGGTGATCTGTGCCGCGGAGGCCGCTCCACCCAGATGCCACGGGCTCGGTGCATCTGGGGACCAGGGCTCGGTGCACACTTCCTTACAGGATGGGGGTGTCTCACCGCCCTCACATTCCAGCCAAGGGCAGGACGTGGCTCAGTGAGTGTGAATGTCGTGGACGATGTCTTCACGGGGGACCAGAGCACCGCAGAACTCACAGCGGATGACACTCTCATCGCGTCTCCCAACACTGCCACCGCAGAGAGGCCCTGTCGCTGTGAGAGTTACAGGGACAAGTTCACTGTAGCTCCTGCATTCTCCTGCTCCCACAAGGAACAGGGTGGTACCCCATGGTGTGGAGACATCTTGGGGGTCCTTATGTACAGTGAGGGGATGTCTCAGGAGTTCTCAGGCACAGGAAGGGGACGTGTCGGGGTCCCCAGTGCGCAGGAAGGGGACATGTCAGGGTCTCCAGTGCACAGGAAGGGACGTCTTGGGGTCCCCAGTGCACAGGAAGGGACGTGTCGGGGTCCCCAGTGCACAGGAAGGGGACATGTCAGGGTCCCCAGTGCACAGGAAAGGGACGTGTCAGAGTCCCCAGTGCACAGGAAGGGGACGTATCAGGGTCCCCAGTGCACAGGAAGGGGATGTGTTGGGGTCCCCATCTCCAAGCCCCCACTGTGCTCATGTCCAGGGTCTTAAGACTTCAGCTTTGGGAGGGTGGTGGGGCGTGAATGGAGCGCTGGACACCCTGGCGTGTGCGGGATTCACGCACAGCCCCTGGCTGCCTCCCTCACACGGTGCTGTGGTGGATGTCAGTGGACTCGGAGGGAGGCTGGGATCTGTTATTTTAGCCCTGGGGTACTTGCACCCACACGGTGCACGCTCAGCTGACCGGCAGTGAGTGACACAGCCCTCCTCAGTGTTACAGGCTCTGTCCGTGCCCAAGGCGGGGGAAAGGGGAAGGCGGGGGAAAGGGGAAGGCGGCAGCCTGAGAGGCTCTCCTGCGCATGGTGGCCCTCCTGGCTGGCGCCGCTCAGCCCCAGGACAGTCAGGCATCGCCTGGATGTGTTCGCTGCCTCCCTTTCCTCTCCCTGACGCCCACCTGCCAATGCCCAGCCGCCGCCCATCCATCTCTGAAATAAATGCTCCCAAACTCCGTGGGGAGCCAAGTCAAAGCAGGGGTGGGGGCTGGCCCCAGCCAACTTCTGCCCCACGTTCCACAGCCCACCGTGGTTCCAGGTCGCCAGACAGGGGAAAGGGCAGGATGGAGCGGAAATCAGCAACAAGCTCCTTTCTCCCCCTCAAGCCAGCAGAATGCCCTTGCTCCTCTGAAGTGAACAAAAGCACTGGCTGTGACTTGTGAGAGTTTAGGCTGTTCCATCAGGCCGAGCAAACGTGCTGTTCCTGAATGGCATTCTTGGTCCACCTGGCCTGGGCCACGCCTGTGACAGCTCTGCACCCTCATCCCACCCAAAACACACCTCTTGTGATGCAAAGGACACCCACCTGCCCACAGACCGCGTGTGCCCGGGGAGCCTCATTAAACCCACCACTGCCGCTTCCCTCGCTTTGAGTCCACTCGTCTTTCCAATCGGAGCGGAAATTCGTAAGCCCAGGTTCCAGAACTGCAGGACAGGGCCGACCCAGAGATGAACAAAGAAAACTGGACCCACAGACCTGGAGTGGGATGCTCAGCAGTTATCTCTACCTTTTTAAGAAGTCTCCGAGCTGCACAGGTTTTTGCTGGTCAAGTGGTGAGAGAAATACCCCAGGGAGGCACCTGCCCGCAGAGAGGACACCTGCAGAGGGGACACAGCACCTGCCCCCATGCCCTGCGACCCCATTGTATCTCACCTGGCCTCGAGCGCCCTGCAGTTCCCCGGCGCCTCCTGGGCAGTGACCACAGCCGCCGCAGGGTTCCCCGGGATGCTCCCTTCTCGGCCATCGAACCGCCCTGTCACAAAGGCTGCTACAAAGCGGAGGCAGCTCTGGTTCTTCACGCAGGGACCACAGGCGACCCCCTGATGCTAGAGCCACAGCCTTCGGGTCTCTGCTGCGACAGCTAAAAGCCGGGCGGGTGCCGCATGGTCACAAGAGACAGGTGCTCAGGACCCTGGTGACTCTGGGCTTCGCCAACTCACAAGAAAGAACCCAAGAGGGCTGAGCCACCTCCTCAGAGTGCCCGGCCTCCCAGAGCCTGGCCCGAGCCACCACTGCCCTGCACGCCTGGAAGAGCAGGCAGACAATGCCGAGGTGCTAGAGAAACCCAGCCGCTGGGCCTGCCTGCTGTGTGCAAGTTCTGGGCCTTTCCTTCCTCGAACAGGGCGGGGGCTTGCGTGGGCTGGACCTCCTTGCCTTATGGAGCAAGCCAAAAACACCTTCCAGGCCTCAGGAAGTCTCAAGTTCAAACAAACAACTACAAACCCAGAGGAAGGGAGGGACGTGCTGCTGGCTGTCCTGAAACAAAGTGGGAAGTTCCACGCCTGTGGCTCCCGTCTGCTGCCGAGCTCCTCGAGGGAGGAAGTGATGAGGTTGCTTTGCGTGGCCGGAGATGCTTTTCCCCAAGAGGTGTTGAGCCCGTCCCAAGCCAGCAGCTCCCACCCTCTGCCCCATGGCTGCTTCCGAGGGGTGAGAGGTGACAGCATCCAGGGCTCCCAATGGCCCCCGAGGTGACGTGCCACCCTCAGGCTCTCAGAGTCCCTGGGCACCGTGCTGGGCACACACAGGGCTCCAGGCCTCACAGCTGATGTGCAAGGCCGTGCAAATGGCCTAGTGCCATTTTAACTCATTGTTATGTGCTCCAGGCCACAGGAAGAGAAGGTGGCAGGGCTGGCGCTCAGGCCTGCTTGTGAAAGCCCACATGCTGTCTGGAGCACCACATGTGCCCTTCTGTGAGCTGATGTGATTAGAACACGCATCTGGTTTGCAGCAAAAGAAGGCATTTATTCAACATTGTTTACTGAGTGCACACCCGTCCTGCCACCCTGCACAGGCGCTCCCAGAACGTATGGAGGGTCCCTGCCTACCATGTCCTCCCACTGGCATCGGGGACATCAAGAGGAAAAGGCTGCTTCCACAGCCTGAGAGGTGGCGCCTTGGTGTCCTATTAGCCTCCACAAATACAGTGATTCTGTTCAAAGTGTTCTGTGCTGGGTTTGCTCCTCTGAGAGCTACAGGTGTTGAGAGCCAGCTTCTGCCAGGAAAGACAGAGCTCCACATACCATCCCCCTCCTGCCTTCCACACCCACCTGCCAGACGCAACAAGGTGGTCCCAAGGCTGCCGTCCCCTGAAGCAGCTGGACGCTTGCTGTCTGTGCTGCATCCCCCAAAACAGCTACAGAGGAAAGCAGGGTGATGGGATCGATGTCTCAGCCACCCAGGAGCAGAGACCACGAACCCCGTTTTGTTGGGGGCTTGTGTGCAAGCCCAGGACAGGTCAGCCCTAACCTGACTCACATGAAAATGGGGAAACAGATGGCGCATTTCGCGTGGTGTTTCCAGAGCTCAGGCCTCTTTGGTTTTGTTTGTTTGTTTGTTTGGAGACAGAGTCTTGCTCTATCCCCCAGATTGGAATGCAGTGGCATGATCCCAGCTCACTGCAACCTCCACCTCCTGGGTTCAGGCAATTCTCCTGCCTCAGCCTCCCAAGTAGCTGGGATTACAGACCCCCGCCACCACACCCGGCTAATTTTTGTATTTTTAGTAGAGACCAGGTTTCACCATGTTGGCCAGGCTGGTCTCCAACTCCTGACCTAAGGTGAGCCTCCAAGGGCCTCTTTGAATAACCAGGAAATCAAGCCCTAAATGTTGGTTTCATCCACAAGGACAGACGCAGACAGGCTTTGTATTCACGGAAGCAGTGAGCGGTGCGCACGGGAGCCATCAGGGTCGCCTCTGGGGTCAACACCAAACCTCTCTCTCTGCCTTTCCTTCCCTTGTGCGTGGTAAGGTGCTGAGGAAGTCAAGGAAATCGGAACAGCAGGGCCACTTCCAGCTGCGCAGATTGGATGTGCACAGACGTTCATCATTCAATGTCCTAAACATCTAAATAGTTTTAAAGATGTTACTAATTAAAACCATTTTTCAAAAATTAATCCTGAGATATGAACCTCACTCACGATCTGCTGATTTCTTCTTATATGTAGCTCATACAAGCTTTGGCTTCAGCGACCATCGTGAAAACGCGGCCGTCCTCTCCTGGCTGGTGGGGGCCACTTCCTCCCTAAGCTCCGTGGTAGCCCCTCCATGAGAAAACACAAAAAACCCATGTGAGATCCAAGTTCTTCCTGTCACCCCGCTGGTTGGCTTCAGGGAGGCTCGAGAATGGTTGGGCCCCTGAGAAGTGGGTTGACTTTTGTGAACCCCGGGAGTCTATTTTATACAATGTGGCCCCAAGCTACTGTTAAGAAATCCATATCAGTAAGTGGTATCATTTTTGGCAGTAAAAGAGTCTTACATTAGCCACTCCATTAGTCGTGGAGTAGGGAGTTGTTTAGGGCCGGTCTTAAATGAGCTGTTGGGTGATTTAAAATTCAGCGCTCCTGGGCTGATGCGGGTGGGAGCCGCCGTGCACACCTGGGTTGTGGCACAGACGAAGGTGTCTCGTTTCCTCTCTCAGTAAAGCGTGGGGTGCAGGGAAGGACAGAGCGTGCTTGTGGAAACCGATGACTCCCCCATGCAGCCCCCACAGGGTAGTGACAGCAGCACTGGGAAGCCCCGCACTGTCCGACTGGGCGACCCCAACCCCTCTGCGCCAGCCCTGCTGGACCAGGTCCTTGTCTCCAGGTTTCCCGCTGCCCAGGAGGCCTGTGTGTCCGGTTTGGTGTGTGTCTCCTCACGGCTCTGTCGTCTTCCCGCCATGGTGTCTGAGAGGCCACTCACCGAGCAGCCCCTCCTCTCCTTCAGTCCCAGCCCGGGACCCGCCAGGGAAGGTCGTGGCTCCGGTCTGGTGGAGGCACCTTTGGTGAATGGCTGGGAAGGCCACACAGCTCTGCCTCAGAGGTGCAGGTGACCCAGTGCTGCTCCCCGCGTGAGCATCACACACTGCCGTCCGCCACAGCCTTGCCGCCCCATGAGCGACCTGAAGGCCGAGCCCAGAGCCGCGTGTGGTCCCCTGTGCAGCGTTTAACAGGTGCTCCAGCTGGAATGCTTCTCTTCATTGTCCATGACAAGTTTCGTTTTAAAAGATAAGGCATTCTTACAGAAACGAAGTCTTGTTTGGGGCATTAGCTCACCATCTCTAATATATTGCCAAAAATGTCATTAATGAAACTTAATACTAGTTCTTTCCTTTAGTGAATTAAGTAGCACAATTAAGTAATATGACTAATGCTGAGAAATTGGTTTTCATGCTTTGGGGATTTGTCTCATTTCTTTAACATTATTAATAAAGGAGTAAAGCAAACACACACACACACACACGCACACACACACACATACACACACACAAACAAGCAAACAAAAAAAAAAACCCGGAACATTCGCTGAGAGCCCAATTTAGAGGCAAATGCCAGGCAATCCCATAATTTAGAAGGAACAATCGGATCTGTTGTATTTTCAAACTCGCAACTGTAAGTTTTCTTGAGTGTCTCTTCCCAAAGGTTCAGTTTCTTCCCAGCACTGCGCATCTCCTGGGGTTTACACTGGACAAAGGCTCCTGGGGTGGAAGGAGGGAGGGAGGGAGGCCAGGAGCTTGCTATGGCAGAGGGGCCTGTGAGGTGCTGCGTGCTGAAGCCCGGGCTCGAGCTCTCTGCGACCGTGGGCATCTGGGAGAACAGTGACCACGGATGTCACCTCTATCACCGTGCGACCGCAACGAGGTCAACCACAGACCCTTCCTCTCAGAACCTTCCTTTTCCTTCTCATTTACCTGGAAAATCCCCACATACTTCATTACTGGGATCGTCAGTGCGGTCACACACCTAACTGTATGTGAGGATGACCACGGCAGCGGCTCCCTGAGGATGACCACGGCAGCGGCTCCCTGCTGTGCACAGGTGCTCATGGCGGGTACCCGCCGGCACTGACCATGTGCACAAGTGACCCTAACAGCAAACGGGTCCCCACAGCTTCCTGCCTGCTGGGTGCTTCTCAGTGCTTTTCATGCAGATTTAACTCATTTGATTGTCACATCAACCCTAGCAGGTAGGTGCTCTCCTGAGTCCATTCTGCAGATGGGGAAACCGAGGCACCACACAGCCACAGATGGCAGAGCTGGGGTTTGACCTCACAGGTCACGGGTCCAGCACCAGTGATTTTAACCTAATAGTCAATGCAACCCTTCATAGGGGCCCCGCTAACCTCACAAGGTGCAAACCTCATCCCACATCTTATCCACATATGACCACCAGACATTAGACATTCTAACTTCAGTACTTCGCTAGAATTCCAATGTAGGCAGCTCCATTTTTGTGTGTGTATCAGACAAGGGCAGTTAGCTTGTAAACATTCCAAAAGGCGTAACAGATGCTTCTTTCTCCACACCCAGAGTTATAAAATGAATGTGACCAGATACCTTCTGAGTTAATCCGAAGGGTAGAAGTGTGAAAATACTACTTACAGTGGTATCCTTCCAACTCTACGGATGGTGACGTGAGCTGACGTGGAAACGATAGTTCTGGTGAAAGAAGGGGCTATGTTGAGAGTGCTGCCTGCACGTCGTAGGCGGCGGAGGAAACGAAACACACGGAAAAGGCAGCCGAGCTTTCCATAATTAGGCTGCAGAACCAGCTTGGCTCCAGAAACTGTATTTGGTTAAATTATGAGTCAGTAGACCCTAGAGTCTGTTAAAATTATTCTCTACTCATGAAAATGTGTTTGTCAGACATAGCATGCCTTTCATGAGCAGCTGAAGCCTGGAGAACTTCTGATTGTGATGCTTATGCCTTGTTTTTTATTATGGCGAAAGCAGGTCTCCCGAGCCAGCTTCTCTCATATTTACTAGTCCCTAAAGTTCTAATTCTGGAGTTCATCCTCCAGTATCTCTCATATTTACTAGTCCCTGAAGGTCTAATTCTGGAGTGCACCCTCTGGTATTCAGCTGGTATTGATGATCAACAAATGTGATTTTCCCCAGAACGTCTGCAAAATGAGTGGAACCCCTAAAATCCATGCACTTTCCACACCCAAGGGGCCAGGCTTATGAAAAGCAGCAGAACAGCAGCATGCCAGGGGTGCAAAAGTCCAAGCAAACTCATCCAATGAGGTTGGCCACGCCGGGGGCTTCATGGACTCAGAGGCTGGCCATGCCAGGGGCTTTGCAGACTCAGAGGTTGGCCACGCCGGGGGCCCTTGCAGACCTGGAAGTCAGCCACGCAAGGGGCTTTGCAGACTCAGAGGTTAGCCATGCCCGGGTGCCTTTGCGGAACTGGTGCCCCTAGTTCTGAGGGGGAGTTTGCACCACTATAGAAGGTGGTCTTACCCTTAGGGAAGCCAAATGCAGGGAACTCCAAACGTAAGACTAAAGGAGGAGGAAGCCAGCAGGTGATGTGGAGCGGCAGGTGATGAAATGCCAGATAAGGAAGTGCCGGGCAATGAGGCACCAGGTGAGGAAGCGCCAGGATGGGAGCTGATGAAACAGTGGGGGATGGGGTCAGAGGGGGCAGTGGAAGAGTCAGGAGCGGCTTTGAAGACGGAGATCAGGAAGACGCTGGAAGGCGGCCACCATCCCAAGGCACAGGTGCAGCGTGAAAAGGGGCCAGTGACTCAGGAGGCGGTGGCCAACACAAGTCCCCATGAAACTCGGAACACACCTCGCAGGCATCCCCTTCTCAGGTGCTGCCTGGCATCACTCACTCCTGAGACCTTGCCTGTGGTCACTCAGCGCCAGCCCCTGGAGCCACGGGTCTCCCTGAAGGGCGCTCCAAGCAAACACAGGGCCGGCCCCCCAGTGTCCTCAGAGCAGGCCGGAACTGAAACCCCCGGGAGCTCATAAGTCTGCCCCTGGTTCCACAGGTGAAGCCGTGCTCGCGCCGTCTTCGCATGGAGGGCGTCAGACTCACCCAGCTGGGAGGCCTGAGCGCTGCGTTCTCAGGAGCTCTTGGGAAGCACTGAGCCGTGGCGTCAGATCACAGAAGGTCAGCAACACAGGACACCAAGGATGCTCAGAGGACTCACGGTTTCCTCACAAGCCTCCCTCCGCTCAAATCTCTAAAACCTGCTCCGGAATCCCTACTAACAAGATCCATAACAACATCCCATGAAAGCTAATTGTTTTTTAAATGTTTCTGTACTTTATAGTCACACCTATCTAATTAGAGACCTAAATTTCATGTTACAAAATAGTCAGCAACCCACACAGACGTACCTCATTTGGCTGCGTGGTTTTTCTCCTAAAGGGCCTCAGCACATTTAAAAAATGGACAAAGAAATCATGGCTCCTTGAGGAGACGCCAATCACTGAGGCCGAAGGCAGAGGCGTGAGAGGGGAGTGCTAAGGCGTCCGTCAGAAACCGCTGGGCTGGCTAATAAGCAGGTGGCATTTTGCCAGGGAGCCGCACCTACTCCACTGAGAGCTCTTCAATTCCACACAGAAATGCGTGCCCCTGCCTCCTGGGCGCGTCCCCCCAGAGCTTTTCCTCTGAGACCTGCAACTGGGGGGTGCCGAACAGCTGTGCCTGTGTGGTGGTCCTGGGAAGCCCCCTCATCCCCCAAAGCCCCTCCGTGCTGCTGTGTCCCTCAGCCCATTGCTCAGGCCACAGGCCCTTCCCAGGAAGAGCTTAAGGACAGGAGGCAGCACACAGCTTTTGCTCATCCATCCATCCATCCATTCATCCATCCATCCACCTTCCATCCATCCATCCACTCCTCCACTCCATGCATCCACTCATCTATGCATCCATCCCTCCCTCCCTCCATCCATCCACCCACCCATTCATCTATCCAGTCATCCAGTCATCCATCCATCCATACACCCATCCACCTACCCCTCCATCTACCTTACATACATATATCCACTCATCCATCTATCTACCAACTCATTCATCCATCCATCCATCCACTCATCCGTCCAAGCATCCACTCATCCATCCATCTACCCATTCATCATCCTCCATTTATCTATTTATCCATCCATCCACCCACACATCCATCCATCCACTCACACATCCATCCATCCATCATCATCCATCCATCCATCCACCCACACACCCACTCATCCACCCTTACATTCATCCACCCACCCATCCATCCACCCACTTATCCACTATCTACTAACTCATTTATCCATCCATCCATCCATCCATCCATCCATCCACCCACTTACACATCCATCCATCCATCATCATCCATCCATCCATCCATCCACCCACCCACACATCCATTCATCCACCCCTACATTCATCCACCCACCCATCCATCCACCCACCCACCCATCTACCCATTCATCCATCCATCCACTCATTTATCCATGCATTATCCATCTATCATCATCTGTCTATGACAAGAGTTAGTATTAGGTCAACTAATGGAAAAGGTGGGGCTAGATTTAAAGATTCTTCTACCACAGTAGTTCCCCAAGTTTGATTCCTGAAGAACTTCATCAAGAACTTAAGAAATGTCAATTATCAGACCCTAC
The DNA here is from genome assembly GCF_000001405.40 of Homo sapiens. Classification (NCBI taxonomy): domain Eukaryota; kingdom Metazoa; phylum Chordata; class Mammalia; order Primates; family Hominidae; genus Homo; species Homo sapiens. Next base: position 112,972,038 of record NC_000013.11, on the reverse strand, counting down.
CCCAGACTTCCTGAATCAGAAACTCTGAGGGTGGGCCCAGCAGCCTGTGCTTTAACAAGCCCCCAAGGTGACGCATGTACATGCTGTAGTTGGAGGACCACTGTTCTGTTTCATCGAATGCTTAAATCAACTAGATCCATAGCATTGCTCCCTCGAATGTCTTCTACCTTTTCACCAATGACTAAAATTCCAAAGAGAAAACCAAAACAGACGAAAATGAGCCCTATCACATAGAAGGGGGGCCAGGGGGAAGTTGCCACTGGAAAGTGCCCCTGGCCTTGTTACTGAAGATCAGGTTCAGAAAAGTATATAAAATGTCAATTCTCAAGGTCAAAGGCTACAGATTCACAGACCATATGGACAGCACACATTATCCTCCTTTACATGCAGATTAGCCTAGCTAATGAAGGTTCTAGGTGACAGAAGAAATGCATAAATCTGAAATTAAAACACAGCAGCATGTCCTGGACAGCAGCAAAGATAAAATGCCTGTGGGTTGGGGGTGAATCTACAGAGGGTGAAGCTCTGCACAGCTGAATGAGGCAGCTGCTCTAAGGCCAGCCGCTGTACGCAATCCCTCAGCTGTGACCTAGCCCCGCCACTGCCCTGAGGACCTACACCAGCCGCCACATCAGTGTCCTGTTGCCATCAGCTTTTACCTGGCACGGATCCTAGCATGACCCCAGAAGGAGAAGCAGCTCCATGACCTCCCGCTGAAGAGTGTTTGGCTGCAGGTGGGGAACTCTCCTGAGGAAGTGCTTGGAATTTAAACCCGAGGTGGGGATCAGGTTTACCTTGACCTTCACCCCTACCAGAGAATGTGCACCACATACCCGTACACTCTGTGGTAGCATCATGTCAATACTGCATCATAAACCCCCTCATGATGGTTTTACAGCCTTCAACCTAATAACTTGCCTCCGCTGAGCAGTACCTCACACAGCGTGAGCAGAAAATGGGTTTGTGCTGAAGGAAGAGGCCAGTGTTAATGGGTGGTAAGTGGAGTATGATGCAGGGTCACCTCCCCTAACTAAACGCTACAGGGTGCTCATAACCGAGGATATCTGGTAAGCTGGACTTGAAAGTCCTGGTGAAGCATGCAATTATCGGTAATGCAGATGTGTGGGAGGACGCACATCTCACTGCCTGTTCCAGATGAGACGATGGCCCACACCGAGCGCCCGGCTCGCACGACATTCAGTGAGCAGACAGTGTCACTGCTGCTCTTCTGAGATAGCCTTTTTCCAATTAAAAATGCGCACATGTCTCTTGGAGCTCATGAAGAAACCCCAATCCCTAAAAACCTGGGGAATGACATCAGCCTCTGGAGCGGTTCCCACTCTGTGACTCTGACACCGAACGGCACGCAGAGGCATGCAGAGCAAGGGGGGCTTTCTCCTCCACCCCCACAGCCGATCGGAAGCCTCCCTGTGAACCTGGCATCCACGCAGCCCTTCACCATACTCAAACCCTGCAAACCCTGCACGGAAAAGCTCCACTCAAGCTTCAGAAAAAGAGCTGATTCTCTAAGAATCAGGGAGCAGACGGCATGAAAATGGTTTTGTTTTCTTTCGACCCACATACAATAAACCCAGCAGCTTTGATCATAAAAGCCCCCATTAAAAACATCTTGATTAGACCATCCCATACGATGGTGCTTATGCTGATTTAATCACTGGTTCACTCTCAGAATCCATCGGGGTGGGCAGAGAAAGAGAACCACACCCAAACCAAGCAACTGACATTTTAATCTCCCAGGCAAGTACTAGTTAGACAACTAGTAATGGCATATATGACATAACATATGGCAACATCAGGCAAAACACTTGGCAACTTACTTTTAATGATATATCATTATTTCCTCTTCATTTCAAGGAAAACGAGTTAAGGATGCCTCTCCCTTCTGCATAACACAGCCTGAGAACTCAGATGCGACCGCCTGAAAGCCACGGCCAGATGCAAGCTGTCAGCCCAGTCTCTGCTTACACCTAAAAGAATCGATCTGAACTACTCTTCAAAGCTTATTTGAAGTAATATTTCGATTAATACTGAAAATGAACGTCCAGTCCACTCTTTACCCATACCGTCTCAAACATCTGTCTTAGGTTTAAATTGCATTTAATGAAGAAAAGAACCACCTGATTAGTCCAGGTTTTTTCATCCTCAAAACGAGCTTCCAGGTAGCTTCACCATCCCTACCCCTGGCTCTGAAACCCCAAGCTCTGAAAGCCCTTGGCTCAGATCATTCTCCATTCGCAATGCATTCTCCATTGCGAGGGCTGCGGACAGGCAGGTTGATGGGCAGACTTCAGACACACAAATGGCTCCGCATGCAGACCCAGCAACCCTGAGAGAGCCAGTGTCACCAACGTGCAGTCATTTTGACTATCCCGGGCAGCATACGATCGCCGACAGCCTCTGAAAACACACCAGCTGCCAACCAGTGCCCCCCATGTCACAGCTACCACGGCTAGAAAGGAACACGAGGGCGGCTTACAAAAATCAGACGCATTTCCCCACATTTCAGCCCATGATGTCAAGCTTAAGCACAGATCACTGACGGCCAGCAGCTCCTCCTACCCGTGTGCTTGGAAACCGCATTTAATCTCTGCACCATTTCTTCCAAGGCCATCTCTTCAGTCCTCAGCCAAAACCTCATCCTCCGACACAACAAAAATGATCCTGGCAGATCCGCTTCCTCCGCACGGGGGGCGCCTGCGGGTGGGGCCGTGCGAGTGCGGAGGGGGCGCGGCGGAGGCGGGGAGGGGGCCACGGCAGCGCTTTCAGCCTCCAGCCGCCGCCTCCCTGCCCAGGATTGGTTCCGCGCCACCGGGAGGGGGGCGCGCGCTGCGCCGCGGGGGGCGGGGGGCGGCTCGGCGGAAGCGGAAGCGGCGCGCGCCCGCCCCGGTGTGTCACCACCGCGGGTCACCTGGGAGTCCTGTGAGTGCACCGCCGGGGTCACCTGGGAGCCCCGCGTGTCACCGCCGCGGTCGTCGGGGAGCCCCGGGGCTCACCAACGAGGTCACCTGGGAGCCCCGCGGGTCACCGCCGCGGTCACCTGGAAGTGTCACCTGTGTCACTAGGTCACCTAGTGTATCACACAGGTCACCTAGAAATTCGTGTCACCGCCAAGGTCACCTAGAAATTCGTGTCACCGCCGAGGTCCCCTGGGAGCCCCGCGGGTGCCGCACAAGTGCCCCCGCCCTTCCCCCCGGTTCCGGGTCTCCACGCCCTCCTGGTTTGCGGGCAGCCGCGAAGCCGCGAGTGGACCGAGCGAGTGCAGCTGCCTCCGCGGGGCCGCGCCTGGCCGCCGCCTCCCTTTACCTCCGGCCGCCCCGTGGCAGGTGTAGAAGCTGCAGAGGCCGCAGCAGCCCAGCGCGCCCCTTCCGTGTGGCCGCATGCCACCCGCGCCGCGCCCAGGTAAGCAGGTCCGTGGGTCGCTGGGTCCATGCGTGGGTCCGTGGCTGGCCGGGGATGGACCAGCCCCTCCCCGCAGGGGCATCGCCTGCCCAAGGACGCAGGACCCAGTGAGGGAAGCGCGCGCTGCAGGCACGGGGCTCTCCACCCTCGCCATGGTTGGCACCAAGCCACACTGTGCACTCGACACACGCAGCGTCCTGGCTGCCACCTGCAGATTCCAGCTCGTGTCTATGCAGGGCCATGGCCGCCATCACAGGGCCATATGCAAGAAACTCTCTGAGCTCTCCTCGCCCAAAACCGCAGCTATCCTTTTGTGGTTTGGTATTATAGGTAACATGCCCTTCCTTAAAGAAACAGTATTTCAGGCCTGTAGTCCCAGCTACTCCGGAGGCCGAGGCAGAAGCTGAGGCAGAAGCAGGAGGATCATTTGAGCCCAGAAGTTTGAGCCTGGGCAATGTAGCAAGACCCCCCCCCCCACCTCACTCCCCAATCAGTTAAAAGAGAGAGAGAGAGAGAGAGAATTCCAGCAGGAAGAAGTACACATTTCCACGAATGGTTTGGGAATTCAAGCATCATATGGCTGAGGTTTGAACTACAGCTCATGCCAATAACATGTGCACATGCGCCAGCATTCCAGCGTCCAACAGAGCATGCGTGCACCATTCCAGCATCCGGCAACAATGCACCAGCATTCCAGCGTCCAACAGAGCATCCGTGTACCATTCCGGCATTTGGCAACAATGCACCAGCATTCCAGAGTCCAACAGGGCATGCGTGCACCATTCCAGCATCCGGCAACAATGCACCAGCATTCCAGCGTCCAACAGAGCGTGCGTGCACCATTCCAGCATCCGGCAACAATGCACCAGCATTCCAGCGTCCAAAAGAGCATCCGGCAACATCCCGGTGTCCAGTGGCACATGTGCACCTGGACGTTCCAGTGTGGTGAGCTTTCAGGCACGGAGCAAGGCCAAAGGGATAAAAAGATGAAGGTGACGCAGTACTCCCCCTTATAGTGCCTACAGGCCTTATAGGCCAGACAGATCTGGAAATAAATAATTCATAATAAAAAATAATTACAGAATAAGAGGCATAATAACCAGATAGAAAGTATTGAATAAATCTGTAAGAAATGGCTGCTTTGTTTTTGTTTTTGTTTAACATGAGAAACGTATTGAGTATCAGCAGTTTCACTTGGTTCTACAGAATCTCTTTGGAGACCAGTGAAAGGAGAACTCTGGAAAGGCCTCAGAGTGGATGGGAGCCTCTCCCTCTGTGGACAAGCGTTCCCTGGGCTGCCCAGGGTGCCTACGGCGGCACAATTGCTACCTCCTGTCTACACATGGTCTGCAAAAAGTGCCCTCAAATGGGTCTGCTCCTCTCATTCCCTGTCAGTTCAGGGAACCTTCACCACTCCCCATCCCCCACCGCCCCCCCACCCCAACCCTGCCCCTCCAGCTTCAGGGAAAGCCTGTCATCAGGCAGAAGGGTCCTGAAATGCAGGCCCTGCCCTTTCCACTAGTCTAAGGCACAACACCCTCCCTGGTCCTCAGCCCACACGGCCCTAGGCCACACTCCCTCTGAGCACCTGCCCTCTTCTCCCGGCCGCTCTCCTGGCATGCAGGTGCCCTCCAGCCTGCCCAGCCTTGGGCTGCGTCAGGATCTACCGAGGACTTGTTAAGCTCACACAGCTGGGCTCTGATGGCTCCTTGCTGATCCAGGAGGTCTGGGATGGGGCCCGAGGATGTGCATTTCTAGCAAAATTTCCTGGGATGTTGAATGTGCTGGTCCACACTTTGAGAAACACTGCTGAAATCTGTTGCATCTTAAAAGCAAGATGAAAGGAAAGGGCCACACCCTCTGGCCTGTCCCGCTTCTCCGATCTCCCTCTTCACCCCTTGGGCATCTCCACACATGCTATTGGCTTCTTTCCTCAACCCTGTGCCATCCACTCTGTCCCCTGGCCAATATCCTCTGGCTGGCACCATGTCATGTTGGGGCACCAGGGTGGAGACCCTTGGTCTCTGTGGTCATTGGCTTTATTACTTGTCAACTTGGCTGGGCCACCGTGCCCAGATATTGGGTCAAATGCTAGGTTAGATGTCTCTGTGAAGGTATGTTTAGATGAGATTGACACTTATATCAGTAGACTTTGAGTAAGGTGTGTGACATAACGTGGGTGGGCCTCACCCAATCTATCAAGGGGCTTGAGAGAAAAAGACAGAGGTTCCCTGAGGAAGAGGGAGCTCTGCTCCCAGACAGCCTGGACTGCAACCCAACTCTCCCCAGTCCCCAGCTGCCCCTGGACCTTCCAACACCCACAATTTCAGGAGCTGATTTGTTCAGCTAAGTCTCTCTCTAGCTCTGTCTAGTCTTTATTCTGCCTTAAATTATAGCACAGATGATGCCATCTTTCCATAAACATCATTTAATACTTGCCTAAAGAACGATTGTCACCATTACACCTGGCATTAGGGAGCACTAGGCGCTCCAGGTACCTGCCAGAGTGCTCCCCATGCTGTAAACTATTGGTCTTTACAGAGAGCTGGGAGAAGGCACTGTTTTTCGCGTTTTACAGAATATGCAGAGAGGTTCAGCGACTTGCCCCAGGCCACACAGAGGCACAAAGATGCAGACCTGTGGTGTCTGCATCGGGGACGCCTGTAGTGTCGTGAGGGGAATGGCATCCACAGAGTTCCCGACAGGTAGACCCAGGACACTTAGGTAAGGTCCCAAGCCGTGTGTCCCAAGGGATGGGCTTCTTTCCATCCCTGGCTCGGCCTCTCTCCCGGGAACCAGAGGCGCCCCAGGAGGGAGGCTGAAGGTAAAGCGACACCTGGATACCAAACATCCTCATGGCGACCTTTCTGGATGATCAGCCACAAAGCGGAGGTGAGAAATGGGAGCTGGAGCAGGCAGGGCCAGGCTCCCAGAGCCAACCCCGAGGCTAGGGGAGCAGGGCTATGGAGTGGCACAGTGGCCCCGGCCACAGAAGGGCAGGCATAGGTGTTTCCTGCACAGCCTCACTCCATGTCTTGGGAGGGGTATCAGAGAGGGTAGAGACTGGAAAAGGACTGTGAGGAAATTCACAAGCTCATTGTGACTGGGAGAGCCCCGCGGGACAACACCCAGCATGTCAGGGATGCACTGGAGCCGTGGCCCCAGAAATCTGGAAACGAACCCTCGATTCCGGACAACCAGGGCTGGCTCTGAGGTGCAGCACTGAGCAAGGCTGGTGACTCCTGCGTGCCCAGAGCTCATGCTGCAGCGGAGGTGACATGGCACCTGGGTATGTGACAGCCTCCATGTGGTGACGGGAGGGCACCTGCTGGCACCTCCCCCTCCGGGGCCAGTGTGACGTGTGAACAGGTCCCTGTGTCCCAGCAGCAAGCAGGTCCTGGTCCACACACGGACGACTGAAGGACTGCACTTCTGAAGTGGGGGACAGGGAGGGGAGGGGCAGGAGAGGAAGGAAGAGGAGGAGCTGCTGGACTTCTGACTTTTTTTATGGCTTTGCCCAGCAAGGAAGTCTGGAATTCACATTAACATAAACTATAAACGCAGAATCAGTTGATGAGGACAGTTAGTGAGGAGATGGTCTTTTGGGGATAAAATCTGGCAGGATTGCTGACCTGGACTCTGTCATCTAAAGTTCTCACACAAATGACCATTACGTTGTGATGCATGAAACAAGTAACTTAATATGTATTTTTGTCTGAGTATAAAATCATTGTGTTCACTTTGGAAAATATAGAAAATAAAAATAAAATATACTTTAACAGCATCACCTAGAGGTCTTTATCCTTCTGATGCCTTTTTATACAAAATTGTAACAGCAATGTCTATTCTTTGTAACAAATTTTTCACTTAAACGTTTTTTCATGATGCTGCTACTCTACATGATTTTAAATAGCTGAGTGAATATTTCCTGGGATGTGTGTTTCAAATTTTAATCAGGTTTTCTAGTGATTCTTGACTGTCATAAACACTGTGGCAAAGAAACACACAGGCAAATCATTATCTCACATCTGATTGTTTCTCTGTGTTAATTTCCTACAAGTAGAGATACAGGACAAAGGGTATGGCTATTTTAAAGTTTCTGAAATCTGTACATGATTTTTATATGTGCCGTGTTATGGTAACATGCATCCACATGAGCAGACACAGGGCGCTGTGGGATTCTGCACCTTGTTCCTTGGCAGGGGTTCCCTGTCGCAGGGAGCATCATGATGGGTTCATGCCATCCTGGGGGCAGCCCGGGTATTGCTAGGATGGGTTTGTTTGGTTAAAAAACAAAAGGCAAACTCACTTAAGCTAGAGACCATTTCTGCATGGTGGGGAGACCTGCTCCTGAGGCAAGAACCACAACTCAAAGCTTGACATCAACGTGGGCAACTGTAGAACCTGGGGTGCCGGGGCTGCCTCAAGGGAACCTCAAGAGTTGTTGCTGTGGGCAGGGGCCATCCGAGGTGGGCTATGCACAGCCCCAGCTGGGCCCCCCCGCCCCCCCGCCCCCTGCAACCCTGCACCGAAGTGCACCTGCAAGTGGACGCCGTCTCCTCCCAGGCAGCCTGGTTAACCCAACCTCTCTCAGTTACATCGAATGTGTCAGAACCCCATCCACAGCCCTTCCAGTGGGGGCTGCAGGCCAAGCCTCTCTGAGTCCCCTGCGTCCTTGGGGTGGAATCTCTGGGGCCTGGAGCAAGTGGGTGGTTGGCGTGGCCGTGCACACTGAAGCCAGTGGAGGAGCCGCCCTGCCTCTGCCAGCTTCTGGGGGGCCAGCACTCTTGGCTGTGGCCCCACCCAGCTGCGAGCCCGTCTCCCTGTATCTCTCCCTGTCTTCCATGGACACCGGTGGTTGGATGATGGTTCCTACTCCAGGGCGACTCCATCTGAGCTCATGCATCTGCAGAGGCAGCGGCCCTACCTCCACATGAGGCCACACCCACAGGCGCTGGGGGTTAGAACTCAACACATCTTTTCAGGGGACGCAATTCTACCCACAATAGCAGGAAAGGGACCAAGACAGGCTATGGAGCAGCAACATGCAGGACTGGCTGGAGACACAGGTGCAGGGAGGTGAGTGGCCCTGGGGACCCCCTGAGGGCCCTTGCTGACAGACCTGAGGTTCCACCTGGTGCCTATCCCAGTCCCCACACAAGTCATTCCCTCCTAGCCATGCCGCGCTGTGGAGTCCTGAGCAAAGAGAGCGCTCTGAGGAGCTGCGGAGGCTCAGTGACCCTCCACCCGCTCTGATGCCAGGCCCCAGAATCCTGGCCAGAAGGAGCACGGTCAGACCCTGCCAGAGGAGGAGAAGGAATCTGCTCCATGGAGAAAGAATTCCTTCAAAAGCAACTTAAGATTCCACGAGACATGCCTGGGCCCCAGTTTGGGAGGAGGACGTGAAGAGACAGCGGCATTCCCTGCTGAGAGTGGTGGAGGTGGGTGGGAGCCACGGGCCCTTTCAGAGGGGACGTCTGTGCCCAGGGCAGAGCCGAGCCAGGCATGAGAGAAGGCTGCCATGACAGATCTGGCACCAGCCTGGAATATTCCAGAACCCCTTCGTCCACCTCCCAGAGCTCCAGGCCCAGACAGGTTCTCACCCACGGGACCCACCCCTTCAAACACCTTTTAGCTGCTCAGAGAGGGGAAGCACACCCCGCATCTGGACAGGCCAGATGCTTGGTCAGCAGTGGGTACCTACGGGATTCTTCCTGGAAGAGCCAAAATGAAGGCAAAGATGCCTGGATTCTGGGTTCAGCAAACTACTGTGTTGAGGGCATCGGCTGCCTGGGGGGCTCCCCTTCTGCCTGTACCCTGGAGAAAGGGGCAGAGCCGGTGCACACGGGGGGCTCCTTCCTCATACCCTCTCTGGGTAGGGGTTGGGGCCTTCCCTCCCAGAGCCTGGGGGGAGGTCCCGGGAGAACGGCTAGGGAGCTGGGGCCTTCAGGGGTTTTGCTCCGGAGTTAGGCCTGTGCTTTGCCCAGCAGCCCTAAGCTGAAGGAGAGGGAGTGCCTGATTGCTGCGGTCTGGGCAAGAAGGGTCTGTCCATGCTGTCAGGTGTGAAGGCTGCACTGGCCAGGGACCAGGCCTGGGCACCAGGGATGTGGCCACCAACTGGGTCGGCTAGAAGTGAGGCCCACCCCCATGGCTGGCTCCTCACAGCACAGCAGGCCCAGCCGACACCACACAGGGACCGCAACCCACCAGCACATGCAGGCCTCCGAGGAGACAGCACCACCTCACTAGATGGAAAATCCACATGTGTGTTTGTATGTGTGTGTGCAGGTGTGTATGTGTATGTGCATGTGCCTGAGTGTGTGTACATGCGTGTGTGAGCATCTGTGCCTACATGTGTGAGCATGTCTGCATGCAAGTGTGTGTGCATGTGTAAGTGTGACTGTGTGCAAGTGTGTGAGCATGTTTGTGCATGCGTGTGTGTGCATCTGTGCATGCACAGGTGTGAGCATGTCTGCATGAAAGTGTGTGTGTGCATGCATGTGCGTGTCCGTGCGTGTGTGTGCATGCCTGGGTGTGAGCGTGTTTGTGTGTGCATGTGTGTGCGTGTCCGTGTGTGTGTGTGCATGCCTGGGTGTGAGCCCATGTGTAAGCGTGTTTGTGTGTGCATGTGTGTGTGCATGTCCCCTCGCTGTGCAACGGAGAAGCTGGCGCAGGCAGAAACTGGAGGAGGTGGGTGAGTGAGGAGCAGAGCGGGAGGGTGGGAGTGAGGGTGAATGAGTGGCCTCTCGTGGTCACAGCAAGGCAGGAGGCCCCTCTGATTCCGTACCCCAGCAGGCCATCCATCAGTGGCCTCTCCTGGGCTGGGGCGAGGACTCAGTGTCACAGGAAGCACCTTCCGGAAGGACCTGAACTAGGAGGACAGAGGGGCTCACTGAGGGTGACTGCAGCTCCCGGGAAGTAGCAGTGGGGATGCCCTCAACAGCCCAGCTGTGTGTGTGGCCACAGACATGGGAAGGAGGGCTGCAGGTCCCGGCCAGGCCATGGCAGGAAGGGCCTCGAGAGGGGTGGGCTCTGGCCTGGGCCTGGGACCCCACACCAAGCCCACAGCAGCAGGAAGGGAACGGCAGGGCCAGTCCCACCAGGCCTGACCATGTTCCCTGAGGAGGAACCAGAGCTCCTCAGATTTTAGAGGAAGACTTGAGGCCCTGTCCCCCAGCCCTGCTGCACGATTACCCCTGGGGAACCAGGCATCTCCTCGCAGGGCCAACCGAACCCCAAGGCAGAAGACTGCTCGTGGGAAGGCAAATGCTTGCCCAAGTACAAAGCAGTGAATACCTGCAAAGATCACTCGACACTTTCAAATTAGTGCCCAGTTGTATTTTATTATAATGACAATACAATAACAGCAGAGTCACTTCATCACATTTTGTATTATTTTAAGACTTGGTATATGCAGAAAGCTTAGCAGCCCGCATCTTCAGAAGTCTTCAGGGCTCTGCCGTGTGCTCACATGGACACACGTGGAGAACAGGTGCAACGTGGAGGCATAGCAGATGCAACGTGGAGGCATAGCAGACTCCCCTTGGTAGGAATGCATGGGAAGAGCAGGGTCAGGGAGGACCCCAACATCCCTGGAAGTGTGTGTTTTGATGCCTGGTCACTGCAGCCCAAACACTGGAGGCCCCTCAGGGGCCCCCACTTGAGCTGCGGCACGGCCTGCAGTCACTCACGGTAGAACCTGGGCCCCCACGTACCACAGAGAGCCATTGGGGGCTATCCAGGAGATCCAGGGTCATCCCAGGGTCCTTCCAGCAGGGCAGCAGGAGGCTCAGGCAGGGAGGAGATGTGAGGATGGATGTAAGGGTCTGGGTGGTGCGGCCATGAGCCCAGGAATGCAGGCAGCACCTGGGGCTGGACAGGGCGAGGAAAGGATTCTTCCTGGAGCCTCCAGAAGGGACTAGCCCTGCTCACACCTTGGTGTTAGAACTTCTGGCCTCCAGAGCTATAGACCATGAATGTGTGTGGTTAGCCAGTGTTTGCAGTGATCTGTCAACTGCAATAGGAAACTGACACAGCCCTGGACACCGAAACCCCAAAGCCCCCCTTCCCCAGAATGACAGCCTATCCCGCCCCCTTGGAGAGAAACTCCAGCATCCATCACACCCACATTTCAATGCAACAACCAAAATGAGCAGGGGACAAGGCAGTCTGCTGGGGTTTAATGTGTCCCCCAAAGGTCGTGTGTGGGAAACCTCACCCCCAATGCCGCCGTGCTGGGACATGGGGCCTAAGAAGAGGTGACCAGGTCTGAGGACCCTGCCCTCATGACTGGACGAGCGCTGTTTCAGTTGTGAGAGCGCGCTTGGCCCCCTCTCGGTCTCTCCGCTCTCTCACCGGGTGAGGCCGTCTCTTGGAAAGACGCAGCTCAGGGGCCCTCACCAGATGCAGCCCCTCAATCTTGGGCTTCCAAGCCTCCAGGACCATGAGCCAACTAAACTTCCATTGTGTGTAAATTACCCAATCTGTGATACTCTGTTATAGCAGCAGAAAACAGACAAAGACACAGCCCCTGAGGGCAGGCGTCCGGGACAGAAGGCCTCTGCCCTGAAGTTACCGAGGGACCTCGGTGACACAGGCACCTCTGCCGCAGCCCGACGCGTGAGAACAGAGAGAGGGCTCTCCCCACACCTGCAGGAGGTGCTGCTGCCGTCACAGACAGCACAGGCCACAGCGTGTCCACTGTGCATCTCCCATGATGGAGACAGGCACGACCATTCAGAAAGCCTCGTGAGCCTGTGTGCACTCCAAATAGTCTAAATTCGGTTTCCAGCACCGGTGCGTTGCTGCTGTGGACACACCATGCCAGGCCACTGTGCAGCTTGGTTGTCGTGGGTGTGTACTGCACGTGGGTTGCTACCAATAATTCACTTTTGGGTTTTGACATCCCTCTTGCCAACAGATATTCCCCCTCTGTCTATGCTAGAGGAATGAGATATTCCCTCTAATAGGGAGAAAATCTAACCTAGAAGTCAAACGCATGGAAACATGGAGAATACCTTTGAACAGCTCAGACCTAGACAGCCATGGACAGTATCCTCCTGTCCTATTGTTCTGTATGCTGCCAGGAGTTCTCCCCCCAGGATGACCCTCCTCCCTCACTGCAGGAACAAAGCACACTGTGTTCTCGAGAAGGAACAGCTTCCCAGAGAGAGGAAACCCCTAAACACCGAGGCCGTGCCAGAGAGTAAGGAGAACGCGCTTGTTCTGAAACAAAGGACCCACTGATGTCACACCATGTCCGAGAAACTCTCGATGAGAGCCCCAGATGGCAGGATGTATAATATAAATATAACTGACACGCCAACTGCTGGGGCCAGAGTGGAGAGACCCGGAGGACGGGGGGTGGTGAGGGAGAACGATATGAGGGTGATCCCAGCACAATTCATTAAATTCTTTCTAAAAGAAAAACTAGAGGAAAAAAGCATATGGTATGTCTTGAACAAGCAGAATTGGTAAAAACAAGACTTTAAAAATTAAACTGGAACTTTTCAGATAAAAACCTCTAGGTTAACATTTATCCGCAATACCACTACCAGGCATTTGGGATGCGACGCTCATTCTGTGCGTACGGAAGTTTCTGGAAGAGGCATAGCGGCCACAGGAGACCTCTGCTTTTCCTGCAGGACCCCGGTGCTCTCCGGGGGGAGGTGCAGCCATCCTCCCGCCCAGGATTTGCTTCCACGGCAGCTTCTGTGTTCACGGCTCTCCCACGAGCCATCCAGACCCTGTGCGGGAGGGTCTCAAAGAAGTCACCTTGAGCCTCCAGGTGCTCTTAGCCCCAAGGCAGAACCTGGAATCCCACCAGGAGGTGCCTGGCACACGTATCCCACACACGAGCAGGGCTGGGGGCATTCCAGGCCTGAGGAGCTGCATGAGGAGAGGCCCCAGGGGTAATGAAGGCACGGGAAGTAACAAACCCTAGGAGACAGCAAATGGTCCATGCGGTCAGCCTGGGCGTGTGCCAGGCAGGTGGCCAGGAAGGAATGATGCATTTCAGGGAAATGAGGAAGGTGAGTCAGGATGCAGCCTGGTCTTTGGTGGGTCAGGGGTCAGCCTGCTGAGGCCCCAGCCCCCGCCACCCAGTCCCACCCTCGTCGGGGGCTGTGCGGGTGTCGTGTGGATGTGGCTGATTAACACCTGCGGTCAGCTGGCTCCGAATGGAGCATGTGCCCCTCCACAGTGGGCTGGGCCTCATTCAATCCCTGCATGGCCTTAAGAGAATAGGACAGGGTCCCCCGGAGAAGCGGACACCTGCCTGCAGACTGTCACATGGAAATCCTGCGTGGGTCTCCAGCCTGTGTCTGCACTACTGAGGTCAGACATGCCAGCCGCACAATTACATAAGCCAGCCCATGACACGGGGCACAGACGAACCACGCACGTCCACGCATCTCCTAAGGTTCTGCTTCTCTGAGAATGCAGCAGGCCTGGTCTCGAGAGCCCAGGAAGAGCTGAAAGTCTTTATTTGTTGGCACAAGAGGCATCAGGGAAAGAGAAACACCTCAACAAACTGGCATCTGAGGAAGACTGACGGCGACAGCTGGGGAACGTCCCAGGTAAGGGAGTCAGAAGAGTTGGATGCTGAATGAAGAAATTTTAGGAAAATCTAACCAAGTTATTTTGCTTAGCTTCCCTTTGTGTATATACAACACTGATAGCAAAAATCTGAATAAGGCAAATAGAGCTCTTTAAGTATAAAATAAAAACTAAGTGATAAAATTAAATTCACTTTCTTTGAGTTGCTCAAAGCATTATTCTAAATGAAATGTATGTTAATTCACTTCACAAAAGTCATCCACCAAAGCAGAATTCCCACATTAGGATACACAAGGTGGAAGAAGAGACTACAAGGGTCATAGGTTAGAGGTAACTTAAGTTATAAAAACCCATGAAAATGAGATATTGTAATAAAAACACACACACAGAAAAGTATGTAATACATGAACCATATTCTACTTCATGAACAAAAAAATCAATAAAACAAAAACCTGACTGGAATAAGACCTTGAAACAGCACGACTGGCCACGTCTATCTGGCGTCTATCTGGCGTCTATCTGGCGAGGAGGCGCGGCATGGAGTCCAGGGTGGAAGCCCAGCTCACGTGGCTCAGGACCCCGGGGCCTCGGCCTCTCATCTGCAAACCAAGATTAAACTAGGGCAGTAAGATCCTAAATCTCTATCGTTCTATGAAGAAAGTGGGCCAAAAAGTCCAAAGCCTCTACAGTTTGGAGACATCACAGCTGACTGCTGCTGACTGATGAGCACACATGTGAACTCCATTTCTGAAAATACTGCGTCCTCTAAAAGGAAACCAGGGGCCCCAGAAAATGCCAAGCATTGACCGCCTGTGCTGCGATGGCATTTGTAAGAGCAGCCCCTGCTGAGCTGAGCGTACTGTCTGTGAGCAGCAGGGGCCGGTAGGGGAGGATTCTCCCATTTGTGCAGTTCAGTTAGAGCTCTCCAGGGTCACGTCAACAGATAATGCACCATTATCCTTTGCTCTCGGGGGCGGCCTGTAAATAAGGCTCTGCACACAAAATCACAAAGGCATCACAAGAACGACACGCAGTAGCCACTGTTCCTCAGCAGCCATGAGGTGGGCAGAAACACACACATGCTTCTAAAACATGCACCAATGGGCAGAATGTGACCAGATCTGGGTATTGAATGCCTTCCTGGCTGTAAGTAAGGCTTGGTTTACTCGGAGCTGATGAAATCCAGAGATGTCATACGAAATGCATGTAGAGTTTGATAGGAAAACCTCATCGTGTGTCCCGGTCAGGAGAGTTTAAGGAGTGTGAGAGTGTAGACACAGCAGGCCTGGATTCCCAGCAGACCTGGCCTCAAAGTGGACAACCTCGAGGCTGGACCTGGATGCGCCTAGCAGGGCGTCACCTATGTGGCCAACCTCGCTGCAGCAGCAGCAGCTGCTCCACACAGGTCTGCATCCGGCCACTGTCCCAGCAGCCTGAAAGCCGCAGCCACTGGCAGGGAGCTGTGCACTGTCCTCCAGCATCCTCTGAAAACTCTGCCTCCTCATCATCCGTGGGCCAGACGCTTCCAGCATTGCTCGATTTTAACAATGAATTTTATAAATTTATAAATGCATAAATATATCAGGGGTCCTGTTATACTAGCAGTGGATCTCTTTAAACAGTGAGGTTTCAGAATGTCATTAACACTTAATTCTCAGAACAGTATTTTCATGAGCCTTTTTCAGGCCATATTTCTTGATGTTTTGGCTCTAAAAAGATGATCTGGGTATAGAACAAATGCAGGTCTTAAGTATGATATTTTTTAAAAGGTGAAACATTTTCTTTTTTTAACCTGGATCTCTGGCAAAAAGAAGCTGCTGCATTGAAATTTAGCTGCTCCCTTGACTCCAGGACCCTCCTGCCACTCCCGTGCCTGCGCCCAGGCTTTGCGGCACAGACCGGCCTCTGCGGACCAGGGATGCCCTCCCAGGCCAGCCCTACAAGCACGGCTCTCGAGGAACAGCCCACGCCACGGCCTCCACACAGTTTGCCATTTTGGCTCTTTGTTAATCACGCCTCCTGGGAAAAAAGAAAACTAAATCAATACTCTGACATCCAGACTTGATTTCTACGTTCCAAATACTGAAAAGAAACCAAATGAAAAGCCAGAGGGAAGAATGCCTCTGGCCCCTGGGTATGGCATCCATCCTCCGGGACTAAATGCAACGTCTAAATGATGGCAACCTGAGCTGACGTTTATTCTCCAGCGTTTCTGGGGATCTCCTGGATATCTGTATTTTAAAGGCACCCACATTCAAGATGTGTGTAGGTGGCCACTCTCCGACAGCAGACAAGCCCTCGGTCTTAGCTTCCACATTCAAAGCTCACAAAATGCTGAGCGCAGGGGCTCTTTTGGGGAATGGAAACAGCCTCCAGCGCAGTCTGCCTTATGGCAAAGGGGTTCAGAGTTTGGGTCCCAGAGTCACCTGCCTGGGTTCCAATCCTAGTTATCAGGGGGTGACCTTGAGGGAGTTACTCAATCTCTCTGCCTCAGTAGCCCCATCTGTAAAATGGGGTCACAAAGTCCCCACCTTGTGGGTTATTTCGAGGATTAAATGCATATAATTGATTTGAACAGTAACCGGGCATGTGGTGAGCAATAAATAAATATCAGCCAATGTCACAACGTTCAGACAATCAGAACCTGAACACAAAAATGGGCCATGGAAATAGCCACACCCAATCAGACCCATCGGGTGCGGCTCCCATGTCTCCGTTTGCTGGTAGCTTCCTGAGGGGCTGCTGGGAGCCTCTGGCTACTGCCTAAGGGGACCCAGGACGGAGGGCTGGGCTCCACTCATCCTGCTCTGATGCAGGTTTAGGACGTGTGAGGCCTCCTCTGTGTCAGACACTTCATGCTGGGGACCCAGCACTGAGCAATGGGACGGGGTCCCCACCTCATGAAGCCCCTCACTCCTCTCCTGCTGCCTCAGGCAGCTTTCCCTCGGGTCCCTGAGTCCCCAGAGAGGCTACGCCTGGGACCAGGGTCCCGGCCATGTTGCCCGTCACTCAGCAGAGCTCTGGAGGTCTGATGCATGCAAGTATCCATGTCACCAACGGCACAGCATCTACATTAAACTGTGGCTGCTGGATTCCACTATAGCTGGGACCCTGCAGCCACAGCCATCGTGACCAACTCGCCCTAAACAGCATGAGTTCCCATGGCTCCCACAGGCCCCCCAGGTGCTGGACTTGCCCCACAGGTGACAGCAGGAAGGTGTAGCACACAGAGCTCTAAATATTCAGGATTGCTTTTCTCTTTTCACAGCAAAGCAGCGACTAGGAGCACCTGCTATTTACACAGCAACGTGCCAAGCTCCATAAAGAGTGCAAAAAGCACCCCAGAGGTCCTGGAGCAGCTGTTCTGCACCATGGGGCAGGTTAGAGCCACTGGGGCTGAAAACACCCTGAGCCCACCCATGCCCCCTCGGGAGCCAGTCAGAGCCCAGTGGGAAGAGCCCACTGAGGGCCATGCCACAGAGGGAGGCTCGCTCCAAGCAAAGCAGTCATTCCATGCAAACCCTCCTCTGGTTTCACCCTATGAACTCCACTAAGGCCAAGGGATAGTGAAGTTAAATGAGGAGGGAGTGAAAATGACCGCAGGTCCTCCACATCGCAATGGGAAGCAGGGCATCAACAGCACGTCAGGATGCAGCTGGCAGAAGCCGGGGGTGCTGCCTCCTCGAGGTTTCAGGAAAGGGTGGTTGCCTCGGCCACTTTCCAGCCCCAGGAGGTGTCCTGGAGCAGGGAGGAGGGGTGTGGACAGGTGAGAAGGCTCAGCTGAGAAAGCCCAGGACAGTGCTTGGTGGGCAGAGCTGGGCACACTTTCTCTTCCAATGTGGCTTTGTGTGAGGCCTGGAAACAGGAGTTCCAGGGAGACAGAGCAGGCCCCAGGCTCCAGGCCACCTCCCCTCTCCTCGGGTGACAAGACAAGTGCATAGCAAGTCCCAGGATGAGTGCACATTCCACAATGGCCTCACCTCACTTCGCAACATCAGGCACAAGATCAACAATAAAATGACATTCTGAGGGCAGTGGTGCACAAGCCAAGCCCAGCATGCCACAGCGTTCTCAGAGCAGACAGTTCCGTTGGCCACACAGAGACCCTTTTCCCAACCTAGACACTCATATGCGACCTGGAAACATGCAGGGGGAGGAGAGGTGAGGCAGCGAGTGCCCACAGCAGGGCCCTGGCAGCCTCCTCGTCTTCCCTGCCTTTGCCGTCTGACCCAGCCCCTACCAGGTGGCTGAACGCTCCTGTCAGGCTGGGGTCTGGCTGGGGTCAGGCTCAGCCCCAGGTCTGCACTTCCCCTGGGCAGGGAGGGCTCTGACGCAGGACCAAGGCAGGCCTGGCCTCAGGTGGCTGGGAACCCAGGTCAGCTGGGGGCAGACAAAACATAGACTGAGCTGGTCTCCTGCCCAGGCCTCTAGAACCACCGGCCACAGGTGAAGTCTGCAGGCAGGATCTTTCCCACCCCTGCTTTCTGCCTGACCCTTGTTCCTGTCTCTGCAGAGGTAAATTACGTGGAACAGAGCAGGCACTGTGGTCTTCGAGCTCCCAACACCCTTGGCAGATCTGTGGCTCCGTGCATACCGGTTAGCTTGTTTTTGAGAGGGGAGCGGACACCATATCAATTCAGCACCAGTGACCACCTCTCACCGAGGAGCCCCTCCCCGCAGCTGTGCTGTTGTCTGGGCCATGTTCCCTGGGAGCTCCTTCAGTGAGAAGGGGGCCAGGCAACCCCACCCACCCTTTGTCCATGGGGGCTGGAGGAGGAGGACGCCAAGGCTGACACAGTTGTCAGATGGCCAGAGCTTCCCCACATTCCTACAGAAAAGCAGACCTGGAAACGTACCTTCCAGTTCACCAAGAGCACACCAAGTAAATACTGATTCCAAAACACGGCTCCAAGCAAGGAAGGCCTGTATTTATTTAACTCTTGAAGTAAACAGAGGCCATTCCATTTCACTCTCTCCAGGAGGAGTGGGGCCCAAGTCCAGGCCACAGGACAGAGGATCACCCAGAAGCAGCAGCCCTCGGGCCCATCCCATTTAGACCTTCTGAGAACCAACTGCCCCCCGTGTAAACAGTCCATTCCAAAAGTGGGCATTTAGTGTCGCCTGCTTTGTGGCTGATCACACGGGGCGCCCCGTGTTCTCTCTGGCCAGTGGCTCTGACATTTTGATGGAGAGGAAGCTGGAACAATGGACACCCTGGGACCATAAAACGCTAGGTTTTGGGAGCTCCAGCACAGTGAAACCTGAGTGCTGATGCAACTGATGCTATGTTCCTGCTCCACATGACTCCAGTCCCAAACAGCAAATGCTGGGGACATGCCAGTTTCTAGTTAGCTGGTGTTCATTGCCCTGTTTAGAAATTTACTAATAGTAATGCATTTACCCTTCATTTTATTGCTTATTTTCAACTTTCAGATTCTCCCCACCAGATATGCCCCAAACAATCCACAAACTATTGAAAAGATAAGGAGAAGGAAGGCAAAGTTATTCAGATTCTAAACCCTTGGGGTCCTCATTTTGCCAAGAGGATCCGGTGACTGGTCTGTGGGAGACCCAAACATTTGAAGAAAACGGAGATTCCTCCTCACCTCTCCTTTAGAAGGAGGTGGTTGGCAGGAAACTGTGATGCAGCAAGTTCACGATCACATTGGGATCCCCAGAAAACAAACCTGCCACTTGAAGCATCCCTGGGCCACCCACACCCACCTGGCTGGAGGGAGGGGTGGGGCTGCAAGGTCTCTGAGCCTGAACCAGAGGAGGCTTCAGTCCAGGCTCACAGAGAGCAGGAGGGAGCCCGAAGCACAGTGTAGCCTGCTGCCTTCCACCTCCCTCTGCCCGGCTCTGAATATTTAAACACACCCGATTCAACCTTAGAACTGTTAACTTATTCAAGCCTTAACTGGGAGGCAGTGTTTCAAAGGCTCAACACCAAGGTCACTGAAATTGAATTAACCTACTTTGACATCTATTTAAACTTTTAGATCTGGACCTGCAAATCTGAAGCAAATATTGATTTTAAGTCAGTCAAGGTCATAATTCCCTAAAAGGAAAGCCCTTTTCCCTCTTCCCACTTCACGTGATTCTACATATTGGTAAAGCCCTTGTAATGCGGTGCGTGTATGTGGGTTTGTTGACAGAGAGTGAATAGGTGTGAACTGATTTTTCTTGCTTTAGATAACTGTAGGTTCACATGCAGTTGTGAGAAACAGTAAACAGAGGTCTTGTGTACCGTTTTCCTCCAGGGGTAGCATCCTGCCAAACTACAGCACACGACTGCAGCCAGCATACTGACAATGACGCAGCCAGACCTGGGCTGTCTCTACCCACAGGACCCTCTTGTGGCCCCTCCTGGACACACCCATGTTCCTCCCAGATCACCCCTCGTGGACCCCCCACAACCACTGAACTATTCTCCACAGCTACACTTTTGCCATTTCAAGAATGTTATGTAAATGGAATCATACAGTAACCTTTTGGAATTGGCTTTTTTCACTCAGCATAATTCTCTGGAGAGTTCATCCAGGTTGTCACAGGTATCAATAGTTCATGGTGCGGACGTACAATTTAACGTTTCACCCACCAAAAGACATTGGGGTTCTTTCCAGTTTTTGACTGCGACAAATAAACGAATATAAACATTCATATGCCTGTATTTATGTGCACATAAATTTTGATTTCTCTGGGATAAATTCCCAGGAGTGCAATTGCTGGGTCATATGAGAGTTGCATATTTTGTTTTAAAAGAAACTGCTAAATTGTTTTCCAAAGTGGCTATACTATTTTACATTCCCACCAGCAACTTAGGAGTAACCCAGTTTATCCACATCCCTGCCAGCATTCGAAGTTGGCACTATCTTTTATCTTAGCTCTCCTGAGGGTGTGCAGTGGTACCCAGGTCTTGCACTTCTCCACTGGCTACTATTGACTGACACCTTTCCGTGTGCTCTTCTGCCCTCACTGTGGCATCTTTGGTGGAATGTCTCTATGTCTGTTGCCCATTTTCTAAGCGAATTGTTTGTTTTTGTACTGGTGAGATTTGAGATTTCTTAATCCTTTATCAGCTATGTGGTTTGCACATATTTTCTTCAGTTTGTAGCTTGTCTTTTCATCCACTTTGCAGGTGCTTTCACACAGCATAAGTTTTCAATGCTGGTAAGGTCGAATCTATCATTTTTTCCTTTTATGGATCATGCTTTTGGCATCAAGTCTAAGATCTCTTTGTTCAGCTTTAGGTCCTAAGTGTTGTCTACTATATTTTTTCCTAAAACTTTTATAGTTTTATATTTCATGTTTAAATTTGTAGTTCATTGTTAGAACTTATCATTCTAATATAAGGTGTAAAACTTGGCTCATGGTTCTTTTGTCTCCCTGTGGACATCCAATTACTTCAGCACTATTTGTTGAAAAGACTATCTTTCTTCCACTGAATTGATTTTACATCTCTGTCAAAAATCAGTTGGGCATATTTGTGTGGGTCTGTTTCTGAGTTCTCTGTTCTGTTCTATTATCTGTCAGTCTGCCCAGGACCACACTGCCCTGATTACTGTGGCAATAATAAGCCCTAGTATTGGGTAGAATGATTCCTCTCATCTTATTCTTCTTTTTCAAGACTGATTTAGGTATTCTAGCTCCTCTGACTTTCCATACAAATTTTAGGATAATCTTGACTATACCTACAAAAAAAATTCTGTTGGGATTTTGATAAGAATTCTGTTCATCTGTTTGAGGAAAACTGACATCTTTACTATATTGTGTCTTCCAATCCTTGAACATGGTATGCCTCTCCATGCATTTAGATCTTCCTTGATTTCTCTCATCAGCATCATGCAGTTTCCAGCACAAAAGTCTTGTACATATTTGGGTGAATTTACACTTAAGTGGTTTTTTTTTGTAATTTTAAATGGTATTGTATTTTTAATTTTGGTGTACATAATTTTGGTATTTATGCTCTACAAAGAAAGACAATTGACTTTTCTATGTTTATCTTGTATCTTGCAACCTTTTTGAACTTGCTAGCTTTAGGAGTTTTTTTTTTTTTGTAGAATCCTTGGGATTTTATAATCAGATGATCATGTCATCTGTAACCAGAGACTGTTTCAATTATTTCATTCCAATCCATATGCCTTTTATTTTTCTTGATTTATTACACTAGCTAGAACTTCCAGTACAATGTTGAATAAAAGCGATGAAGGCAGACAACCTTACCTTGTACCTGATATTATGGAGAAAGTATATAGTTTTCACCATTTAGTGTCATGTTAGTTGTGGGTATTTTTTGTAGGTAGTCATTAATAAGTAAGACGGTCCCCCCCTCTACTCCTATCTGTCCTAGAGTTTTGTTGTTTTTTTTTTTAATCATGAATGTGTGTTAAATTTTGTCAAAGACTTTTTCTGCACTGGTTGACATGATTATATGATTTTTCTCCATTAGTCTATTAATATGGTAGATTACGTTGACTAATTTTCAAATATTGATCCAGCTTTGCATCCTTGGTATAAACCAAAACTTGGTCATGGTGGATAATTCTCTTTATCTATTGCTTAATATATTTACCAATATCTTGTTATGGGCTTGTGTGTTATATTCATGAGGGATACTGGTCACTAGCTTTCTTTCTTGTTTTTGTCTGGTTTTGGTATCAATGTAATACTGGCTTCATGAGATGACTGAGAAGTATTGCCTCCTCCTCTATTTTTTGGAAAAGATTGTGTAGAATTGGTGCTAATTTTTTAAATGTTTGGTAGAATTCTTTAGAAAAACCATCTGGGCCTGAATGTTTCTTTATTGAAATTATGAATTCAATGTATTTAATAGCTATAGGGCTATTCAATGATCTACTTCCTGTTGGGTGAGTTGTGGTAGTTTGTGCTTTTTAAGAAAGTAGTCCAATTTGTCTAAGTTATCAAATTAATGTGTATACAGTTGTTTGCAGTTTTTTCCCTTATTATCCTTTTGATATCTGCAGAGTCTGTAGTGATACCTCTGGGGAGTCTTGCTCTTTCACCCAGGTGGGAGTGCAGTAGCACAATCTCGGCCCACTGCAACCTCCGCTTCCCAGGTTCAGGCAATTCTCCTGTGCCTCATGAGTAGCTGGGACTACAGGTGCATGCCACCACGCCTGGCTAATTTTTGTATTTTTAGTAGAGACGGGGTTTCACCATATTGGTCAGGCTGGTCTCGAACTCCTGGCCTCAGGTGATCCACCCACCTTGGCCTCCCAAAGTGCTGAGATTACAGGCATGAGTGACCATGCCCAGCCACTTTTCTGTGTTTTATTTCATTGATTTCAGTTATTTCCTTCCTTCTGCTTTTCTTTGGGTTTATTTTGCTCTTCATTTTCTAGAGAGGTAGACAAGAAGTTCTTGAGGTAGAAGCTGAGATTGATTTGAGACTTTTCCTATTTTCTATTGCATGCATTTTAGTGCTAAAAATTCCCCTCTCAGTACTGCTTTAGATGTGTTCCATAAATTTTGATATGCTGTATTTTCATTTTCTTTGTTACAAAGTGGCAAAAAACTTGACTGAATTGTGTCCATGTCCTAGGACTTTGTGGAAGGCAGAGCTTAAGAGTGATGAACTAAGATAATTTGGCAGAAGAAATCTCTAAGCAGCAAAGTATTCAGAATAGTTTTCCTTAACTGCTTATGGTAAAATTTGAGAACAGAAAATTATTTAAGGACAAAATTTATAATTAAAAGGGAAGCAGAATATAAAGATTTAAAAATTCTCAGCTTGGCCATGTAAAGAACAACAAAGAGTATTTAGGGAAGAAAACCAACAGTGTGGCCTACTTTCATAAGATTAGTATGGATTGAAGGAAGCCTGGTGTTATTCATAAAGATTATGGACTAACGGCCCCAAGGGCATTTCGGAGATCTTCAGGGTTGCCATGCCCATCACAGCACAGAATAGTTTAGGGAGAGAAGCCCAGGACACCCATGCAACCTCACTGCCCACAGCCATCTGAGGTCTCTATTCTCCACATTCTGGCACAGCACTCCTTGGTCACACAGCTATGGCTCAGGTGTCCAGAGGATGCAAGCAGTCATCCTTGGCAGAGTCCACGTGGTGCTAATTCTGCAGGCACACAGAGTGCAAGAGCTGTGGGGGCATGGCTTTCTCCTCCACCCAGACTTCAAAGTATGCTGTGGATAGCCTGGGTGCCCAGGCAGAGACTTGTTGTAGGGACAGAGCCACCACAGAGAGTCTCCACCAGGGCAATGCCTAGTGTAGCTGCGGAGGTAGGGCCACCCCTGAGACTCCAGACCTACTGAGCCACCAGTGTGTAGCCCCAGCCTGGGAGAACTGCTGAGGTGAACTGAGCCCAGCAACCCCTGGGGGCAGGGCTGCCTGAGACCTGGGGTGCCCAACCCCACCCCAGGGTGTCCAGAAGGTGGGGCATGGAGTCGAAGATGATTCTGCAGCCTTAAGATTTAATGTTGTTTGCCTTGTTGAGTTTTGGACTTACTTGGGGCCCGTTACTCCCTCTTGCCTATTTTTCCTTTTGGAAGGGAAATGTCTGTCCTATGCCTGTCCCACCATTGTACTGTGGAAGCACAGAACTTGTGCGATTTCACAGGCCCACGGTTGGAGAGGAACTTGCATCAGATGAATCGTTCCTTGAGTCTCAGTCACACCTTATTTAGAGGAGACTCTGGAATTTAGATTTTTGAGTTGGTGTTGGAATGAGCTAAGACTTTTGGGGTATTGAGATGGAATAAATGTATTTTGCATGTGAAAAGAACATGCATTTTGGGGAGCTGGGGGTGGAATGCTATGGTTTGTATGTGTCCCCTCAAAAATCACACGTTGAAACCTAATAGCCAATGCTGTGAACAGGCGGGGTCTTTGGTAGGTGGTTAGGACAAGGGCTCCTCCCTAACAGAGGCTTCACTGGCCCTCCTGCCTTTCACCCTGTGATGCTGGCTCCTTGATCTTGGACTTCCCAGCCTTGGGAACCATGAGGAAATAAATTTCTGGTTTTAATAAATTACCCAGTCTGTGATGTTTTGTTATAGGAGCACAAACACACCACAGTAGACAAGCCCTGCGTTTAGGACGCACGAGACCAAAAGAAACCCTGGGAACTCACCCTGCCACTGCTCCCTGGGTCCTCAGGCCCGTGACTATTCTGCCTCCTCCTCCCCCCCTCAGAGTTGTCCTGTGTGTGCTTCCTACATTGAGTCCAGGGTTCTTTGTTTTACTCTTGGGAAGAGCAAGAAAAAGTATGTCTGTTCCACCTTCCTGGGATGAAGTCTTTTGTGGGTTAGTTTCTAAAGTAAAGCCACGGGATACGCATCCTCACAGTGCCTCTTCTGACTACGAGTCCTAAATACACCCTTTATTCAGGTTCTGTATCTGAATTCATTCAAAAGGAAGTCCTAAGACAACAAGGAGTGTTAGGTGTCAGTTTCACCACCTAAGAGGAAAACAATGACCTTGAGGAAACCTCATCTGTGACACCCATTTTCATCACAGCAAAATCTCAAGGGGGCTGGATCAGCAGACACAGAACTCTAAGTCCCTCTGAGCCCTCTGGAATACAACCCTGACTTGTCTTTGTAGTTCCCACTTCCAGCCCATTTGTACAATGTTTAATTTCCTATAGTAAGGCATGTACTTCAATATAGGTTTTAAAAATTAAACAAAGCAATACGTTTACCACAAGGTATCTAGCTACTGATTATCTCATGTGGGTCACAACCACATGTGTTTTATTTATTTAGGGATTAAAGTTACTATAGTTTTTTTTTTTTTATCAGAAAGGGAGAAACATTATCTTTAGTCATATGTATTTCTTGGAGGATCTTGGATAGTTTTAGTCAGAATACTTTGGCAGGGTGGCAAAATGATGCTTCCTACATAAATTTTGACATTTCAAATAAAAAGATGATAAAGTGAAAAGTGATTTAAAAATTTTAGCATGAGTTATCAAAAGCTCTAGAATTTCAACAAATACAAATGGAAGAGAGTTTAAAATTTCAAAGACAAATATTCTCAAAACATGATACCCCAGAAGAGCCCGGGCTGGCGTGCTGATGAGCTCAGGTTTCCGGTCTGAACACGCAGCAGCTCCTCACCTGTCTGAAGCCACATGGAAGCCACAGGGACAGTCCCAAAGAGAATAAGAAAATTAGAAGAATAAAGTACACGGCACAAACCCATCTCTCCATGGGCCCCTCCTCATCAATTCACCATCTACATGTTACTTTTGTACATCTATGATGAATGTCAGTGCCAACCCAATTATTGCTTTTGACAACCACACTTACTGAAGGTACAGACTGTGCCAGGCACACTTTATCATTCTCCCACTAGACAGAACCGCCATGATGCAAGATGCCATCCCATTTCGCAGACCAGGGCATGAGGCCATGTGAGCATCCAGGCTTGTCTCCCACTCACTGTGTCTTCCTGCTCAGCAGGGCAGGAACTGCTGCTCAAGGTCAAAAAGGCATCCCAGAAGAATGGTGCCATCACTGCAAAGCAGTGACTACTTTAAACAAATCTCATAAAAAAAGATCCCAAAGATAGTGAATCAAAATCATTTCTTTATATAATAAGCACTTTAAAAAACATTAATAGACTTTATATTTTAGAGCAGTTTTGGGTTTTACAGAAAAATTGGGCAGAAAGTACAGGGAGTCCTCGTATACTCCCCCTCTGCCCCACTTCCTTCCACAGTTATTATAACTTCTTGCATTGGTGGCCCATACATTACAATTTGATACATCATTACTAACTAAAGCATATCGTTTACTTGAGGGTTCATGCTTCCTGTTATGCAGTTTTAGGTCTTGAGAAGTGCATAATGTCATGGATCATGCAGAATAGTTGCACTGCCCTAAAACTCCCCTGTGTGATAAACACTTTTTAAAATCAAAAAGGCAATGGAACATTCTGTATGACACTGCAATGGTAGATATGTATATAGAGCACCAAGACTGAGCCTAAACAGCAGCTCCAGGCAGGACCCCACTCCCTTCAGGGCCCACCCTGCACCATCTTCCTCAAATGTTTTATACAAAAAAAAAAAAAAAATAGTGGTGCCTAATTGGCATTGCATCGATTTTCTTAAGAGCCAGGACTAACACAAAGTGATTTCAAAGCTTCCATTAGGACACCATGAACACTGGGCCCACGGTGGTGGCATCAGGCAGACCTTGCTCCCTTCTGCACAGAGCTTGCAGAGAAAGCCCAGGCAAGTAGGGTGGAGGGCCTTCCCTAAGAGGCTGGCTCTTTCAGAAGTTCAGGTTTGGCCGGGCGCGGTGGCTCACGCCTGTAATCCCAGCACTTTGGGAGGCCGAGGCGGGCGGATCACGAGGTCAGGAGATCGAGACCATCCTGGCTAACACAGTGAAACCCCATCTCTACTAAAAATACAAAAAATTAGCCGTGAGCCGAGGTTGCGCCACTGCACTCCAGCCTGGGCGACAGAGCGAGACTCCGTCTCAAAAAAAAAAAAAAAAAAAAGTTCAGGTTTAGCGGGACAGGACTGACAGATTGACAGCTCTTCTGCGGCTTAGCACTGGTGGTGCATAGCATTCCTGGAACGCATACTAGGAACGCGACCCTTGAGCAGGCGGCATCCCCCAACTCCACAGAGAGACCCAGGTGTTCACCCAGGCCAGATGGAGCAGTAACAACGTCTGTGCTGCCCCGAGACACCAGAGCACACATACGCTGTAGGGATTGGCCCAGTCTGCGAACCCCACTCATGACGGGGCCAGAGCAATGGATTCCCAGTAAATGAGGGTCATGAGCTTGCTCTTCACCCGGGACCCTCCCTTCATGGCCCGGGACCCTCCCCTCACAGCCCAGGACCCTCCTCTCACGGCCCGGGACTCTCCCCTCACAGCCCAGGAGCCTCCCTTCATAGTCCAGGACCCTCCCTTCACGGCCTAGGATCTTCCCCTCCCCTCACGGCCCGGGACCCTTCCCTCATGGTCCGGAACCCTTCCCTCAGCCAAGACGCTCCCCCCACAGCCAGGGACCCTCCCCTCACGGCCTAGGATCCTCCCCTCCCCTCAAGGCCCGGGACCCTCCCCTCACCCGGGACCCTCCCCTCACGGCCCGGGACCCTCTCTGCGCCCCTGGCCCGCAGGGCTCAGCTCCTCAATGCTGGTCTGAGAGGCCCGAGAGCGTCTCCCTCTCAGTTCTCAGTTCTCGGGGCCGCGCTGTCCCCGCTGCCACCGAGATCCCCTCACCCCGCCTACTACGCCTCCCGCCAGGTCCTTCCGGTCCGCCTGAAGTCTGTGGAGGCTTCCAGAAAATGCTCCCAGATCTCCGCCGGCCCGAGCCGAGCCACCGCAGGCTGCTCGGGCTCCCGGCGGTGTGGTCCCTCCAGGAGGGAACTGCGAGCGCTCCCGCCTTCCCCGTCTGTCCCCGGGTAAGGGACTGGCCGGCAGGTCCCGCCCCCCGCGCCTCCTCTGCGCCTGGGCGCCTGCACGGGGCCTCCTCCTTGAAAGGCGCGGAGTCTCGGCTCTGGCTGCGGTGCTGCAGGCGCAGCCTCCCTGGAAGGCACCGCGCCGGGAAGAGCGGCCCGTCTCTCAAAGCCCGGGCCGCCGCGCCCCGGCCCCTGCAACCAAGGCGGCGCCTCTCCCGGGCGCCGGCGCCCTCCGTTGGGCGTTCACGCCTGCGGCGCGGAGCCGGGGACCGGGAGCTGGGAGCCGCCGCCCTCCCCGCGCCTGGGCTCTGCGGCCGGGGGCCCTAGAGCTCGACCGCGACCCCCCAACCACAGCCTCGGGAGTGGGGCGCACAGCGTCGGGACTCAGCACAGGCGCCGCGGGCACAGGCGTGGCCGCCCCACCTGTGCCAGTGGGAAACATGGTGAGGACAGAAGTCCACTGAGGGCTGTCACCTGCGATCCTTTAAGTCACACCTGCTGAGCCCTAGGCTGGATGCTCCTCGCAGCTGTTTCTGACAGCCTTCACCTCAAAGTTTACCAGGTTTTTGCTAGAAATCTCTCAGGCCTCTCTGAGCGCCTTCCTGGCTCTGCATTTCCATTTCTTCCAAATGGCATTCCAAAATGTCCCCATTATCTTCACACACCATATCCTTTGGACACATGTCAATCCTAAATACAGAAGGAAAAATGGAACAGCAGCTCACGAGGGTGCTGTCCCACCTTTCCTGCCCAACAGCACCCTCTGCTGGCATGTGGGGATGGTGCGGAGAAGGACTTAGTAGGACATGGCCACGCCTACCAGGTGGGTGGAGAGAATGTTAAGTCACCCACAATAGGGGAGCAGAACCACATCAAGAGATGTCCCTGCCTGCACCCGCTGCACATTCCTGCAGGCAAAACTTGGTTACCTGCATCTGAACTCATTCACTTCGTTTTACACGTAACTAGACAGAGTTTTTTTACTAATTTAAAACTAGACTAGATTTTCTTAGAATAAATTATTGTGTAAATCAGACAGGTGGACTGTAGGGTCCAGCCCCACAGGGTCAGTGGGTTTTCTCCCCGTGTGTGGAGACGAGAGAGTGTAGAAATAAAGACACAAGACAAAGAGATAAAAGAAAAGACAGCTGGGCCTGGGGGACCACTACCACCAAGACACGGAGACTGGTAGTGGCCCCGAATGCCAGGCTGCACTGATATTTATTGGATACAAGACAAAGGGACAGGGTAAGGAGTGTGAGCCATCTCCAATGATAGGTAAGGTCATGTGGGTCACATGTCTACCAGACAGGGGGCCCTTCCCTGCCTGGCAGCCGAGGCAGAGAGAGGAGAGAGAGAGACAGCTTACGCCATTATTTCTGCTTATCAGAGACTTTTAGTACTTTCACTAATTTGCTACTGCTATCTAAAAGGGAAAGCCAGGTGTACAGGATGGAACATGAAGCGTGACCACTGAAGCACAGCATCACAGGGAGACGGTTAGGCCTCCAGATAACTGCGGGTGGGCCTGACAGACCCTCCACAAGAGGTGGAGGAGTAGAGTCTTCTCTAAAATCCCCCCAGGGAAAAGGAGACTCCCTTTCCCGGTCTGCTAAGTAGTGGGTGTTTTTCCTTGACACTGACGCTACCGCTAGACCATGGTCCGCTTGGCAACGGGCGTCTTCCCAGATGCTGGCGTTACCGCTAGACCAAAGAGCCCTCTGGTGGCCCTGTCTGTGCATAATAGAAGGCTCGCACTCTTGTCTTCTGATCACTTCTCACTATGTCCCCTCAGTTCCTATCTCTGTATGGCCTGGTTTTTCCTAGGTTATGATTGTAGAGCAAGGATTATTATAATATTGGAATAAAGAGTAATTGCTACAAACTAATGATTGATATTCATATATAATCACATCTAAGATCGATATCTAGTATAACTATTCTTATTTTATATATTTTATTATACTGGAACAGCTCGTGCCCTTGGTCTCTTGCCTCGGCACCTGGGTGGCTTGCCGCCCACAGTGGACCATGGTTTTAGGAACTTTATCCAGAGGTTTTGCAATTTCAGAAAACTCCATGACAACATCAAGGCTGTTTGTGAACTCGATCACCTGACATCCACACCTGCGCCCGCCTACACCTGTGTTGACTCAGGATGCTCCACACACAGTGTGCTCAATACTAATAGATTTACATTTTACTGTAAGTTATTTTCCTTTTACACCTAAAGGAAATGTACAAGGAATTTTATTTCAAATAGAAATTATATAATATATTCAAATATATATATTTTGATATAATTTCTATTTGAATTATATATAATATATAATATGAAATATATATATATGGCTTATGGGCTTCCAGAGTGCCACCACACACACCACACAGACCTGTACCCTGGGCTTTGTGAACAGGACACATCCCAGGAACTATGTTTCTAAAGCAAACCAAGATAGCACCAAGATAAAACAAGGTGGCATTACGGGCTGATGACCTGAATTTTTGTAGGTTACATTTTTATGTGATAAGCACGATGGCCACTCTGACCCTGCGGAAAAGATGGTAAAAATATGCTCCCTATGGTGGTGCCAGATGCAGCGGGGCTGCTAGGTGGATTTCACATCCAGAGCCCATGTGTCTGATTCACTCACTCTGGGCTTCATGCTCCCAGGCAGTCCTCTTCCAGGACTGTACAAGGAGGAGGGTGGGCTCAGCGATCATGACCCCAGAGCAAAGAAAGGTGCTGGCTGCCTTCTAAATCACATGCCACCCAAATGCTGGGGTCTGCGTAGGTAGCTAAGTAACTACAGAGCAAGCCCATGAAGATGTGATTTTTTTTTAAGTGCTCATGAAATGAACCATTGATATTTGGCATACATATACAAATATGTGCACAGTGAATACATTATGCCATTTTTGTAGCTATATTTATGTTTATAATAATACACATAAAGCTATACAGAAGATTGACTGCAAAACAATATATTCTAACTGCAAAAACTGATTGAAATGTACACGTACATTTACGAAAAGATTCATATTCAAGTGTTGGCACACGAGGTTTCAAAGTCAAAATGGAAGTTGTCTATTTTGCCGTGTCCCTGAAACCCACTGAGAGGTGACCCACATAGGCAGCGGGTAGGGAGCTGGGCCAGGCGGTACACAGCCGGCAGCGCCTCAGGGCCTTCCCCGCCCCACCCGACCACGGGAAGTGACTGCCCACAAGGCCATCTGGCTTGCCTGGCGCCCCCGGAATTCTGCATTCAGTTCCATTCAAAGCCTGGGCACCTTCCCCGTGCTGGCACTGGAGATGCATTCATGAAACTCCCTGTCTCCAGACAGATGAGACAGTGAAATGAACAACTAGAGTTTCTGGCGGTGTCCAAATAAACCAGTTACAAATTACTTATCATAAAACACAGATTTACATGAAAAAGTATCAAGATGTTTTTAAGGACAAAATATTTATTATGAAAACAATGAGAAATGAAATTCTTGCGTAAGGAAACTGACGCACCTCAACATTATAGAGGGACCGACTTAATGATATGGATGCCCCCACCCCCCGTTGTATAAAAACTTGATAAACTGCCCTGAAGAAGGCCTCTGACCCAATCACCACCCCCAGCTGCAAGCATCCCCTGTAAGCCCGCTCTGCACCTGCCTAGAACTTTTTTTTTTTTTTGAGATGGAGTCTCACTATGTCTTCCAGGCTGGAATGCAGTGGCACCATCTCAGCTCACTGCAACCTCTACCTCCTCAGTTCAAGTGATCTCCTGCCTCAGCCTCCCACGTAGCTGGGATTACAGGCATGCCAACATGCCCAGCTAATTTTTTGCATAGAGATGAGGTTTCATCATGTTGGCCCGGCTGGTCTCGAACTCCTGACCTCTGGTGATCTTCCCACCTCAGCCTCCCAAAGTGCTGGGATTACAGGCGTGAGCCACTGCATCCGGCTTGCCTAGCACTTTTGATACTAAGAAGAGTGTCTCTCCCTCTGCTGCACACCCATAGGACGCTTTCCATTTAACCCAAAGTGTCCAGGTACAGAGTTAGCATCAGTGGATCTTCAGGTGACTGACAGCCAGGCAGACATGGGGTCCACACATCCAGCAATACAAGACATCCCTGGAGAGTATGTTTGTGGTTGGATTTTTATTTCTCTTATTAGAGACCAGAGGTTGATAACCAAGAGACAACTTTGTCCCCTGGTGTGGGAGCAGTGGGGGCATGCACTGGGCAATTTCTGGAGACAATTTTGGTGTTGCCACTGAGGAAAAGTCCTGGCATGGAGTGGGTAGGGTCCAGGGATGCTGCTGAGACCTCACACTGCACAGGTTGGGGACCCAAAACCAAGAGCCACCCAGCCCCAGATGTCCACGACGTGGAGGCTGAGAAACCTGCCGGAGGCCCTCAGATGCCAAGGAGACCTTTTGACCTTCCTTTGCTCAGACTATAAAACAAAATTCTTTATGTGTCGTTCTGTGAAGTGTCACAGATGAAAGTGAACCATCAGTTGTATCTGGAAATTGAAACCCAAACGTGACATTTTTCTTTCTTCTGTGTGAATAATTTTCCTTTCTTAAAAAGCTACACTGCTTATATTTCATGTTATTTACATATTCATAGCTCTTCCTGTCCTCGTGCAAGAGGGACTTGGGGCAGCTGTCACACAGCCCTGAGAACTCAGCCCACATGTCTGGTTCACTCCAAAGCTGGAAGAACCTGCCTGGCCCCCGCGTGGCAAGGCAGGAGGTCTCTGCCTCCAACCCAAGACCTCCCACCCCCTGCGCTGGCCCTGTTGCCCTCCAAGTTGCCCCAGCTCTCCTGCCTGGCCACAGCGTCTGCCTCGGTGGTTGTGGGAGCTGGGTTAGTGAATGTGTGCTCCCCAGAACCTTGCCCTGGTAGCGCCAAAACTTTGATTGTTACACAGGCTACCCAAAAGGCAGGTCTTTTATATTAAATAGTTGACATGAGCATGATAAAACTGAGGCCAAAAATGTGTTCAATTTTCAAATTGATCATTTTGGTTTAAAAAACAAAACAAAAGAAAAAGCGTCTTCTCTTAACACCCCAGTTTCAGGTCCCAAATCTGCCGTCAATGCTGCCGCAGTCATATTCCTGCAATTCCTTCATTTCACAATGAAACAAATTGTGAACAAATGTGGACCCGAAAGAGCCCACCCGGAGTGCCCAACTGGGCCTATGTTTAAAACAGCCCCAAGAGGCCACTTACTGACAATAAGCCACATGCCTTGAGCCCCCAGAACTCGCACCTCCAGTCAACTTCTGGACTTTCAGGGCTCACCTGAACCAACCACTCAGAGCTCACCTGAATCAACCACTCAGAGCTCACCTGAACCAACCCATCAGCGCTCACCTGAACCAACCCATCAGCGCTCACCTGAACCAACCCCTCAGCGCTCACCTGAACCAACCCCTCAGCGCTCACCTGAACCAACCCCTCAGCGCTCACCTGAACCAACCCCTCAGCGCTCACCTGAACCAACCCCTCAGCGCTCACCTGAACCAACCCCTCAGCGCTCACCTGAACCAATCAACCAATCAAAGCTCACCTGAACCAGCCACTCAGCGCTTACCTGAACCAGCCCATCAGGGCTCACCTGAACCAATCCATCAGCACTCACTTGAACCAACCAATTAGCGCTCACCTGAACCAACCACTCAGAGATCACCTGAATAAACCAACCACTCAGAGATCACCTGAATGAACCAACCAATCAGAGCTCACCTGAACCAGCACATCAGAACTCACCTGAACCAACCAATCACAGTTCACCTGAACCAACACCTCAGAGCTCACCTGAACCAACCACTCAGAGCACACCTGAACCAACTTATCAGTGCTCACCTGAACCAACCCCTCAGAGCTCACCTGAACCAGCACATCAGTGCTCACCTACCTTGGCTAATCAGGGCTCAGCTGCATCACCCAATCAGGGCTTAGCTGTATCAACCAATCAGAACTAACCAAATTTGAATCCTTCATGTGCATAAATTGACCTGAATGGGACCTGGGCAGGACCCATCACTATAAAACCCAAACCCTCCCTGAGTTCTCTGGAATATACTTTCTTTCACACCAAAGGCTGCAGCTTCCAGGTTTGTAAACTGTTCACTGGAATAAAGTCTCTTTCCTCCAAACTCCTTTTCAAAGAACTTTTGTTCATAAAATAATTTACCATCAGCTTTACCTAAGGCTTATAAACAATATATTAAGAAAATGTTCTAAATTTTTTCTGAAATGAAGATAACGTCCACCATACTATAATTTCAAACCTGGAGTTTAAAAAATATATGTAATCATCCCAGCACTTTGGGAGGCTGAGGTGGGCAGATCACTTGAGGTTAGGAGTTCGAGATCAGCCTGGCCAATATGGTGAAAACCCATCTCTACTAAAAATACAAAAAATTAGCTGGGCGTGGTGGCAGGTGCCTATAATCGCAGCTACTCGGGAGGCTGAGGCAGGAGAACAGCTTGAGCCCAGGAGGCAGAGGTTGCAGTGAGCCATGATCGAGCCACTGTACTCCAGCCTGGGGGACAAAGCGAGACTCTATCTCAAAAATAAATAAAAAAATAAAATATGTAATCATTTTAAGTAAAATTATTGTACTTTACAGTGACTGAGAACAGTCATATCTGTGAGGTTTGGATCTGTAGATTCAATATACTGCACATTGAAATATTCTGTTGCATCTGTACTGAGCATAGACAGACTTTTTCTCATGATTATGTCTCAAACAATACAGTGTAAAAACTATTTCACGGCATTTACATTGTATTAGGTATTATAAGGAACCTGGAGCTGATTTAAAGTCTACGAGGGAATGCACGTAGGTTATATGCAAATTCTATACCATTTTACATCAGAGAGATGATGGTATCTACACTCCATTGTTATGAAAAGACATGTCCTAGGAAACAATTTCCTAATATAATCTGAATTATAAATGTTTGGGAGCATACTGTAAAACATTTCAGATTATTTCCAGATTAGGGAAAGATCTTTTACCAGCAGTTCTAGGTAAATAAACTTGCTAAGACATCCCTGAATTTTCTGCTGCCAGTGAATAAATCACACCCCTTGTCACCTCCTTCTCTTCTTCCCCAAAAACACCTTTTCCCAAATAACCAGCATTAGATCAAAGCCTTTCACCCAAAGCTCATTAACTGCATTAGACGGCAGAGGGTGATTAGGAAAACTGTGTTTACTTCCTGGGCTGCAGAACCAAAGCACCATAGATTGGGTGGCATAAAAATATAGTAAATTTATTCTGTCTGCTCTGGAGGCTGGAAGTCCAAGGTCAAGGTGTTGGCAGGACTGGGTCTTTTTTTTTTTTTTTTTTTTTTTTGAGACAGAGTCTCACTCTGTTGCCCAGGCTGGAGTGCAGTGGCACGATCTTGGCTCACTGAAACCTCTGCCTCCCGGGTTCAAGTGATTCTCCTGCCTCAGCCTCTCAAGTAGCTGGAATTACAGGTGCATGCCCCTGTACCCAGCTAATTTTTGTATTTTTAGTAGAGACGGGGTTTCACTATGTTGGCCAGGCTGGTCTTGAACTCCTGACCTCAGGTGATCCACCCACCTCGGCCTCCCAATGTGCTGGGATTACAGGCAAGAGCCAACATGCCCAGCCAAGGGCTGGGTCCTTCTGAGGCTGCGAGGGAAGGATCGGTTCCAGGCCTCTCCCAGCTTCTGCTAGCTGCTCCTGATCCCTGGTGCTCCTTTGCTTGTGGCCGCATCAACCCCATCTTGGCCTCCATCATCACACGGCCTTTTCCCTGTGTCTGTGTCCAGATTTCCTCTTTCTATAAGGATACTAGTCATATTGGCCTAGGCAACCCCCACTCCTGCATGACTTCATCTTAACTACAGATTCTCCTCAATGTATGATGGGGTTATGTCCGATAAACCCAGTGTACGCTGAAAGTATCATAAGTAGAAAATGCACTGAATACACTCGACCTACCAAACATCACAGCTCAGCCCAGCTATCTCAACTCACTCAGAACACTCACGTGAGGCTACGGTTGGGCAAAATCATCTCACAGAAAGCCTACCTTAAAATGAAGTATGGGGTCGGGTGTGGTGGCTCACGCCTGTATTCCCAGCATTTTGGGAGGCCGAGACAGGTGGATCACCTGAGGTCAGGAGTTCGAGACCAGCCTGGCCAACATGGTGAAATCCCATCTCTACTAAAAATACAAAATTAGCCAGGCATGGTGACACGTGCCTGTAATCCCAGCTACCCAGGAGGCTGAGGCAGGAGAATCGCTGGAACCCGGGAGGCGGAGGCTGCAGTGAGCTGAGATCGTGCCACCGCACTTCAGCCTGGGTGACAAGAGCGAGACTCCATCTCAAAAAAAAAGTATGGAATATCTCATGTAATTTATTGAATACTGTACTGAAAGTGCAAAGCAGAATGGCCGTATGGGTATGTGAGGTATGGTTTCTAGTGAATGTACATTGCTTTTGAACCATCATAATGTCAAAAAATTAAATCCAACCACTGTAAGTTGAGGGCCATCTGTGATTACATACATTGGCAGTGCCCCTAACACAGTTTGAGGTACTGGGGTTTAGGGCTTCAACATACAAATTTTAAGGGGACACAATTCAACCACCTTGCTGGATTTCAATCTTGTAATGTGATCTTATCACATTTTCTAAAGTATTTATTTGTTGGGGAACATGAACACTAACGTGTCCAGGACCAGGAAGCAAAGTCAAGCCTCGAATGACTCCATTAGTGTCTCTGGCCCAAGCATTGCAGGGAGTGGCGGGGGCGCCCAGGGGAAAGGCTGGCCTATTTGTAATGTGGGGTGTCTGAACATCTCCAGGAGGCCAGCAGTGCCAGGCAGTGCTCAGTGGCCTCCAACCTTCCACCTGCCTGTGGAAGGGCCGCCCCGGCACACAGCCCCAGCACACGTGACCTCTTACCCCAAGTCACAGTGACAGCATCTGCCTGCAACTGGGCGGCTGAGAACGGGCAGCACAGCCAGAGACAGACTTGAGGTCCCAACCAGTGGTTCTCAAAGTGGGGTCTCCAGACCAGCAGCAGCAGCAGCAGCAGCAGCATCCCCTGGAAATCTGCACACTCTTGGAGCCCACATCAGACCTCTTGAATCAGAGACTCTGGATGTGGGGCCCAGGGGTCTGAGTTGCACAAGCCTTGAGGGTCCTGAGGCACAGTGCAGTTTAAGGCACTGTTCTAGCTCACCCTGCTGGCCCCTTCTCTGGCCCCGTGGCAATCCCGTGACAGGCACTGGATAAAGATGTGCAGACCACATGCCTGGCTCAGGGCAGGTCCCTCTAGAGACAGCGCTGAGCCTCCCCGCTGTGGACCATGCTTCCTGTTGCTACAGTGGGAAGGACGTGTGCCCTGCAGGCTGCTGGGGCCCTCAGGGGCATGCTGCATATGGTGACAGTCACATTCCTGTGGCAAGCAGGGGGCTTCCATGCATCTGCCGCCAGGGTCCCTGCCAGGGAGGTGGATGCACAAGTGAATGGCCAGATCCTGGCCCCTGGTGGGAAATAGGGTTAAAACATGGTTTCCTTATACCTTTAAAGCCAGGAACCCAGTGAGCAAATAAATGAATGGGCAAAAGGCTGGATGAAGTTTTATGAAATGAGCAAAATGAGAATTTTGATTTCTATTTACTAGTGGGCAGAGCTCAGGAGGAGGTCAGTACCTGCAGATGGCATCAGCACTGGACACAGACTGCCCAACAGAAGCCCAGGCCATGCCAGCTGAGCGGCCTTTCCTCCTGCAGGCATCTGTTAAGAAATGTATCCTCGGCCTGCCACAGGGGCTGCAGGGCAGAGCCGTCAGGGACACAGCCTTGGGTTCTCCTGCCTGCTCTTCGCTGACCGATGGCCAAGGGCCAGCTGCGTCATGATTTCTGCTATGAAATGGGTTAATAAGACTCGGGCACACCTCACAGGGTTGTCATGAGGATGAAGAGTTAACATCAACATATTCCATCTTTGTGCACTACTAGAAATATTTGTGCTGAAATAATAAAAACACCTGCTCACAGACTAAAAGAAAAATACCGAAATCCCAGACCCAATCCCCCACTTTCTGAATCTGCAGCAGGGCCAGGGCTGTCCTGGGGCCTCTCCTGTTCTCCTCCATCAGCGCACGGTCCCAGCACTCAGGTTTGGAAGGCGGGCAGCACGAGGCTGGACCTGGTTGGTCCTGACCCACGGGGCCATCAAGCCTCTTGCTAGAGCCAGGGCTGGGAGAGCAGATGCAGGGCTGGTGACAGAACACACCTCAGTATTCCTGGAGCACAGCTTCCACGGAGCTCCTGGTGGGAGGAACAACTGGCAGAGGAACCTCCGAAATTCCAACCACACAGACCTCTCTGCACACAGAGCCCAAGGAGACGGCAGCCTGGGCGTCTCTGAAAGTCCCATTGGATCAGACACACAACTGGAGCCAACCCCTGCGGGGCCAGCGCCCGGACCTCCAGGAGGCTGTGGGTCTCCCAGAAGGCTGTCGGCCCAGCACTCCTGCTCCTCAGCTTGTGGTTAAGTTCGTTTCTTTCTTTTCTCCTTCCTTCCTTCATGTTTATTTATTTATTTATTTATTTATTTTGAGATGGAGCCTTGCTCTGTCACCCAGGTTGGGGGGCAGTGGCACAATCTTGCCTCACTAAAATCTCCACCTCCTGCGTTCAAGCAATTCTCCTGTCTCAGCCTCCTGGGTAGCTGGGATTACAGGTGTGTGTCACCACACCAGGCTAATTTTTGTATTTTTAGTAGAGACGGGGTTTCACCATGTTGGCCAGGCTGGTCTTCAACTCCTGACCTCAGATGATCCACCCGCGTTGACCTCCCAAAGTGCTGGGATTACAGGTGCCAGCCACCGCACCCAGCCAAAGTCGTTTATTTCTCTTTTGCTAAAATACAGATACCTATGAGGGGCCACACAGGCCCACTGACGGTACTGAGATGCTTCTTTTTTAAGTAACTTTGTTTAGCTTTGTTTAGAACAGCTTTAGATTTACAGCAAAACTGACATAGAACAGGGCTCCCACACACCCCTCCCCCAGTGTCCTCCAATATTCATATCTTAAGCTTATGGTGCCTTTGTTGCAATTAATGAGCCAATATTGGTACATTATTATTAACTATGCACAGTT
The DNA here is from genome assembly GCF_000001405.40 of Homo sapiens. Lineage (NCBI taxonomy): Eukaryota > Metazoa > Chordata > Mammalia > Primates > Hominidae > Homo > Homo sapiens. The sequence continues at coordinate 112,932,483 of NC_000013.11, read as the reverse complement.
TATTCAGGTTTCCACAGTTTTTGCCTAATATATTCTTCTGTTCTAGGATTCAGTCATCCTGTCTCCTTCAGCTCCTCTTGGCTGTGACAGCTTCTCAGAGCTCCCTTATTTTTGATGACTTTGACAGTTTTGAGGGCTACTGGTCAGGTATACTGGAAGCCTCTGTTGGAACTCTGACGTCCTTCTCATGATTGGAGTGGGGAGGATGTGCTTGGGGAGGAGGACTACAGAGGTAAAGTGCCATCCCGGTCACGCCTTACCCAGGGCACGAGTCTACACGCCTGGTCGCCATCGGTGCTGACCTCGATTGCCTGGCTCAGGTCGTCAGGTCCTCTGCTGGGAAGTTACTCTTTCTCCCTCTTTTCGTCTTGAACTCTTCGGAACCACATAGCTGCGCACATCCCACACTCAGGAAGTAGGGTTCTGAGCTCCCCTCGTGACAACAACTCATCTACATGAAGGATGGGGAATTCTTCTGCAAGGGAGACTTATCTCTTGTCTCCAGTCATGTATTAATATCTATTCAATCATTTACGTCAGTGTGGACCCACGCTTCTTCATCTTGTTCTTGGGGTTATAATACAACGCGACTTGACTTTGCTGCTCAAATTGTTCTGCTTTGGTCATGGGGAGTGTTCGGTGGTTCCTGCGTCCCTCTGGCCTGCCCCCATCCACGTGGGTTTGGGTTTTGTTTTGTTTGTTTTGTTCCTCCCTTTCTGTCACTGTAAGATGATCCAGTCTCATCTTGCATACTTCCTGCCTCCATCCTGGAATCTGCGGTTTCTCTAAGAAGCCCAGTTGCTTTTACTGAAGAATGGAATTAGAAACCAAGATCTGGCCACTGGGGACGCTCGTGGACACTGGCTGCTGCTGCTTCCAGGCCCTCTCAGCTGTCAAGGTGAGGAGAGGCAGGCGTGTGCTATGGGATGTGCACAGTATTTCTGTATGTCGCCACCTGTATCTGCACTAAGCTAAGCGTCAGTTCACACTGACGCCGCACACCTGCTCTGTTACAACACGGGTGTAGCCTCTCCTGGAACAGTGAGAAAGCAGCTCCCATCCGCAGACAGCTGCTCACCTAATCGCTCAGTTTCAGCTTCCGGCAGAGCAGCGTCAGCACTGCCGACCTGTATCTACGGGAAACGACGTAATTAAGTGGAGCCTGGGGCGTTTGTGTGGCTTCTTTTGCCTCTAGTCTCACAGACCCCACTCCTGCCCAGAGTCACGCAGGTCAGCACCCTGTTCCTCTTCTTCCGTGAGGCGGTTTCATGCATCTTCAGCACAGGTTGGCTCTCTGCCTCCTGTGCAGGCAGGAGAAAGGGATGTGGAAACACAGAGTGCCACTCCCTCCCCACTGGGAGGCCCCAGAAGACACAGCCAGGACTCTGAACCTCTGTTTGTCATCTGCACGCTGAACCGCTCAGGTGAGAGGCGCGTCCTGGCTCTAACACGCTCCAGTAAAGCTGGCTTGTGTCTCCTGGTTCCTGCATTCCTTCCGGGGACCCCTCTGACCTCCGAAATGATTTTTACTATTTATTTATTTATTTGAGACGGAGTCTCACTCTGTCACCCAGGCTGGAGTGCAATGGCGTGATCTTGGCTCACTCCAACCCCTGCCTCCTGGGTTCAAGCAATTCTCTTGCCTCAGCCTCCTGAGTAGCTGGGATTACAGGCACGCTCCACCATGCCTGGCTAATTTTTGTATTTTTAGTAGAGATGGGGCTTCACCATGTTGGCCAGGCTGGTCTCGAACTCCTGACCTCAAGTGATCTGCCCTCCTCAGCCTCCCACAGTGCTGGGATTATAGGCATGTCCTAAATAATTTTTAAATTTGCAGGTATTAAGATTTACTCTGTGCTGTGCATCTGTATGGGTTTTGACAAATACATGATATCATATACAGTAGTTTCACTGCCCTAAAATCCCCAGAGCTCCACCTACTCACCCCTCTCTCCTCTCAGCAACTATGGATTTTGTCACTGTCTCCATAGTTTTGCCTTTTCCAGAATATCACAGAGTTGGAATCATACAGTCTGTGGCCTTTTCAGATTGGCTTCTTCCTCTTGGCAATAAGCATCTAAGTTTCCTCTATGTCTCTTCATGACTTAGCCCATTTCTTTTCACTGCTGAGTAATATTCCATCATCTGCATGGACCACAGTTTGTTTATTCATCTACTGAATGACATACTGGTTGCTTCCAGGTTTTAGTGCTTGTGAATAAAGCTCCTATAAACACTTATGTGCAGGTTTTTGTATGGACATGTTTTCAACTAGTTTGGGTAAACACCAAGAAGCAAGATCACTGGACTGTATGGTAAGAGTGCATTTAGCTTTGGAAGTAACGGCCATACTGTCTTCCCCACTCCCTCCGCTCCATCCCAGTGAACGAGAGCTCCCCATGCCCTGTGTCCTCGCCAGTACCAGGCGTTGTGAGGTTTTGTGGAAGCCGATGCTCTAACAGGTGTGTAGGGGCATATGTAACTCTCTAATGACAAATGATTCTGAGCATCTTTTCTGGCACTGGTTTTTATTAGAGCGTTATCCCAGCAACGGCTTTCAATGACAAATGGGAAGAATGAACGTCACAAAACAGGGGTCATCTGGGAAAGAAAGGATCGCCACAAACGGAAGAAAACAACAAGCAGCCAACTGCTAACTCAGCCACAGTGACCGTCCCAAGTCACTTCCCGAGCCTGTGGTCACTCCGCCATCCCGACCATGCAGTCCGTGATGCAGGCGTCATCATCTGCTTTCTGCAGAAGAGGAACCCGAGGCCGGAGGTTCTGGGCAGGGTGCTCAGGATGCTGTGGCCAGCGGTAAGGGGCCAGGGTCTGGAGCTCCACCCACCTGGTGATTCTGACACCTGCTGTGGAGGGGCCTGAGGGCAGGGGCAGACTCCATGCACTTCACAGATTTCATCAGGAGTGTGAAGAGTTAACCTGGAAATGAGTTTCAAATGAACTCCCTGTTGTTTTTCCCAAGTGGTTTTACTAATGCATTTAAGAGAAGGCGGAAAGGGCAGGCTCCCATCCCGATAAAAGATAAATGGCTTTATCCCATTTCCTGGCCTATAAGTGGCAGTGTGCCAAGAAGACCAAACTGCTGACAGCGTCCTGCAGCCACGAAGTTGAACAAACCGCAGCGTTGCTGCAGCCGCGCAGGAATCGGGGAAAGAGATTCACATTAAGGACAACCACGAATCCAGGAATAAAGAGCAAACACCCCTTTGAAGAGGGAGACCCAGTGGCCATTTATGGAACCAATATAAAACTGATCAGGTAAGTCCCTGATTTCTCCATGGCAGGAAAAGGCAAAATGAGCCAACAGCTGGAGCTCCCTGTGCAGGCAGGAGAAAGGGATGTGGAAACACCGAGTGCCACTCCCTCCCCGCTGGGAGGCCCCAGAAGACACAGCCAGGAGGACTCTGAACCTCTGTTTGTCATCTGCACGCTGAGTAGCTCAGGTGAGAGGCACGTCCTGGCTCTAACATGCTCCAGTAAAGGCTGGCTTGTGTCTCCTGGTTCTGTGTCCACAGGTGCCAGCCACAGACAGCCCCACTGCAGATGCCACAGACTGTCAGCTGGGAGGAGGCGCAGACCTCCATCCATGTATGTGGCCAGAAAAGGCCCTCGGCCGGGAAGTCCTCTCAAGGAGGGTCTGAGGAGCACGCACATCCCTCTCCCCTGCAGGGAAGCGTCAGAGCTGCTGGAGACTGTTTTTAAAAAACATATGGTCCTTTCCCCGTGCCAAGACCACATGCGTTTTACATGTGTCTCTTAGTCCTGTGTGTGTCCCATACAACAGGCAAAGTAAAGTTTCAGAGTGCACACTCCAGCTATTCACAGACACTAGCGATGCCAATGCTCCTATAAAACAAATACTAGGAGTAGACAGTCATCATGACTTTTTTGGGGGTGAAGGGAGGAAAAAAGCACCATATTTATTTGAAAGATATGGACATAGTTCCTTTCCATTTAGATAGCATCTTTGCAAGTACAGTAACGGCTGGCATGGCTAGACAGAAATAGGCTCTGTGCACATTTCCAAGGATTATAACGAGGCACATTCACGCAGAGAATTAATTATGACTGTGAGGAAAAAAGACCACAGCAGTGCTTAGAAGACTGAGGAATCAAGCAGGTAGGGCAGTGTCTGCCATGCAACTTACATTATAAAAAGTTTTCTTTAAATCATAGAAATTTCAAACGAGTGCAAAAACATCAGAAACGGTGCAATGACTGCAACAACGTTGGTGCACGGCCGGCCGCGTTTCACCCGCATCCCCAGCAACGGCTGCCCACCACCATCAATCCAAGGCAAACCCCAGACAGCACAGAACTGTTAACACGTGCAGAGTTCAGTAAACATTCCTAAAAGGTAATGACTTTTTATACACATAAACACAATACAATCAATTCCACAGCCACAATACAATTAATAATTATTCAGAATTAAATATCTAGCCAGTGTTAACGTTTCTCCTGTTATTTTTCTCTGTGTTTTCTAGACACATTTTGTTTGAACTAGGATCAAAATCTTATCCAGTCCATAGCCTGCAATTGGCTGCTATTTCCTGAGTCTCTTTTGATAGACAGGTTTTCTTGCTGATTCTCTTTTCTTTGTATTTTTGTTGTTGTTGTTGGAGAAACCAGGTCATTTGTCATGTAGAGCTTCACATGAGGTGGGTTTTGTCGATTACGCCCCCTTGGAGGTGTTTATCATGTGCCTCTGTCCCCGGTATTTCCTATAAATTGACAGTTACATCTAGGTGCCTGGTCAGATTCTGGTTCAGCTTTTACTTTTACTTTTTTGGCAAGAGCAGTTCACCAAGGGAGGTGCTAATGTCCAACTCGCCTTCTGTGATGCCAGCAGCTTCCTGATCAGAGGCTGTGGAATTGACTGTATTGTGTTGATGTTTTATAAAGAGTCATTCATTACCTTTTAGTCTTGCACTTGCTGGTAGAACAAGATGTTGTAGGCTCGTTGGAAACATTTTTCCCCAGACCCGGTCATTTATCCAAAGACCTCCAGATCTTCTCAGTGGGAATGACATGAGGAGACCACAACTGGGCTCTCTGTGTTCAGTTTTTTCCATGGACAGGTCTAGAAACCATGTATTTTACGATAAAAGACACTGGACTTATACAGATGCTTCCAGTTCAACATCAAGACTAGAAGACTATTAAAAAATTGCAAATAACTCTATTTCTGCCAGAGTACTTTTGGGACAGATTCCTAGAAGTGGAATTGCTGGTCAAAGGGCAAACGTGTCTATGACCTCGCTAGATACTGCCAAGTTCACATGATGAGGTCATGCCATTTGCCGCAGCCATGCCACGGGAGAGTTCAGCCCTCCCCACTTCTCCAGCTAAACTTCTGATTAGCAAGAGGCAGTATGCCAGTGTGCTTTTAATTCATATTTCTCTGTAAGTGTGATTTAGCATCTTTTTTCTTTTAAATTGACAAAAACTGTATTTATAGCACACTACATGATGGTCTGAAGTATGTATGCACAGTGGAAAGGCTAAATCGAGCTAATTAGCACATGTCTTAACTCATATGCTTATTTCTTAGTGGTGGGAACACTTAAATCTACTCTTAGCAATTTCAGAAATTCATTATAGTCACCATACTGTACAATAATCCCTGACCAACATCTTCCCAGCACATCCCACCCCGCCCCCTGCCCCAGGCGACCGCCACTCTGCTCCTATGAGTTCCCCTTTCTGCGAGTACACATGTAAGTGAGAACATGCAGGATTTGTCTTTTTGTGCCTGGCTTATTTCACTTAACAGAATGTCCTTTGGGTTCATATATGTTGTCACAAATGATACGGTTTCATCCTTTTCCAAGGCTATACAGCACTCCACTGTGTGTATATAGATGAAGCCACACAGCACTCTGCTGTGCATATCGACCAGGTGGCACAGCACCCCCCTGTGCATGTAGACCAGGCCGTACAGTACTCCGCTGTGCATGTAGACCAGGCCGTGCAGCACTCCGCTGTGTATATAGACCAGGCCGTACAGTACTCCGCTGTGTATAGAAACCAGGCCGTACTGCACTCCGCTGTATATGTAGACCAGGCCGTACTGCACTCCACTGTGTATGTAGACCAGGCCGTGCAGCACTCCGTTGTGTATGTAGACCAGGCCGTACTGCACTCCGCTGTGTACGTAGACCAGGCCATGCAGCACTCCGCTGTGTATATAGACCAGGCCATAGTGCACTCCGCTGTGTATATAGATTAGGCCGTACAGTACTCCACTGTGCATATAGACCAGGCCATACTGCACTCCGCTGTGTATATAGAGCAGGCCGTACCGCACTCCGCTGTGCAAACAGACCAGGCTGTACAGCCCTCTGCTGTGGATACGGACCATGTTCTGTTTATCCCCTCATCTGTGACCGATCCCATATCTTGGCTACTGTGATGGATTTCTTTTTCTGTGAACTACTGGTTGATATCTCTAGATTTTTTTTTCTATAGGGATAAAAATTATGCTATTCTTTACTTTAGAAACCATATATTAAATAGCAACCTTTCATTTTGATAATTGCCAATATTTTTTCCAGTCTGTCACAGGACTTTTCACTTTGCTTCTTGTTTTCTTCTCATGCAAAGTTTAAAATACGTTTAATGTAATCAACGCAATGCTTTCTTGTGTGGTTTTGCTTTATGTTAAGATTCCTTTACTAGATATAGGAACATGCACGGAGCAGTTTATCACATCAAACGTATGTATGTACCCAGTGACCACTGCCCAGGTCAGCTAAAGAACATTTCTAGTACCCCAGGAGGCTTCCTGGCCCCTTCCCAACCAATATTTCCCAAGAGGTAGCAGCCATTAATACTATGACCACTACCAGAGAAGCTAGTTTTGCCTGATCTTGAGATTGATGTGTGAACTGCAGGCATGTTGTAGTGGTTTATTTCTTCTCGTGTAGCTTTGTGGGGTATGAATATGATGCCCTTTATTTAACCCGTTTTCTCTTAAGGCTCCTAGAGGTTAGGGTGTCCAGCGTGGGGCTCCTGGGCATCAAGCTGCTGTGAACGTCCACATACGTACACGTACAGAAGTACTCCTTCCTTTTGGGTGCACAGTTAGGGTGGAATCGGAGGGCAGGCACATGCTTAGCTTTAGACCCTGTCCATGTTTTCCAAAGTGGTCATAGCAATATGCCTTCCCACCAGGAAATGTGAGCACTGGTATCCCACTTCTGCACCAACCACTTGGAATAGCCAGTCTTTAATTTTAGCCACTCTGGTGGACGAAGAATGGTACCCTATTGTGGTTTTAATGTACATTTTGCCCTTGAATCATGATGCCAACCACATTCTCATATGCTTATTGGATATGCCTATTGGATTACTTTTTACATTTAAATCACAGGTCCATCTGGTACTTATCCAGGTGAAAGGTGTGAAGAAGACCTGACTTTCATCTTTTTCCATGAGGCTATCCAGTTATCCCAACACCATTGATAACCAAGGTCATCTTTTCCAGCACGAAATTTACATGCTGCCTTGAGCTACATGGATCTTCCCCAGGCAGCCTGATTTGCTTCTGGATTTTTATTCTGTTCCATTCACCTGTCCTTGTTCTTATGCCAGGATCCACACCATTTTCATTAAAGAGGCTGTATAGAAAATTTTAACGTCTGGGCAGCCCATTCCCCTCTGATACTCTCCAGGGTTTTCTCAGGTGTTCATGTTTGTTTCTCTAAGTGGGTTTTATGATCAACTTGTCTAGCACCCTGAGAAAGAAAAAGATGATGTGTTTATTGGGGCTCCTTAAGTGTATGCATTAATTCAGGGAGAACTGATGTCTTTGTCATGTGGAGCTTCCCTATCTAAAGCTATCATATACCTTTTCCATGTGTTCAAGTCTTCTGTGTCTCAGGAGTATTTTATAGTTTTCCTCGTATCAGCATTTATTAAACGAGAATGCTAAAAACAGAGGTACTTTATTTTTGCTACTATAAATATTATCTCTCCCATTAGATCTTCTCCTTGGTTTTTGTTCCTACCTATGATTTCTACATGTTAAGCAGCAGGGTATAAAATTTATTAATTCCCTTATTTTTTTGTAGCATTTTATCCAATGATTATTTTGGGTTTTCCAGAAATGTAACAACTGCATACGGAGAAATTGAAAATAGAGATAATGAAAAGGAAAAGGTAAACTCCCGTGTCTGTGCTGTCTCTGTAGCCCAGCTGCGTGTGGGGGCACTCTAACGACGACACATCGTGGGGGGGTTGTGGGGAGCTTCACTCTGTTCTTGGCTTCAGTGGGAGAGCTTCCAGCATTTCCTGCTGAGTAGGATGCTGGCTTTGGGGATAATGTGTGTGCGTATTTTTAGGTCATGTTACAGAAGCTCTCCCTTCTTAACCATGTCGTCAAATTTAACACCACCAGTAACGGGATAAACCGGTCTCGTATGCTTCCTGATAGGACGCTCTGGGAAGGACACATCAGCATTTCTGGGCCAAAAATGCATCTCCTGGATTTAGCAATAAACATTAGACAAACCCCAATTTAGGAATGTTCTACAACATAACTGGCCTGCCCTCTCCAAAGTGGCGGTGTCATGAAACAAAGAAATACTAAGGGGCTGCTCCAGAGTAAAGAAAGATAAAACACAGGACAACTGAATGCAGCTCCTGCTCCAAATTCTCATGCTCCTGAATTTTCTTTTGCTTTAAAGGACATTTAGGGGGACAACTCATAGACTCTGGATCTACATACAAAACAGCAGTGATTAGAGAAGAGTGTGTTGAAGTTAATTACCTATTAGGTTGCTGCAAAGGTAATTGTGGGTTTTGCCATTCAAAGTAATGGCAAAAAACAAACAATTTGGAGAATTATACTCTAGTTTTATAAGCAAACAAATATATTTGTTAAGAAGTAAACACTGGCCAGGTGCGGTGGCTCACACCTGTAATCCCAGCACTTTGGGAGGCCGAGGCAGGTAGATCACCAGGTCAGGAGATTGAGACCATCCTGGCTAACACGGTGAAACCCCATCTCTATTAAAAATACAAAAAAATTAGCCAGGCGTGGTGGCGGGCGCCTGTAGTCCCAGCTACTCGGGAGGCTGAGGCAGGAGAATGGCGTCAACCCAGGAGGCGGAGCTTGCAGTGAGCCGAGATCTTGCCACTGTACTCCAGCCTGGGTGACAGAGCAAGACTCCGTCTCAAAAAAAAAAAAAAAAAAAAAAAAGAAGCAAACACTGAAGTTCATGGAGATAAAAGGGTAGCCTGTCTGTCACGTACTCTCTGACACCTAGAAAATAATAATGTATATTTGTGTAATATGCACACATGAGAGAAGAAAGCAAACATGGTGAAACATAATATTGAGGAATCTGAGTGTCTTATATACGAGAATTCTTTGTGCTACCCTTGCCATTGTTCTGTACATCTGAAATTGTTAAAATAAAGGTTACAGAAAAAAGTATCCACCAATTCCTATGACTGGATTTCTTTTAACATAAAGAGGCACCGCATTTGTCGAGTGCTTTTTCCACATCTATGAAACTTACATGATTTCTCTCTATGCATTAATGGATTCTAATGTTAACCATCTTTGCATTCCTTGAATAAACCCCTAATTGTCACGATGGTTTTTGTTTGTTTGTTTGTAGAGATGGAGTCTTGCTCTGTCGCCCACGCTGGAGTGCAGTGGCACGATCTCAGCTCACTGCAACCTCCGCCTCCCAGGTTCAAGCAATTCTCCTGCCTCAGCCTCCCAAGTAGTTGGGACTACAGGCACGTGCCACCACGCCTGGCTAATTTCTTCTGTGTTTTAGTAGAGACAGGGTTTCACCGTTTAGCCCAGGCTGGTCTTGAACTCCTGAGCTCAGGCAATCTGCCCGCCTCGGTCTCCCAAAGTGCTAGGATTACAGGCGTGAGCCACTGCGCCTGGCTGATGGGTTTTTTTTTTTTTTATGTGTTGTGAATGCTTTCAGATTTTTACTTCAATGCTGAGAAATGAGATTGAGATCAGTCCATAGTTTATTTCTGCCAAAGTACTATGTTGCCAGGTTTGGGGATCAATGTTGAAATCACTACATAAAGTGACATTAAAGGACAGAAAAAGAAAACCTCACAAAGCAGTTTAAGTTGCACTGAAATTGTATGATCTTTAGAGATCTGGAAGACGTTCTGTGTGGAATAATCTGGCTTGCTCTTTCGGGGAAGAGCTCTTTCCTTTCCCCATTTATTCTAGACTTTGGCTCTATCAGTATCAAATTTGGAAAGCTGTAATTTTCTGAAAAACTATCTGTTTCTTCTACGCTTTCAAATTTATTGAGTTTTGGTTGTACAAAGTCGACTACTATATAAAGTGCCCTCTGGCAGGGGCTGCTCCCGGCCCACACGTTTCCAGCTCTGGGCCTCTGGACTTTTCCTCCATTCACTGTGAGCTGGGGCCTCATGTGTCTCTTTCAAAACAGCTTTTAGATTTATTATTTTTATTATTTCTATCCTTATTTTCTGCTTTTATCTACTTTTTGTGGCTTGTTTTATTGTTCTTTTTCTACCATTTTTATGTAGGTATTTGCATCCTTTTTACATTTTTACTGATATAAGTATTGATATAATCCTCCTGACACTCTCTCCTGCCATATTTCATAGATTTGCTAAGTTGTGTGTTGTACTTTTAGGAACTCTCCACTTTAGCTGGCATGGCCTCCAACTCAAAGGCTGCTTAGCGGCATTTTTGTTTTGTTTCTTTTCCAGCCTTCTGATTTTATTCTTAACGTCTAGGACAGTGTTCCTGTATTATTCATATCCCTGGGAATTTGAGGGTGTCTCTGTCGTCCAAAATACAATCAGTTTTCTAGAAATTGTGTCTCGTGTATCTAACAGGAAGGTTTATTTTGCAGCAGTGTTCGCAGGTTGACCGACTCTATGGGACTTCCCTCAGGGTTTCTGTGTCTTGACAGAATTTTCTTTGATCTATCTTAGACTAGGAGGTGGGAGGTCGTTTGGTTCCTGATTGTTTTCCACACAAATCCTATAGACTCTGATTTACTAAAGTTATTGCTGCACTCCTGGATGCTGACAGGTAAACAGTGTGTGGAGCCTCCCTGCAAATCTCAGACTTTATCAATGGAGGCGTCTTTATCCTTCAAGGCTTTTGCTCTGAATTCTGCGTTGTTAGGCATCAAACTTGCAACCTCTGTTTTCTTACTTGGTTTGACCAGCCTGCCCTATTCGTCCTTCTATTTTAACTTCTTCTGGCAGTTTTTTTGTTTTGTTTTCTGTTTTTTGTTCTGTTTTGTTTTGTTTTTTGTTTTTGAGACGGAGTCTTGCTCTGTCGCTCAGGCTAGAGTGCAGTGGTGCAATCTCGGCTCACTGCAAGCTCTGCCTCCCGGATTCACGCCATTCTCCTGACTCAGCCTCCCGAGTAGCTGGGACTACAGGCGCCCGCCACCACACCCGGCTAATTTTTTGGATTTTTTTTTTTTTTTAGTAGAGATGAGGTTTCACCATGTTAGCCAGGATGGTCTCAATCTCCTGACCTCGTGATCCGCCTGCCTCGGCCTCCTAAAGTGCTGGGACTATAGGCTTGAGCCACCGCGCCTGGCCATGGCTGTGTTTCTTTCAGGAGTGTCTCTTGTGCAGAGTGAGTGGCTGCACTGCTCTTTGTGAGCCAATCTGTGCCCTCAGCCTGTGGGGCTCTTCCTCCTCTCCACCTTCTGAATCCTGTCCACCTGGAAGAGCTCGGTCGGGTCCTCCCTGCAAGCCCCCCGCCCACCCACCACCAGCACCCACCCACAACCCAACTCTCCCTGCAAGCCCTCCCCCTGGCACCCACCCACAACCTGACTGGATTACTGTTGACTAACTGCTCCCCTCCAGCTTCAGAGCAGCCCGGTAACCGCAGGGCAGCAGGCCATACAATGTGCAGGCTACTTGCCATCCTGTCCTGCGTTCTGGGGTCACCGGCCATCCACAGGCATCTAGTTTCAACAGATGGTAAATTCTAGTCTTTCTGCATTTAACCAAATCTCAGGAACTCAGCTCAGCTCAACAGGTACAATGTGCCCCATGAATATCAGATAACTGATCACAAACACGCGTGTGCACACACACACACAAGCCAGCAGCAACACACAGACATCACTCTTCATAGCTGATTTTGAATGCAGAGTTTTCTTCTGCATTTTGCACCAACTACAAACAACAAAAACTCTATGTTTTCTGTTAGAGAACAACAGAACTGTACTCTACAGACACACGCCTCCTCCCACCTCTCCGCCATGTACCCATACGTGAGCTCTTCACTCTGCAGTTCAGCCAGGTAACACGGGCTTGTCTGCCAGATTCTCTCCCTTAGACACCTAACTGTCCAGGTAGCATGGTAACCTTCCTGATTCTAACTTGAGACCCAGAAAAACTCCAAACTGTGGGAGGGACAGCACAGCTTGAGATAAAGGAAACCTAACAGTCACTCCAAATGCAGGAAAACACTGATTTCATGGAGGAGGGGTGCCTCGCTACCATAAGAAAAGAAGGAAAGAGACATCTGAAACATCCATAATTCAGCCATGCCTTGATATTTGAGGGAAGAGAAATTACACTGGTTTTGGGGTCCTTCAAAGCATGAAAAATTTGATATTGCATCTCAAATACATTTCATGGTCTACTTAGTTTAATTTTAAAAATTGCATTTTGGAGTTACAGATGGTACTGATAAAATGAATGAATACTGTTATCAAGAGTGTAACTAAAAAAATCTGTCTAGTAGGTATGAAGAACAAATGTTAAACTAGCTAAGAAAAGACTACAAATACAAACTCTTGGGAAAAACACCCACTTAATAACAATTACTCTCAGAATTTGCAGGCTTTATGTGCTTTCTATTTTCTCAAGGCGTTTCTAGGCATTTTTTTTTAAAACAAAACAGTGATTCCTAACAGTTTTGAAAGAAAAATTTCATTTAAATATTATAAAAATTGCAAATTCTGGCCGGGCGCGGTGGCTCACGCCTGTAATCCCAGCACTTTGGGAGGCCGAGGCGGGCGGATCACGAGGTCAGGAGATCGAGAGCATCCCGGCTAAAACGGTGAAACCCCGTCTCTACTAAAAATACAAAAAATTAGCCGGGCGTAGTGGCGGGCGCCTGTAGTCCCAGCTACTTGGGAGGCTGAGGCAGGAGAATGGCGTGAACCCGGGAGGCGGAGCTTGCAGTGAGCCGAGATCCCGCCACTGCACTCCAGCCTGGGCGACAGAGCAAGACTCCGTCTCAAAAAAAAAAAAAAAAAATGCAAATTCTTACCTGATAGTCTTTTGTTAGAATATATAATTGAAAAAATGCCTAAAAACTAAAAGTTATATTGTGTGGTTTTATATCTTGTAAATGAATTTGAATTAATGAAATTGTTGCTAGGCACAAGGAAAGAGAATGAAGGAATAGTAAGAGAGGCACGGGGCCCACAGACCACAGGTGTCAGCATAGAGGTCTGAGAGCCTTTCAACAGCGCCTCTGCCAGCAAGTGCAGTGGAAGGGGGCGCGCGTCGGGGAAGCGCAGGGGCAGAGCCCACAGGTGGGGACACGGAGGATGGGGCACTTCAAGAATCCGTGTAATCCAGATGGGCCTCAGCTCCTGCACTGGGAAAATGGGACCCCGCTCGTGAAAGTCTGGGCCGATGCTTCAGTCAGGTCTCTTACCAAAACGACTCTCCAGTCCACTTTTGCTCAGTGAATTAAAATGCTGCATCCCTAACCAGAAAGCACTGCTGCTCTGCATATAATGTTTATATCCACAGCACCTCCCAGGAGACAAAAGCAGGAAATGCCAGCCAGCTGAGTGACAGACACCAGCTCTGCCCCTGTTCATCACTGGAATCTTCCAAGGCAGCTGACTTTGGAGCCACCCCACGCCCCTGCATCCCCCAGGCTGCATCCCCCCAGGCCTAGGTTTTTCAAACTGGCCTTTCCAGGGTGTGGTCCCCTCCCTACTCTCTCCCCATGGACATTCTCTCCATATGCAACCCAACAAGGACAAGGGCCTGCACACCCTCAACTTGCCGAGGTGTGGGAAACCCCACGGGGAAGTGAACTGCGTCAGTTACTCCTGCTCTCTCTCCCAGTCTACTGGAGTTCCCCAACACGGAGCTTCCACCAAGCTGGCTTCCCAAAATGACGTTCTCGTGACGTTCCTGTGATCCCCATCCCCAGTGTTAGGGTAGTAACAGTTCTCCCCTCAATGGGGCTGTCAGCACTGTTTCCAGGGACCCTCCTCATCCCTAACATGCGCTCAGGAGCTTCAGTTCCTCCCGCGCAGATGCCTTCCCGGACACAGTGCGTTCCCTTAATTTGCGATTGCTAGGAATTATGAAGGCAGCACAATGACTCAGAGACAGGTCCTGCCTTCAAGAGGTTAACACCCAACTAGGTGAAGACAAATCCTCAAATAATTATGCCACTGGTTAGAAAAAGTGGCAAGTTATCTGGAAAGATACAAAGTCCCAGGGGACTTCAAACAGACCAGGAAATGGTACTGGACTGTGGGCTCAGCCCTGAAGGTGTCCTGAAAGGACTGAGTTCACCTGGGGACGCAAGCCGGCCTGGAGCAGGGGGGTGGGCAGGTGAGGCTAGGTCAGAGTCCAGAGGGTCTAGAAGCCAGCTTTCTTGTAAGTCTTCAACCTTAGTAAGGAGAACCCCCGCAGCAAACAAGAGAAGGGAAAATCACATGAAATGAAACCTACAAACACACAAACTACCCATCCAGTGGAAGTACCTCCAGGTCAGAGCTGAACAGGAAGACACCAAGGAGGGCCTGAAAGAACATCAGGGGGAACTGCGGCCGACTGTGGAGGTCTCTCAGGAGAGGGTCCCACCCAGAGGGAGGAAGGAAGGCACGAAGGGCCAGGTGGGCCACCGGAGGGGGCTGTGTTTACCCTGCTGAACTGAGGATTTCAGCAGAGAAGGGCCCGCACTCACCTTCGAGAGGTCACCGCTTGCTGTTCTGCGAGACGGCGGTGGGGAGGGACAGGCGCAGAGGCAGCGCGACCTCAAAGTGGGAGACAGGGCGGTAGCCTGGCTGGATTCTGGATCTGTTCTGGAGGCACAGCCAACAGGATTTCCCGGGAGGTCGGATACGGGCATGAGTGAAAACACAGATGAGGACGATGGGGTTTCTGGCCAAAGGAACTGGACGGAGAGGTGCAGTGAACTATGGTGGATGGAGCTGCAGTGGATGACGCGGCTCTGGGAGACCTGTAGGATGCGGGTGGAGGCTCTGCGGAGGCAGGGCGGTGCAGTGCCCGGGGGAGGGGTCCGGACTGGAGCTGTGGACTAGGAATCATCACACTCAGGTGGGTCACAAGCCAGGGGACTGAGATCGCCGAGGGGCTGAGTACAGATGGAGAGATCAGGCAGGTTTAGACAGGAGAAACGACAGCACCTTTGAGTTGACAGGAATCCGGGGAGAACTCAGACTTGGCGATGAGGGAGGATGACTGCCCTGGAGTGGGAAGAGGGATGGGGACACAGACCAGTGTGGGGAGAGCGTGCAGGACCCTCAGAGGTCCGGCAGGAAGGCAGGGATGTGGTGCAGAGCAGAGGTTCAGGGACAGGCAGGGGACAGGCAGGGATGCTCTTCCAACTGGTTCAGCTCTGTCAAGCAGGAATCCAGTCCACCCATTAGAAGTGAGGATGGGGAAGAGGCCTTGGGGGCGAGGGGAGAAGCAAGGCGTGAGCTGGTTGTTCGGGGAGTGGCCCTGAGGACCACTCTAAGGACCACTCGGAGGACCACTGTGGCTCAGAGACTGGAGGATCAACACCGTCTGCCCGGTGGAACGCTTCATGCAGCTATACTGAGCTATGCTCGGCACACATGACAGCCACCTATACAGACCCCAGTGCAGGGGTGGAGCTCAACAGGGTGCTGGTGCAAGGAAGTCAGAGGACACGGGAGCCGAGGGGTCAGGGCGTGACGCTGGGTGAGAAGGGAGAGGACCTCACAGGTGAGGCACGCGAGAGCGCGGACGTGCGGAGACTCATCCCACCACCTCCCCAAAGACTGATGAAACACCAGTGAGTCAAGCAGGAGCTCAGAAGATTTTCTAAAGAAAAGGACAAGAAGTAGAGGCAAAAGCACAAATCAGTGAATCAGAAATTGGAAAATCAGTAGAACTACATTTTGAAAATGGCTTCTGGGAACAAAAGCAATAAATAGATAAACTATCCGCTAACCTAATCAAGGAAAAAGAGAGAAGGGACAAATACTTAAAATAGGAAATGAAAGGGGAAAAGTCGCCTCGGAATCAGAGGCCCTGTCCCCAGGCTAGAGTATAGTGGCGCAATCTCAGCTCACTGCAACCTCCGCCTCCCAGGTTCACGCCATTCTCCTGCCTCAGCCTCCTGAGTAGCTGAGACTACAGACAACCGCCATCATGCCCGGCTAATTTTTTTTTTTTTTTTGTATTTTTAGTAGAGACGGGGTTTCACCGTGTTAACCAGGATGGTCTCGATCTCCTGACCTTGTGATCCACATGCCTCGGCCTCCCAAAGTGCTGGGATTACAGGCGTGAGCCACTGCGCCCGGCCTGTTTTTAATTTTTAAAAAATTAAAACAACAACAACAACAACAACAAAGTACCCATCTCAGCCTGAAGGCCAGTATAATATTGAATAGGGATATTACAGAAGGCAGCATCACCAAACCTGAACATCACTACTACTACTTAATCACGTCCAGGAGATGCTGGGCAATCCACTCGGGACGAGATGGGAAGCACAAAAATTGACAAGAAAGAAAACCATGATTATCTGCAGATTTGTTCATGCAATCATGTAATTAGATAACAGGAACTTTGGTTCCTAGGAAAAGGTACACTAGCAAGAGTGTCCAGGAAGCTCTTACCAAGGACAGCAGTGAAACGAGACCACCAGCCCTAGTAATTAAAGTAGTGGGTGTGGGAAAATGGAAGGCAAGCAGAAATGAGACAGAACAGGGAGTCCAGAAACAGACTCAAATATGTATGAAAATTCAATCTATTTTAATGGTGGCAACTGCTGATGCGTGTAGTGAGGATGGATTTTTTTTTTTTTTTGTGAGACAGAGTCTTGCTCTGTCACCCAAGCTGGAGTGCAGTGGCGCAATCTCAGCTCACTGCAACCTCCGCTT
This sequence comes from Homo sapiens, assembly GCF_000001405.40. Taxonomy (NCBI): domain Eukaryota; kingdom Metazoa; phylum Chordata; class Mammalia; order Primates; family Hominidae; genus Homo; species Homo sapiens. The sequence goes on along the minus strand of NC_000013.11, from coordinate 112,915,336 downwards.
CCCGGGTTCAAGCGATTCTCCTGCCTCAGCCTCCTGAGTAGCTGGGACTACAGGTGCCTGCCACCACACCCGGCTAATTTGTTGTATTTTTAGTAGAGATAGGATTTCACCGTGTTAGCCAGGGTGGTCTCGATCTCCTGACCTTGTGATCCACCGACCTCAGCCTCCCAAAGTGCTGGGATTACAGGCTTGAGCCACCACGCCCGGCCAACATGGAGATTTTGATGAACGATGTTAGGATCCCCAGGTCAGAAAAGCAAACTTGGACCCATACTTGACACCATACAACAAAATCAATCCAAGTGGGTCAAAAGTTTAAATGGAAATAAAATATTAGGAAAAAAATGGGTGAATTCCTGTATAACCTCAGAATAGGAAGACCTTTTCAACTACGACTCAAAATCCAGAAGCCCCCAAATACTGAGATTCAACTACATATTTTAAGTGGCAAAAGAAAAAAAAAAAGGAAAGTCAAGACAATGACGATTTGAAAAAATACTTTCAACTCACATCACTACAGCTAAACTCCCTAATTTATGAAAAGCGCCTAGAAAACATTAAAAGATTAGCAACCCAGCTAAAATATGGGCAAACAAAGATAAAAACATAAATGAGAAGCAGTTCAATCTCACGCATGAGATGCAAGTGATGAAAGTCTGCATTGGGAGAGCAGCTCACCATTCTCAGGTTGGAGCAACCATCAGACAAGGACATCAGCCTCTCCCATCAGACACCTCTGCAGGGAGCCGCTCCCATGATCACGTGGCTCACAGAGCGAGTGTGTGAGTACCTGAGGAATACTGTCAAAAAGCCTTTATTCTTTCACTCAGCCTCTGGGAATGTGAGATCCATACACCAGTACACACGCTGAAGGGCATGTATACTAGGTTACTAATTGCACCACTACAGTAGTGCCCATCAGCAGAGACGAGTGAATACAGTGTAGCCACTGCCCACTGTGCAAGAGAATAAGGATGCTGCTTCTTCATGGATGTGGAGTAGTCCCGAAGACAGAGCGAGGGGAGAAGCGTGCAGACGCTATTTACCATGTGCTACCTTTTGTACAAAAAAGGAGGAAAGTGTGAACATGTGTCTCAGCTCGCACATGGCAAGGCCCTCTTGGGGGACGCACCAGGTCCTGGCGGAAGGACCAGTGCAGAGCAAGAATCCTCAAGCCGTATCTTCTTTATTATTTTGATTTCTTAACCACAAGACTGTATATTACTTATTACAAACCCAAAAAAGAAAGAAGGAAAACAGGGAAGAAAGGAAAAAGAAAAGAACCCAGGCTGGCTCACAGGGGGAGAAGGGGCTGGGGATGCTAACGGGGAATTACGTCCCAACGCAACGCTAAGGAGTCTGGACTCGAGGTGCAGGCATTGGGGGGCTGATGGATTCTTGGCAGGAAAAGAACATAGTCCCAACGTCTGCCTGTCAAGTGAGCGAGAAAGAGTCTGCAGTGCTGAGAAGACAGAGCTGTTTAAAAATAAATGTTTTAAATGTGCACCTGTTGTATGAAATGGAGTGCAAAATTAAAGACATTTTTAAAAGCACACATTCGTTGAGAGGACGTCAACGAATCTATTTGTTGGGCTGAATCCTTCCCCAGCATCCCTGGGGCAGCCGTGATCCACACAGGGCACTAAGCCCTGGGGCAAGGGAGGTGGCAGGACAGACTGACCCACAGATGGACGTGCAGAGAAGCAGCCTGCCCCATGCACTTGAAGGAGGAAAAGACAACGCATATTTGCCACAAATGTTTACTAGCAGCCCATCCTCTCACACCGAGGCATTTTAAAATTATTGAGTAAACTCATTCTCAACTCAATGATCAAAGATCACATTTGTCCCCGAGAAGAAAGGTGCCAGCTGCATCAAACATAACTTTGAAAAATGCCTGCAGCTGAGACATCATGACGGCCACACATCTCTCTGAAAGCTTTTTGTTTTGCCAGGTGAGGTGAGTGATAATGTTCTGTTCTGGGTTTGCCATATACACAAAAAATCACACAAAGACACACACACATAAACACAGACACACAATCACACACAGACACACCCCATACATACAGACACAGAGATACACCAGACACACACACAATCACACACAGACACACCCCATACATACAGAGATACACCAGACACACACACAATCACACAGACACACCCCATACATACAGACACAGAAATACACCACAGACACACAATCAGACACATCCCATACATACAGACACAGAAATAGACCACACACACACAATCACACAGACACACCCCATATACACAGATACACCACAGACACACAATCACAGACACACCCAGACACAGAGATACACCACAGACACACAATCACACAGACACACCCCATACATACAGACACAGATACACCACAGACACACACAATCATACAGACACACCCCATACATACACAGAGATACACCACAGACACACACACAATCACACACAGACACACCCCATACAGACACAGATACACTACAGACACACACACAGGCACACCCCATACATACATACACACACAGAGATACACCACAGACACACACACAGACATGTGACACACACACAGCCACACAAAGACACAAGCCATTTATATAAGAAAAGAAGGATATAAAATATATATGGGGATATTTATTAGGTGACTTCCAGCAAATAAATAAAAAAGAAATGACACAATGAGGACATTTGCAGCTCTTAAGAATAAATTGGCCAGGCATGGTGGACTCACACCTGTAATCTCAGCACTTTGGGAGGCCAAGGCGGGTGAATCACCTGAGGTCAGGAGTTCGAGACCAGCCTGGCCAACATGGTGAAACCCCGTCTCTACTAAAAATACAAAAATTAGCTGGGTGTGGTGGCGTGCGCTTGTAATCCCAGCTACTTGAGAGGCTGAGGCAGGAGAATTGCTTGAACCCAGGAGGCAGTGGTTGCAAGTGAGCCCAGATTGCACCACTGCACTCCAGCCTGGGTGACAGAGCGAGGCTCTATCTAAAAAAAAAAAAGGAATAAATTAATAGATTTAAGCAACAATGACCTGTGGCTGCCAATGTCCCCGGACACTCACACCCAGACATTACCCACTCCTGAGATGGAGAGCACCACTCTGAAATTGCCTGAAGAGAAAGGTGTCCTCCTGGAGCTGGTTCAGGTTCTGAATAAACTAAACACAGGGGACAGAGACACATGTTAACTGACACTCTGAGGATGTGACTGCTGGGCCCGGGGATGGGAAACTTCACAGAACAAGGGACTTGGGCCACATGCACGGCCACCTCCCCAGCCACGTGACTCTTGGTGAGGGTGGGGTAGAACTTACTCAATGAAGACATTGTTTTTTCTTTTTAAAAAGAATTCAAAGTTCATCTCATTCCTATTCTTGGCGGATTGGCCACCTAGCCTGCGTGTAGCCTTTTTCTTCTCTGCTGCTAAACAGAACCTCTTTTCCTTGAGGTACCTGAAGTCTAAGTTCTGATGACACAGCTCAGTAATGTTTAGGGAAAACCCAGTAACCAAAGATCACATTTGTTTCTAGAAGGAAAGAAGTCGGAAGAGAGGAAGACGGAAGAAATCGCTGCTCAGCGCATCCGTGTGAGGTCCCGGGTATTCTGTGAGGAAAGGCTGGCGCAGGCCCGCCGCGCCCTCGGCCTCGGGGAAGGAGGTGAACACAGAAGGGGGTGCCGGGCCCACGGCTGAGACACCTGAGAGGACGCCTGCAGCCCGGGTGACCACAGCAGGGGCTTGGGTGAGGCCCGGGGCCCAGGTCTCTGGAAGTGAGGGAGGGTTTCAGAGGAGCATGGTGGGCGGGCCATTCCCAGAGGAGCCTGCAGCAGGCAGGATCCGGGGATCACGGCCAACATGGCGGCCACGCTGGGAGAGAAGAACCTGGTGGGCGCACAGGACTAGCGGCTGGGCCGCTCTCCCAGGCAGGAGAGTGTCTGGGTCTACACCCTGCATGGACGGTGCCGGGCGGAGCTGCAGACAGACCCCGGGACCCAAGGCTACGTGTGTAGACACAGGGCTCCGCCAGCCAGACCCATCCTGGCCGTGGGACATTGCAAACGGGCTCCCTCTGGCCATCACCTCTGACCAGACCCAGCCTCTGGGTCTTCTGGAGTCACTGACATGGTATGGAAAATAAAGCTGGGCTTAGGCTCCTGAGGGGGCCTTGGCATTCGCCACCCACCGCCAGGACGAGCTCCCGAAGACCCGCGGGGGTTCAACACCAGCTCCATCACCATGCATGCACCAGCTGACGCCGGGGAGCGGCCAGGTCCCAGGGCAGGGGCGAGAGAGTCAGCCCCACCCCCGCCCCGCCCCCACCCCCCAAATTCTGGGAAAGTGCTGGGCCCCCTGGCCTGCGTTTTGGCTGCGGCTTCATTTACACGCAGCTGTTTCTCCAAGGTGCCTCCAGCAGAATTTCAGACGAATTCTCCCACGAAATATTTTCCCCTTGAAAAGTGTTAGGTAATTAACACCCCCCAGGTCACCAGCGGCACAGTCCCGGCGAGACAGCCACCAGGAAGGTGAAGGCGAGAAGAGCTCTCCACTAGCGTCAGCGGCAAACCAGGGGACCGGGGGGCAGGAAGCCCGAGCCCCCCTCGTGCCTGTTTTCAGTCTAATTTCCTTTTCTAAGAAGCATTTATTCTGACATAGATAAGAAGGTTTCCTCATGCAGAAAAACAAAAAGAACAACAAATGGCACATGTATGATTAAAAACATTTATATTTAGGTGCATATCTTAAGTCTTTTACAAAACTGCACATATTTGGTGTTTACAAAATTGAAGACTGTGTATCGTTTTTATAACTGGCAATTTCACTTATTATAGTGTAAGATGTGCCAGGGAGAATTATGATCTCAACAACTAAATCATTTCCAAACCCTTACTGCTGTAATTTTGCTTTCCTGCAAGTGTTCATAATTATAAATAACGGCTGTGATGATCACCTTTGTTCATGAATGTTTGTGACAATATTTTTATCATTTTCTTCTTTTAAATTCTTAGAAGTGAACATTGCTGACGAAAACTAAAAATATTTGAAGACTTTTACTGACATCAGTTGTTTTCCAGTATATCGATAAGGACTGGCATTCCTACCAGCAGGCTTGGAATTTTTGGCCATAAAAATGGAAAGAGAAAGAGACCTTGTGGTCAGCATTACATTTCTTTAAACTGAACAGGTCAGCCTATTTCTGTGCAAGCTTTATATTCACTTTCTATGAACGTGTGCCTCCTTTTCACTCTGCTATGTAAGACAGATGCATAGATAAATATCTATCCTTTGTTGCAATTTTTTTCCAGGTTTTCATTTGCTGGTCAGTCTTCTTGGTGATTTCTCAGGAACAGTTTTAAGGTTCAGGTAGTAAAATCTCTTCATTTCGTGGCCAGGCACAGTGGCTCATGCCTGTAATCCCAGCACTTTGGGAGGCCAAGGCGGGCGGATCACTTGAGGTCAAGAGCTTGAGACCAGCCTGGACAACATGGTGAAACCCCATCTCTACTAAAAATACAAAAATTAGCCGGGGTGTCAAAGTGCATGCCTGTAATCCCAGCTACTTGGGAGGCTGAGGCAGGAGAATAGCTGGAACCCAGGAGGCGGCGGCCGCAAGGAGCTGAGATTGCACCACTGCACTCCATCCAGCTTGGGCAACAGAGCAGGACTCTGTCTCATAAAACAAACAAAACAAAACAACCCTCTTCATTTCTTGTTTCCATCAGATCCTTCAAAGAGATTCATCCTCTTGGTTATTAGACTCTCCTCCAAATGCCACTGAGCACTACCTGCATCCAAGTTGATAGACCCGCTGGCTGCGCACCCTCTGCGCTAGTGTAGGACTTCCCAAGTGCGCTCCTGACGAAGACGTTTGCACAGGACGCTGGGGTGAATGCTCAGGCCTGCCCCAAACCCCTGCAGACAGCCCCTTGGGATCAACGCCTTAGCCTGGCTTCAACCCATGCTGGGCGGGGAGGCCGGGTCTGTAGACACAGAGGTGAAGGATGTACTCACACTGCCGAGTGCCTCCCGAGACTGGCAGGACACCAGCTCACTGTGGACGAGATGCCGAGACCTCTGCTGGAATCACAAGCAAGGGATTAGACATCTGGGGAGAGGTTGGTTACAGGGGCTCCCTCGGGAACAGGCAGTGTTTTTGCCAGTCCTGGACTTAACCCAGAAGCGGATGAGGCAAGCAGGAGGGAGAGAATTTCTTTGCAGTGGGAACAGTTCAAACCAAGTGAATCCCCCTACCCAGATCATCCCCTCGGCAAAGCCGAGAGCAGCATGGATAAACATAAGCATGGGCGGGGCGCGGTGGCTAACACCTGTAATACCAGTGCTTTGGGAGGCTGAGGCAGGCGGATCACGAGGTCAGGAGATCGAGACAATCCTGGCTAACATGGTGAAACCCCGTCTCTACTAAAAATACAAAAATTAGCCAGTTGCGGTGGCGTGCATCTGTAGTCCCAGCTACTTGGGAGGCTGAGGCAGGAGAATGGCGTGAACCCAGGAGGCAGAGGATGCAAGATCATGCCAGTGCACTCCACCCTGGACAATAGAGTGAGACTCTGTCTCAAAAAAAAACAAAAAAAAACCAAAACAAAACAAAAAACATGAGCCTGGTGTTTGTGTCTGACACGCTGGTGACTAGTGATGCTTGCCTTTGATTCTGTCATGTCAAACACAGTTTCTTCAGAGGAGAAATCCGACTTTAATCATAGAGCACATATTGTAGAGCACTCAGGCAGAAACCCCTAACTTCCTGATAAAACACCCACAGAATCATGTGTGCTCTGGGGCATGCAAAATCGGCTCTGGCTCTGAGAAGGGGCTCTTGGGAGAGAAGCTGCCTGCTGTCTTCAGACACCTTCCGTTCACCTGAGGAGTCTCTCCAGCAGCTCAGAACAGTTACTCCTGGTTTCAGGTAATCCGCCACATCCATTTTAATTAAAAGATGAAAAATACTGCAGCCAATTCCATTCAGAACAGTCCATTTAGGCACCCTTGAATCAGAGGGCGCTTGGGAGACCAGAGGTCCCCTGTGCAAGCTGGGGCGGTGGTCCACCCCATCCCCCTAACACAGGAGCCCTGGTGAGTCAGAGCACCTGTGCCCCCATGCCAGCATCTCACCTGGCCTTGGGAAGCTGCCCACACCCTTGGCATTGGACACGAGCAGATACCAGCCATGCTTCCAACATTAACCAGTAACACAACTCGTTCCCAAATGTCTGGAGGTTCATATGCACTGAACACATGTCTTAAAAAAATTAGGAATTCCTGCCAGCTTCCTGAGTAATACACAAAGTCCAAGTAGAAAGATGCTGAGGAATCAGGAAAGGTTGAAAACAAGAAGTTAATCATTGACAGCCACACTGCAAGTACCATTTCCACAAACAACATGTTCATCTTCAGAGGCCGTCTCACTCGAGACTCAGAACTATAAAGAAAAGATGAGTGGAGGGAGCAGTGGGTGCTCATTCTCCCAACATGCGCTGTTCTTTAACACGGCGTGCTGCTGAGATCGCCTTTTCTCAGAGCTGTTTTCTGCAACACTAAATGGCATGCAAGGAGAAAGCAATGAATCTCCCAAGAAAATCATGAGCTTTGAGAACTGCATGAAGAACCAGGAAGTTTCAAGTCCAGAGTCTACCAAATTATTAAAGAACATTTTCTGTGGGCCAAGAGAAACCAGTCCATCAGCATACAACAGCTAGCACCCAACCACAGAAGGAGCCTGAAGATGTGAAGAAACACATCTTCCCCCGTCAGATTCACGAATGCACAACTACAGCCCCTGCAAAGGCCACAGTTGCCAGGATTCAGCCATTCTCCACCAAGCCGCGACTGACCCATGCTGGAAACACCGAGGATTCTCCACCAAGCCATGACTACGATCCATGCCACAAACACCGAGGATTCTCCACCAAGCCACGACTATGACCCATGCCAGAAACACTGTGGATAGCCAAAAAGCCAATTTCCTTCCAAGTATCTGTTTCTTGTGGTCATTTTCCCCTTCCCCAAAGTACATTTTCAGCTCCAGCTAATTGTTTCTGCAAACCCCTCTGTGAGACTCATATCTGAATGCTGCAGCCCCATCACTTCTCAAGGCTGGGGCAAGTCTTGGTCCTTCCCGAAGTGCTTCCCAACCCTCCCGCGTGCCCCCAGGTGGAGACAAGGTCCCCCCTCAGAATCCTGTGTAATCTCCTACCATAAAGCATGGAAGTATTAGGTCCAGCCATGGAATCATCCATGCTCCAAGGCTTCTGACATAGAAACAGCAATGTCGCGACTCCACCCAAGGCGGCAAATGTGTCTGTTTCTTCGCTGCTCTTCTTCACCCTAAGCCCAAGTCAGGGATTGTCTTCCACTTGTTCTTTTATCCTCAAAGCTTTGCCCAGCACCTGAACAGTGTGATGCTCAAAGGTTTGCTGGGACGAAAATCACTGGCATCTTTAAAGACACCACTGACCAATGGGGATAGATGGAGTTTCTAACAGGAGGCCCCACAAGCCACCCTAGAGCTAGAGGTGCTCGCCTGTGCCGGGGGCACCTCACCTCTGCTGCGCAAGGAAGTTGTGGGCGAACCCTCTTGCTCTCTCACGCTCAATTCTAAGATGATAGCGGTCCTTCCAAAGAGGCTGAACAACATGTTCCCAGGCCTCTGCTCTCACCTGGCCCACCAGAGCCAGAACGCATTACGCACCACTGAAAAGCAAGACCACGCACTCACGGCAGAGCGGGCACTGGTGTTTTGATAGGAAAGCACTGCCAGGGAGAGGAGAGCCAGACAAGCTCCACACGCACCCCATGGAACTGCACCGTGTGTGCGTGTGTGTACATATGCGTGTGTGCATGTTCCTGTGGGCACCTGCCATTCTCAGTGAGACAGGCCCTGCAGAGGGTGAGCGCCAGAAGCCACAGGGAGCTGATGCTGGCCACGCCTTCCCCATTCACCTGCAAATCCTGCAGCACAGCTGTGAGAGCTGACCTTTAGTGGAGTGAGTCAGCTTACAAAACGCTGCAGGCTCAGGCAGGAGCCCTGAGGAGGCCTGTCTGCAGTGTGTCCCCTCGGATTAGAGGCCCTTCCATAGCTGACTGTGAAACAGTTAATCGCAGAGTCACTGAAACAATGTGGTGGAACACTGTCACGATAGCTGAAATGAAGAAGCCTGAAGGAAACCAAGAGCAAACAGAGCAGCTTCAGACCGCACCGAGCGAGCTGGAAAATAAGCTCATCAATGTTTACCCAGCAGGACCCAGGCCTCCTGTGACCTTCTCAAAGACCAGTGTCTGTTGACTGAGAACAGGGAAGTTGGACGGGACACTGTTCATCGCCCAGCAGGAAAATAAAGGTAGAACCAGGGGGAATCACCTTCTATCATGGTTTCAAAATAAATACTTGCATGATGCGGCAATTCCACTTCTGGGGAGGCAACCCCAAGGCCTGAAAGCAGGGGCCTGCACAGGTATTTGCACACTGTGTTCATAGGAGTGTTATTCACAATAGCAGAGGCGGCTGTGACCCAAACGTCCGTGGATGAATGTGTGAAGAAACAAATGTGGTCCACCCACACTATGGAATATTACTCAGCCTTAAAAAGGAAGGAAATTGTGTCACACGGTACAACACAGATGAACCTCAGAATGTTATGCCCAGTGTAATAACCTCCAGTTACATGAGCTCCCTAGAGTTGTCCATTTCATAGAGAAAGAAAGTAGGATGGTGGGTGTCGAGCTGGGGGCAGGGGTGTTGGATACAGTGAGATCCTCTTCAAAAGTTCCACTTGTTCAAATCCCTCGTCTTTGTCCTTTATGCTCAAAGCCTAACTTCCTTGCCTCCTTGCCCCTAGTTACGGTAAACAAACTTCGTGCCGTTCCCAATCTGTAACCCACATCCATTCCCAATCTGTAACAACCCACATCTATTCCTTATTTGGTGCCTTTAGTTCTGAAACTGCTCTTCCCACCACTGTAGCCCCCACCCCTGTTCCATTTGAAGTAGCCAATCAGGATCAGCTGAGATTGTGTAGTCTGACTCCAGCCAATGGGGACTGGACACAGTAGCAGGGACTGGCTGCGTTAGGGATAAAACCCCCTCTCCTCCTTTGTTCGGTGTGCTCTTGCAGCGACCAGAAGAGTGAGCAGCACCCTTCTGCAGAAGTAAATTTGCCTTGTTGAGAAATCCTTTATTTACGTGCTCGTTTTCTTTGCAACTCCGAGTTCTTATTTCCAACAGGGGGAATGGGAGCGGGTGTTTAATGGGGACAGAGTTTCAGAGAAGATGAGAAAGTTCTGAAGATGGACACTGGTGGTGGTTGTACAACAGTGTGAGTATATTTCATACCAGGGAACTCTACACTTGACAGTAGTTAAAATGGTACATTTCATGGGTGTCTATTTTATGACAAAAAAAACTATCACTGATTTCGAAATTGTTCTGATACAAACAGGTTTCATCACCACCAACTGTCTCCAGCCAGCTGGGCTAGGACATTGCCAAGGCCCCAGGTCACCTGGAGACGGAGCAGGTGTGGTGCAGGCAGGGCCTGAGAGCCGAGTGCGGTTCTCCCGCAGGCCGCAGTCCACGCCGTGCGCTTCTCTTTCCACAGAGCAGACGAGGCAAGGACAGCCAGAAGGGCTTCACCGCTCAGAACTCTAAGCAGATTATCTTCCAATCCCCTGGAGTCCAGGGTTGGAGGGAAGCTGCCTAAAGGGCTTTCTTGGTAAAGCCAGCCCTGGGCCTCCAGGACTCAGGGATCAGAGAGGTTTTGCGAGTTAGGGGAGGAAGAAGTCAGATGTGACATTATTAAGAGCCACGGCTTGCTAAGTGGGTGCTCTGACCAGCCACATGTCTGGGCTCCTCACAGCAGCTGCCTGGATGCTACTACTGCTGCCCACACTGCAGAGGCTTCTCAACCCACCCAAGCTTGTGGGGTCAGCAGGGGCAGGAACAAAGCCAGAGCGTGGGCCCAGGCTCTGCTCCACGGCTGGTGCACGGTGGACCCTGACATGCTCCTGAGCCTGGGAGAGCTCGGTACGTTGAGAAATAATAGGAGCACTTGGTTCAGTTGTGAGGGTTCCCTAACCCTAGTCCTAAATCTGCCTTACCCCAAACGCTACCCCTACCCCTAACACCTACCCCTACCCCAGTCCCAACCCCTAACCCTAACCTTAACCTCTAACCCTAACCCTAACCGCGGCCAGCTCCTCAGTCCCCAGAGCTGGTCCACGCGAGACTTGGGCGCTCAGGGAAAGGCACCAGTCCGAGGTTCTGAGTGGCCACGGGCAGTTAATTCACAGCCAAGCTGAGCGCGGGAAGACTCAGCAACCTTCCAGTTGCAGAGGTCAGGGCAGCCAGCTGTCTGCACGCGCTAAGTAGCCCCTCACTCCTGCCCTCTTCTGAAGCCCCCTGCACAACAGCTAAGCTGTGTGCAGCACTGTCCTGACAGCCCCGCTTCACTGTTGTAGGAAGTAGCTGTCTCCTCGCTCACAGGGTTTCTCAGGTGTGTACATCCCAGAGAAGCAGGCGGTGTGCCAGGGAATAATGAGAGCACCTGGTTCTCAGTCCGTGAGAGGTCCCAAGAGGCTCAGTCCTCACCTCTCATTCGTGACAGTCACTGACAAGGGAAGTGATGGAAATCAAATTCTTAATCCCGCAGAACTAAGCACATACCCTGACTGGGGTGACTATACCGAAACGCAGCCCCCCAGCCAGCCAGCTCTAAACCAACAGCCTGCGTTTCCAAGTGCAAGAGTCTACACAAGTTGTGGCCCAGAACCACTGGGCCAGGGAACCACAGACACTCGGCAGTCACCAGGTGGAATCTCTTTCTACAGCAGCAGACACACAGAGCTGAGCTCTGAAGACAGGGCCAGGGCAGTTCTCACCTGAAGACACGAAACAGGAGGGAATTCCTGGGCACCAGCCCTCAGGGCAGCAGCCGTGGGATGGGGACAGGATGGACTCTGAATGCGAAAGTCTCAGAATGATGCCTTGACCCAGCAACTCCCAAGACTCCACTAATCAGCGCAAATGCCAGCTCAGGACAAGGCCCAGAAAAGCACCAGATTTAGAGCAGGCAGCAGAATTATCAAAATCCCTTCTCAGCTCAGTGGCCACCCCATTGGTGCTGGAAGCCTGCACGTCCTGTCCAGCCAGAGGATGGATTTTGCAATGCCAGGCCAGCACCCGGCCATCAAATCCACGCCTGCCCTCAGTGGTGAGTGCCCACACTGGGTTTGTCTAGTGACAAATTTTGGAATCAATTTGGGAAGAAATGGCAACAAATAATTAAATGCAGGCAAAACTAGGAACAGAGAACTCAGCCCCTTGCTCAGGTTAGAAAATACATGCAGAACATTCAGACAGGCAGGGGCTGGAGAGAGAAGCATTGTCTGGCCTGGATCAGGAGGTCAGGCTGAGCTTGGAGAGGCCACTCACACCCCAGGCCTGCCCAGCTCTCACCTCGGGGTACAGCCAATTCCAGACGCCCAGGCAGGGGCACTGGTCTGGAGACCAGCTGAGGCTTTGCCATGTTAATATGAAAACATACAAATTCAGACAATAGCTCTTTTGTTTCTAAAGAATGAAGCAAAGCCTACAAATTGTTCCCTTCAGGTATACTGTGCTTTATTTGGAACCCAAAGAAACATTTCTCATGATCTCTAACCGGAGCCAAACTCATTTTAAAATACTCACTTAGATAACCAATGCCAAGTCAAACAAATGACCACACATCTTGAGGCAAGTCGTCCCAACTTGGACCTGGGCAGGTAAAAGCCACGTGAACCCATTCGAGGCCCCTCCCACAGCCTGCTACCTGGGGGGTCATGCATTCCCAGGATCTAAACCTTGTCAATCTCTAAAAGGACCGGAATAGCAAAGAACAGCACAGGTCTGATCAGCAGTGAGACCTGCAAAATCAAATGAGGCCGCAGCACCAGGCGCCTACCTGTGGCCATGGCCGTCGCCTCCGGTGTGTCTTGAACAAGCCTGATGACGTCAGACACATCAATTTGGTGATCCGTTTCCTCCTTTTTGGCCTCATTGGGCCGTTGTGGGGAAGAATAACTGTTGCTTCCAGGTCTCTTGCACAGGATAAATCTCCAACAGTCAAACATGAGGCTGCAGAAAAAAGATTTTAAAAGCACGATGAGGTCATGCTGCAGAAAGACTTAAGAACTGTTGCTCTGAACAAAACCGAAATAACTAGTTACAACCTTCGTGGTATTTATTCTGCAGTGAAGATAGTATGTTTGAAACTAAATTCATTCTTCTCCGGTCAATTTCCACTGTATCAGGGTTCACTTACACAAGGAACCTTCTTCTATAACTCTGACACAGAATAAAGGGTCGCAGGAGCAAAACATATTATCAACTTCTGCTGCTGAAGAAAAGAAAAACAACAACAACCGAGGTTTTCCCCTCGACATTCAGACTCCTGTTTCAAAGACATAGACGTCCCTAGTTCTCCAGGTTTCAGTATCTAATTCGCCGAACTGGCAAACTTTCAAAATCAGTGCTGATTGCTTATTCAGATTACCTAAAAACATTTCTAAATCCCCTAAGTAGAGAATGTCCTCCGAGTTCCAGAAACTTTAAAGCATAATTCCTCACTGAAAATTTGGCAAAGAAACTTACACGAAGTTTTTGGGAAGAATCTTAAATGTAAAGAGAAAACTAGTAGCTGCATTTCCAACCGAAGCCTCAGAGTCACTTGCCGGCAGCCCTTCCCCTCCCAGGCGGTGACCTGTGGTGCCTTTCCGTGCTGTCTTTCAGCACATTTATGGCTCACTGCTACTTCCCACTGTTGGCGTCCCACCCGCAGGACCCCTTCCCTAGGAATAAAGACAGCAACAGTTTACTTAAATAAACCGTATTGTGGCTCACGCCTGTAATCCCAGCACTTTGGGAGGCCGACGCCGGCGAATCACCTCAGGTCAGGATTTCAAGACCAGCCTGGCCAACATGCCGAAACCCCGTCTCTACTAAAAATACAAAAATTAGCCAGGCGTGGTGGCCGGCACCTGTAATCCCAGTTACTCACGAGGCTGAGGGACGAGAATCACTTGAACCCAGGAGGCGGAGGTTGCAGTGAGCTGAGATTGCACCACCGCACTCCAGCCTAGGCACAACAGTGAAACTCCGTCTCAAAAAAAATAAAATAAAAAATAAACGGTATCGGTGGCTCCACCAGGGATGTCGCTTTCCACGCCACTGTTCACACTGCATCCTGTCGCCCAGTTCTGCTGCTGCCTGGGCCTCAGCTCCCTGGGGAAATCCCTCCTGCCCTGGTATTCCCCTGGGAAGGGGCCGCCTGCCTCCCTCCAACCTGAAATCCCTGCTCAGAGGCCCCTGCTGGGACATCTCCCCCTTTCATTGTCTTCAGCTAAACCCCATCCCATCCCTCAGGTCAGACCTGCAGGTGCCCAGACCACCCCACAGGCGCTCTCAGGGCCACTGCTGTCAGTCCCCAGGGAGCTTTGCAAACACCAATGCCCGGCCCTGGAGAGCAGGCCCGTCCCGAGAACCACTGCCCCACCACATGGAGCCCTGAAGGACGAAGCCTGCCCAGGACAGGGTGATACCCATCGCCAACCCACAGTCCAGGTCCCAAACACTCTGGGGACACCAGGGCCACACCCATGCCCCTCACAGCAGAGGCTGTGCTTCTCCACCCGCCCCTCTTCCCCCAACACACAAGCTCCACAGCCTTGACTCCCACCCCACAAACACACTCACCCCTTGGTGTTCATCAGGGCACAGGCCTTCGAGACCACCCCACAAACACTCACCCCTCAGTGTTCAACTCATCCCTTTGCTGCTACTGTTCAGAACTTGTTACACGTCCTGGCTCCTGTGTGGTTTTTCATACATGTCTTTTGTTTACGTGTGGCGTGTTCTCCAGCTGACTTGCAGAGCCTGCCACGAGGCTGCCTGCGCATCTCATGCCCACCCTCAGTGGCTGGCACTGGGACCCAGCTGTGCTCACCACCTTGTCCGGGCACCTGCTTCATCTCTGCAGAAAGGTCCGGGAGGGGCACAGACCTGAGGACAACCTGGCGCAGGTCTAAAGGCTTATTTTCTGATTGCTTAAATCTAATTTCAATGATTAAAAAGTAGGAAGAAAAATGTCCCTGGTTAAAAAAACAAAAGCAAAATGCTGTTTTGTCCTTTTTCTCTTCCAAATTCTCCTCAGAGAATTTCAAACATGAGCTGGCTGATCGTGATCTGAAACCTCCAAAAGGGAAAATGAAAGGCCAGGTGTGCACGGTCACGTTTATGCCCCTGGCTGCAATCGCGTCCCCAAGCTGGACTCTGTAGACACCAGGCATGAGGGCTACATCCTCCCCATCCAGAAACCAACCCAAGGGGCTGTTCCGCTGTTTCTCTCCACTATGAGGCAAGACCCTGCAAGCATTCCTAACCACTTGATCTCAAGATACGGTGGAAAAGATCCAGGTGAGGGACCTTCACTTTTACCCAGTGAAGGCTGCAGATGGCACGCGCGGCCCGTCACACTGACATGGTGGAGGAAGGGATGCAGCGATCCCTCCGTCCACAGGGCAGGTCCAGGCCATCCTCTTCCGCAGCAGGTGCCAGTCAGCTCCGGGGTCCTGAGGACCCCTGGGTGTTGTGTGAGGACACCTGGGGCCAGGAGTCTTGGGGCAGGTGTGGCCCCTGCTTAAAGGTTCCTCCTTCCTCTAGGATCTCACTCCTCCAGCTGCTTCGAACAACAGCTCTCACGTGGTGAAGGACACCAGAGTTAACCCCAAGATACGTGGGTAGAGAGAGTCTGGAAACTGCTGTTTCTCCAGCAGTGGGTTTTCCTGAGGGCAAGAAAACAGACTTTCCCGCCCCGAGAGGATGGATGATGAAGCCAGACGCAGTCCTGTTCACGTCTGTTCTCTTCAAAATCCCAAGACCGGCCTGACCACAAGGCACCCAACAGGCGCCGCCACCCTTGGAGCGTCTGCTTTCCCCTGGGCAAAACCTTGAGAAGCCGTCAGCAGTGAAGGCCGAAGGCTGGACCGAGAGCCAGGCCCCCTGGGCTTTGTGGTCCTGGGCTGAGCGAGGCGCCTCGCACACACACACACACAATTAAATCTGTCTACAGATGCAGACACGGTCACAGGCGGCTAGAACTCGGCCCAGCCCCACGGAAGCACCAAGTCAGCACGGCTTTGTGACTCGTTTGCTCGGTCCTCGTTTATGACGCAGGTGCCGAGGACACAAATGTCAGGGAAGCTCCTGTCCCCGAGGAGCTCGGATCCCAGGGAGAGCCAGCTTCTCCGCAGGTTCAGCAGCCACCACCAAGCGGGGGCAGACCCGGCATGGGGGGAGGGGGCCCTGCCCGGTGCTCCCTGGGAGGGGGCACAGGGTGGGGTGGTGGGATGGGGTGGTGGTGGGTGCAGGGCCTGAAGCAGGTGGCGAGAAGTCAGGCAGGATAGGGGCAGAAGCTCAGGGCCAAGAGTGGCACCTGGGGCCTGAGAGCAGCTGATGCTGACCGGTGGGGAGGGATCCCGAGGAGAGAAGCGGGAGGCAGAGGTGTGATGGACAAGGAGAGTCTGGAGATGATGGCAGCTGGGGACTCAGGGACTTGGGGGGCAGGGAGGCCGTCTGGGCTTCTAGCCTGAATAGCTGGTGAAGTGACACAGGCAGCCGAATAGCAAATGGAGGAGGGGAGGCAAGTGCTGACGGTCCCAGGGGTGGGAGTACCACCGGGGAGGGAAGGGCGCTGGGGCAGGAGGAGCAGGGCCTGCATGGCCGTGGGCGTTACCCCTGCTGCTGCCGTGTCTGGCAGGATGGGCCTGAGGGAGGCTGCGAGTGGCCAGTGGTGAAAGGCTGGACCTGGACTCAGTTCCGGCACCTGCCGAGCTCGGTTCACGGGGATGGTGCCTTTACCCAGCAGCAGCGTGGGCAGCCTCCTCCGCACACAGGTTCCAAGCGAACAAAACAAACACGCGCCCACCTCACGCCCCGCAACCAGCTCGGGTAGAGCGCGGAGAGGCCCAGAGGCCGTGGAGCACCTGTCCGTGCTGGGGGAAGCTGCTGAGGACTGGGTGGACTTTACGTCGGCCACACATGCGGGGGAAGCAGTGAGCTGGCGGTCACACAGTGTGTCTCATCCCAGGCACTGGGCACTAAAGATAGGAAGGTCCCCGCCGCTGCCACACGGCTTCCACTCACGACACCGTGTCATCCACTGTAAATCGCCAGTATTAATAATAACGTGGAGTAGAGGTGGGGGCGGCGGCCCTAGGACAGGGGGAGCTGGGAGACCTTCCCTAAAGAGTGAAGGCTGCAAAGCCATGACCCAGGGCCGGGGCCGGGGCCGGGGCTGGGGCTGGACGGGCCACATGGCACCTCCAGGGCTGTCTCTGATGCTGCAGGGTGAGAGGTCAGCTGGGCCCTGGCACAGAGCGGGTGCCAGGCCGACACCCCTGACTGCAGCCCTCACTCCAGTCCCCACTGCCAGTCAGCACCACCCTCACCACGGCTCCACCTGCCATGTCTCTGCCTCACTCTAGTCTGCCCACCTGGACACAGAAGTGGGCCTGTCCCCACAGGAGTCAGTTCTGCTTTCTTTCTGCCATTTCTTTAATGAATGAAAAGTGAAGATGGTGACTGCGAAGAAAACACGGTTACCCTCTCCGGTCTCCACAGCATCACTTTCTCACTAGATGTGCTTTGATTTCCTTACATCATGATGGAAATGTCAGTAATGCTCTTCACTTTCTCAACAGGTGGGGCTGCATGGCCCCCAACAGGGACTTACATCCTACATTTCATCCGGGACGTCCCACAGCTTCCCAGCTCTGGTTCCAATGGCCGCTTGAGCCATCATTGTCCCTGCTGTGGAACCCCATGGGGACGACCTTTCAGGGCTCCGAGGAGATCCCAGGCATGGCTGGGGAGGAGGAGTGGGCTTCCTGTGAACCCCGCAGAGCCGGCTGGGGCAGCCCTGATGCTCAACTGAGTCCGGTTCATGCTGGGCTCCTGACCACCACGTTCACGATGGTGGCCCTCACAGATGTCCAAAAGCTTCTCGGTGGCCATACCGTGTCCCGTATCCTACCGTTGGCTGAAAGCTCGGAGAGGTTCACTTTAGGACGCCAGGAGCGACCCTCATGATGTAGCTTTCCCAAAGCGGGGGTTGCCATGAACAGGCCATGTGAGTCAGAGGCCACCAAGGCCCCTGGACAAGACTTGAAATTCTCAAAGTGCCACTGCTGCTTCCAGCTGGCCACGCACTAAAGACTCTGCCACCCGCACTCCGAGCTGGGGCCCTGTGCTCTGCCGGCCTGGCCTCCTCTCAGGGTGGGCTCTCAGCCTGCATGGCCCCTGACCAGTGCCCTGCTGTCCCCTGAAGGACCCTCCACAGGGAATCCACTGATGACTCAAGTTGGAACCTAGAAACACCACTGAGTACCTGCCGAAGACGCAGGGCCCTGTTCCATCTGTGAGGCGGGAAGCTCTGTGGTGGGACTCAGGAACCTGCATTGGGATGCCAGAGGGATGCTGTCACCAAGATGCAGCCCAGAGCCGTGCACCTGCCACATGAGAGTCTCACAGCGTCCTTGGGAGCCATTGCAGACAGTGAAGCGGGGTGGGCTGAACAGAAAGGTGAGCTGCACCCAGAACCTTACAACTCCATCCTTCTGGTCACAGTGCTAACTGTGGCTGCTCCAGGAGCCTCCAAAAATGATCCCAAATCATCTCAACTGGTGACAAAAGGCTGCCAACCGGTGGCGTTCCTGGCCAGTCTATCTACACGACTCATCTCCTCCATGCCCTCTGCCAATCCCAGGCCTTCTCCCACCACGTTACAAATGCAAATTACATGGCTGTAAAGACAGGGGGGGCCTCTCTTCTGAAGTGACCTGGAGTCACCAAGAGGCTGCCTTTCCAAAATAAACGTTCAGATTCCAGTCAAAGTCTTCCCTGGGGTCCTCGATGTGAGCAAGGGTGCATCTCCACAGCAGAGGTGACTGGGACCACCCATTTGGGGACCAGGTAAAGGGAAACCTCAGGAGGAGGCCTCGGGGGGGCGGTGAAGAGACCTGAATTCCAGAGAAGGACAGATGTGAAGCTGCACACAGACCTTTCATCTTGCAGCGAATCCATCACCTTGGTGAGGATGATGACTGTGCCCCTTCCCCTCTGCACCTGGCTGTGCCTGCAGGCCCTGAAGTCAGCACAGTGATGGGGGAGGTGGTGCCACGGGGTCCCTGCCAAAGTCTGCAGGTTCCTAAGCCCACCGTCTAACGTTGCAGACCCTTCACGGATTCCAGCAGTTTCCCACAATCTCAGGTTTCACAGCAATTCTGTCAGGCCCCCAGGGGAGGGGCCCCCCTCATTTCACAGACGTGTGGGGGGTTCTTGGGGATACCCAATGTGGAAGTTTGAGCCACGGACACCTGGGCCCCTACACAGCCCGGTGAAATCGGGGACACCGGGACCGCTGCACAGCCCGGTGAAATCGGGGACGCCTGGGCCCCTGCACAGCCCGGTGAAGTTGGGACCTGGGAGGGCGGAGCCGGCCCCACAGGATGGGGAAGAGCTGAAGGAGAGTCCTGAGGGAGCCTTAAAACCCGGGTCTCCTGCCCACCTAGCTGTCAGCTTGCCCCAGAGTCCTCACTGCCCCCCTGGGACTGAGGGCTCCACAGGCTCCCGGGGTCCCGTCCCCCCAGCTACCCACGGAGGCTGCAGAACTCAGGCAATGCCTGGGTGTGCACTCCGTTCTCACGACCAGCCCTGGACCCCTCGCTCCACAGTTCGCATGTTAGGAGTCCTGGGGGCTAGAGGCTCCTCCTCAGTCCCAGCATCCAGCACCCACCTGGCCATGTGGGTCTCCTGCTTGCCAGGGAGGGGACCACACCGACACTCTGCAGCCTGCAGCCCTGGGGACTGCATTTCTATTTTTGTGGTCAGCCGTGTCGGTCCCCGTGGCCACACATCCTGGGGCCTCCTACAGCCATGCCGGCACATCCTGCCTGGGCGGCCCGGGCCACCTTAACCCCTTCGGGGTCCCGGCTCTGTGAGGGTCATGCGGGCCACGCCCCTGGGCGGGAGTCTCCAGGGAGTGAGCCTGCCTGGGCTCCAGAGCCCCCTCTGGCCCAGCCCTCCCGCAGCATCCTATATAAGGGTCTGAAGCAAGGCCAGGGGCCCACAGCTGGGAGAAGAGCCACAGAGGGCCCACGGCAACCAAGCCAGGTCAAAAGGAGCTCCCAGGAGGAGTCCGCCCAGCCCGCGCTCCACGGCCTTCCCGCTGTCTGTTTGGGGACCTGTGGCCAAGGGGACCCTGGCCCGGGACAAGCAGGCAGATGAAAGATGCAGATGTGGGCCCGACCCCAGGCTACCCTCCCCTCCAGCACTGTCCCCAGCCACCAGGTGTGGGCCCGACCCCAGCCGGACCCCAGGCTACCCTTCCCTCCAGCCCTGTCCCTAGGCGCTGTCCTGGACACTGGCCCCCCATCGCTCTGGCAGGAAGGGGTGGGCAGAGCTCCCGGGGTGGTCCTACGAGGTGCCCAAGGGATCGTCGGCAGAAGCCCGTCCAGGGGGTGACACCTGCCGGGGTGTGAGGGCCCCCGTGACAATGCGGAGGGGCCCTGGGCGCCTGGACACTCGCGGGGTCTCCTCCACTGCCATTTCGAGCCCCCCAGGCGCCTCGAAGTTCCCAGCGCAGGACGCTGGGCAGGGGCCGCGGGGGCCGATCCCAGGCCGCCCTGACCGCGAGCCGGGTCCCAGCGCCTGTCCCCAGCCAGGCTAAGGGGGACGCGGGGGAGACGGCCCCGCTCCGGGAGCGACCGCGACGCTTCCTGCCCGGCTCCGCCCCGCGCCCCCTCCCGTCACCCCCGCGCCCCCTCCAGGCCCCCGCCCCGCGCGCACCTGCCGCCCGTGGTGCTGCCCTCCCGCGTCCGCCGAGCTCCGCGCCCCGCAGGTGTCCGCGCGTCCTGACGCCTCCTCCCAGGGCTGCGCCGACACTGGGCGGGGAGAGAGAAGGGGCGGGGCGGGGCGGGGGCGGGCCGGAGGGGGAGGGGCGGAGAGGGGCCCGGGGGCGGGGGCGGGGCGGGGGCCAGAGCCCAGAGCGGAGGGGGAAGGGCGGCGAGGCGGGGCGATGGGAACAGCCTGCCCCTCTCCCCCTCTCCCCCTCTCCCACCCATTGCTCTCCTCACCCATCCCCCTCTTCCCCCTCCTCCCCGCCGTGCCCGAGGCGGGGGAGGGGGCGACAGGGGGAGGTGTGACCGGGGCGGGCAGCGGGGCGGGGTCGTGCCTAATGGGTGCAGTTCCTGCCACCTGGGGTCACCCTCGGCCCCTTCCAGAGGGGAGAGGGCTGGACAAGGGGACGGGTCGGAGGTCTTCTGGGGCCCAGGCCTCACTTCCTTGGGCTCACATGTAAAACGGGGTCCCACCTGCCCCCCTGGATCCGAGCCAGCTGGCAGGGAAGTTGTGTCCACTCTGAAGCCCCACAGGGACCCAGCTGGGATCGCCCTAGCTGGGATCGCCCTAGCTGGACCCTTCCCTGCAGCTTCCCAGGAGAAAGCTGGGGCACGTGGGACAGGGCTGGGGCCGCTGGAATGTGGCCCAGCTGAGCTGACCAGCCTGTGACATCAGAGAAGTCACTAACAAACCCTTCTGGCCTGTGTTCTCATCTGTGCAGCCGTCCCAGAGCGTCCTGGGGTCCACGGGTTAGTGCACACAGAGCTCCCAGCATGCCAAAGAGCAGACAGATTACCAGTTAACTAGGTTAGCAGCAGAAATCAGGGCTGCCCCTGTTACGTATCAGAAGGGCTAGGGTTTCCCATGTTTAGGTCCTAGGGTAAAAAGGGACAAGAACCCACCTCACTCCTCAGTACTGGAGTGGGTAAGGAGCCGCTGGTCTGTGGGTCGCGGTACAGGACGCTGGCCCCTGTCAGCGCGGCCTCACTTTGGTACCTAACAGTGCAGCAGAAGTTGTTTGCAAAACAAACAAAACAAAACAAAAAAACTATAAAAGACCCCACCATTTAATTCTTGTGTCTCCAAGATTCAGTGGAAACTTATTGATAACTTAAAAACAAAGTAAAGTGGCATAAAAAGGTGAAATCATGGAAGATGTGGACCCAGCTATAGACTTTAGCACTTGCAGTTGGAGCTTTAAAATGTCTCCATTTAGTGGGTAAAAAGAGGAAGCCTGTTTGAATGAAATGAAAACAAAGCTCTGGCAGGAGGGAGGTAAACATTAACCAAGCAAGCAGCGGGAAGTGCAGTCCACCGCGCCGTGCCCACCTGAGGTCAGAACACTGGGAACAGGCATGTGATACACAGAGACAGACTGAGGTCCGGGAGGAGGGTGTGTGGGCCGGGAGGACGGTGCGTGGACCAAGCCTGGCTGCAGAATTTCTCCCGGGGGGAGCACGTGCGTTCAGGGACTGGATCCTTGCTCCTGCAAGCCCGCTCCCTGGAGCAGCAGCAGCATCGGTGACCGTGCAGAGACCCCGGGCCCCACTCAGACCCGCAGGGAGTGGCTCCACTGGGGAACCTGCCCTCCCCAGCGTGCAGAAACCCTGCAGAGACCTGTGCAGGGGACAGGAGAGGGGTCCAGGAAGGGCCAGAACCTGCCAGCATGGGCAGGAAAGGGGGAGGCTGGGCTCAGGGAAGGAGGAGGGATGATTTGAGAGGGACAGGAAATTAAACCCAAGGGAACTCCCTCAACCCAGTAACGTTTCTTCACATAATTAGCCACGGAGACAGGATTGTCACTAGCAATGCGTTCAGGAGCTTTGAGAATCGGAGTGGAACAGGCTTTCCTTCTCAAAGGTGCCTCAGTTAAAAAGGTCAGAGTGGGCCCACATGGTGTTTCTTACCTGTTTTTTGTTTGTTTGTCTTTTTGGAGACCAACGCCCCCTTTCTCATGTTGGCATAAGACCCTCTGGTAACATAGCACATTCTGTCAGACTGTCAGACAGGCTGAATTAAATATCATTTAATCGAGCAATAAAAGTCCAAAGGGAGGCTGCCCGTGGGAACCCGCCCTGAGGATCTCCTGCAGGACGTGCAAGCAGATGGCACCGTGGCTGCGGAAAAGGAGGGGACAGGCAGTGACCCCAGCCAGCCACGACCCCGCTCCACACATTCGTGCAGGGTGCAGGCTCACACCCACAGGCGCATGGACAGTGGGCACCACACTGGAACAGACTTTGCCAGGAAGCACGGATTCCCACCTGATACCCTGAAAGATGCCTCCACCTGCACACCGTGGACGGGCATGGAGCTGGCCCGCAGCCCTCAGGGGACAGACAGACAAGAAGCCAGAACGTCTTCTCCATGAAAGCTTTCCGCATTGGCAGCCAATGCAGCGAAAATACAGAGGACAAAACCCCAAGATGTGTGTGCTTCAGAAAAGGCTAGGGCTCATTCTAAAGTTGAGGCAATTCAAGAGGAAATTAATTCAGCCGAGGACAAAGGCCCAGAGCCGCGCATCAGAGGCTGCCCGCGGTGCCCTGCTGGGGCCAGGCTTGTTAGGGCCGGGCAAGCCCTTTGTGCTCCACCAGCTTTCACAGCCTCAGAAGCCCAGTGGGGCACAAGGAGACTACGTCACAAACAGGTTCCCCTGCGAGCACAGCAGGAGGAGCAGAGACCTCAGGGACAACTCCCGCCAGGGCGTCACTGCCTACCAGTGAGCAGATCCCGCAGGAGCTGAGGCTGCAGGGGAAAGCCGGTTGGCCGCCGCACTGTAGCACACCTGCAGCCTCGGCACACGTGTCTGGGCGCTGCACATGGAGGGGGGAGTACGGGCTGCCTCTGTGGATTCCACGTAAGCCGTGCGGCACTTACAGCGAGCTCAGGTAGCAGGCACCCGGGAAGCTGTGGTGCCCGTGCCTGTGACCCCAAAGGCTGGAATCCTTCCAGGGCATCTCCGTGTGGTCACTGTGTCCCATAAGCAGTTTAGGAAGGTTCATCTGCTTCCAAATTGTTCCAACGTCTCGACTTAGTGTTGGAAACTTTACCATTGGAGATTAAGCGCTTTATGTGAAAGCATCGCTCCCACAGAGATGTCTGTACGGGAAAGAAAAGGAGTGATCGTATCTCAGGTGGGAGACTCCTTTGTGCTCGCCTTACACAGCCGAGGAAGGTGGCGACAGTGTCCTCCCACCTACAGAGGAAAGACCACAGGGCCCCCTTGTAAACCTGTAGCCACCCTGGTTTGTCTCGGAATCTGCCCTTCTGTGTTGGACACGCCACAGGCAGACTTGGGCCTGGCGCCTCTGCAGTTCTGGGTGGCTGGAGGGAGCAGGGCAGGGCTACGCTGGCCTCCTCCAGCCCCCAAATCTGCACAAACCCTGCCTAGACAAGACAGCGGTACTGTCCCTCCCTCACCCCCTCCTCCAGAACGAAAGTGCCGAGGTCTTGGCTTCTCACTGCCCAGGTGCCGTCGGGCTCGGCCTCATGGGCTCCAGCTGTATGGGAAGGGCTTCCTGCCAGCCCTTGTCCCGAAACCTCTGACCAGGGTGGTCTGGCTGGCTACAACCAGGCACCCAGCACCTGGAATCCTCACTGGGAAGCTGAGCCGGGCAGGGGCCCTGAGTCTGTGTCCAGCCAGCCCCATGGTCACTGCGTCCTTCCTGCACCCCAGGCCCCATGCTGGACACAGGGCTCGGCCCAGAGCGAGGCAAAGTCTCTCACTTCTTGGAGCTTATGTCTCAGTAAAAATACATAAAATAGGTTAATGTACACAGACACAGCCTCAAATCGGGGTGAGATTCATGCTGTGAAGGCAAAGAACGCAGACCACGAGGGCAGGTGGGGTGGTGGCCTGCGCCGGGGCCCGCTGAGAAGCAGAGACAGACAGGACCCAGCCGTCCCACGAGGGCCCAGAAGCCGTCCACAGATCGGGAGGCAGATGAGGGTGTGTACGGAGACAGAGACAACAAATATAGCCACCTTTTGGGGAGAATTTTGCTGAAACAAGGAGGTGAGAAACAAGAGCTGAGCCGGGTTTCTGTTTGAGACTCTTCTGCTGCCCCGATGGCTTGGCCGGCAGAAAGACAGTGATGCCGCCACAGAGACGGTGAGAGGTCACCCGGCCGCCACAGCCCGCTCCTTCCCCCAGGGCGACGGTGAGGGGTCACCTGCCCGCCACGGCCTGCTCTTCTCTTTTAGAGTAACCACTGATGTCTTAAGAAGTCAGGAAGCCTTGTGAGATGAGTGAGATGCTGACTTTAGCCCCGTGTTGGTGCGTGCTGCCTCGGCTCATCCTCTGCGGGGCGGCTTGCCTGTTGCTGTGTGTCTGGCTCTGCCTTGCTCTGAGCAGGGTCCCCGGGTGGCTTCCTGGATGCCTTTGCGGGTTGGGGACGACCCGGACCCTCTCGGTCCATTGCAGTCACCCAGGTTGAGCCACTCAGAACCGATGGCAAGCGAGCTCCCCTGGTGTGTTCCAGGTTGTCATCCAAGGAGCAGCCATGGCCTCAAACACCCCTCCAACCCCACCCCACCGCCGCACAGGCCCGGATCCACCCCGCAGGCCGCGGCTGCTCCCAGGTGTGACTGCCCTGAAGCCGGATGAGGCATTTCCATGGCCCCCCAGAACGGAGTGTTGGGGGTTGAATTGTGTCTTCCAAAAAGAGATGTCGGAGTGCTAACTCCCAGTGCCTCAGAATGTGGCCTTGGTTGGAGATGGGGTCTTTACAGAGGCGACCGAGCTAAAAGGAGGTCAGTGGGGCGGGCCCTGACCCCAGCGCCGCATGGAGAGCGCCCAGAGGAGATGCAGGTGGAGGACAGGGTGGTGCTGCCACACCTGGGGAGACCCCGGGGTGTTGGTGCACAGACGAGCCTCCGCAGGGCGCTCACAGGAAGCACGCATGTCACCCACGCTTTTGAGATAGGCACATGGCTCTTCCTCTCCCAGCAAACAACTTTTAATTCCAACTTTTATTTCTTCTCCAGGCTCCATCCTCCTCCCTCTCTCTTGGCCCCAGGTGCTGCTGGAATGTCCCCTTTGCTGGGACACTGGAGGACACCTGAACAAACCAGCCTCCCTGTCAGAGCCTGGAGGCTGCCCCAAGCCAGCATCTGTGGCTCCACATGAGCTGAGAACCATTTTATGCCGGCCTCGCTCTCCCTCCAGCCCTTCTGGGCTTGGCTGGCCTTGCCCCGTCCCCTGAGCCCTCCCAGCAATCCTGTCCCAGGTGAGAGTATGAGGCTGGCATGGAACAGCCCTCAGTTGATGTGGGGGAGCAGCGGATGCCCTGGGCAGGCTGGTGGATGCCAGAACACCCTGAGGACACCTGAGGACACCCGGAGGACACCTGAGGATGCCCCGAGGACGCCCTGAGGACACCTCTCGAGACACCGGGAAGGGGCTCCTGTGGGTTCTGTCCCTGCGTCCCTCCCACACCTGGGCCCGTTCACTGGCAGGCCACACGCTATGCTGTTGTGGAAAGCAGTCGTCAGGACAGGCTGCACGAGGTGAGCGGGTTCACTGCGCGTGCAAAGGACCGGCAGCCTCCTCAGGACAGGGCCAGTCCTCGTCCACCTCAGGACCCGCCACTGAGCAAGTGCGCCACAGGCCACGTGGGCGGCTCTGGGAGCCCCAGCATCAGCGCGGGGCACGCAGCGCCACACGAGCCACGCCTTCCTCCATCCTCACCGCTGCAGGCACACAGACACTCCCATTCAGGTCCACAGGCGGCATCATCTGCTGTGGGGGCCTCGGGTGGCCTGTGTGGTTGATGATGTTTGCTAAACACCCACAGAGGCCCCCAGTGACCTAGCATCTGCAGTTAAGAAAAGATCTTTGGCACGGGACAGATGGGCCAGTGTGGAGGGCAAGCTTGCATCCCCCTCTGGCTTCCCCAGGAGGCCCTGATGGGCAGGGAGGGCCAGGCTTCCTCCTCCTTGGGCAGTGGGCAGGGTCACTGGGCATCTCGCTTTCAGGATTCATGTCTTCTGTCTGGAGAGCAGGGGGAGGTGAAGCGAGTTTGGGTCACTCATTAGGGCCAGGCCTTCCCACCCTAGTGCCGCCCCCTGGGACCAGCCTGCTCTGCCCCTCCCCTCTTCTCCCCATGACCCGCAAAATCACAGCATTATCTGTTTTCCTGCTACAAGAGGAAGAGACAGCTGTACGGAAGATGGCTTCAGGGTTACGAGCTGGAAAGGTAAAGGTAAGCCCACATGAAGATGCTGAGAATCCAGGGAACGAGAGGAAAGCATTTCGGAGAGAATCCAGGGCAGCTGTAGGTTCATTCACCCCACAGATGCCTTCGGAGCACTGCCTGTGAAAAGTACCCCCGACTTTGTGGCGTTCAGGAGCCAGAAAAAGTCCCATGTTTAGAATTCCAGCCTGCGAGCCAGGGGCCCTCTGTCCCCTCCCGGGGTGTTTCCCACGTGGCCCTGAGCTGAGACTCCATGGGAAGCAGGTGGCTGAGCAGGGAGAGGAGATGTAGCCAGGCGGGACTCAGGCACCAGCCACCAGGGATGCTCTAGGATCCACCCCAAGGCCCCTCTCCGGGTGCCCCAATGGAGCTGGGATCCCAGAAGTTGGGACCTGGTGGTGTTTTGAAGTTGGTGTTTCCAGACAAGACACAAAACTGCAGAGTATGACACGGCCGGGCTGGGTGGAACTCGAGAGAGGGTGAGGTCAGGGTTGGGACAAGGCCACGGCCTCCAAGGCCAGGGGGCATTCCGGGGGCTCCGTGGCAGCACCCAGAATTCTGCCAGGGCTGGGAGTGGCAGGGGGCAGGGAATGCCCTCTACTTCAGAGTGGGAAAGGCTGGGTTCAGCCAACAGAGCCCAGGAGGCTGAAGGGCCTGGAGGAGCCTGGGGTTTGGTCAAGAGGGAAAATTGGGATGGAAAGGGGGCACCTAGACCCCAAGCACGAGGTGGCAGGCAGGAGCTTGGCAGAGGTCAGGGAGGAGCTTGTGGTGGGGATGGACCAGAAGGTTGGGAAACCCAGTGGTGTTTCCGGTTCTGTGCAGGCACTGGCATCCAGGGCAGTCAGCACCAGGGCCCTGCACCTGGCACACCTGGTATCCCTGCAGGGGGTGGCAGCCGAGGGAACAGCCAGGGAGGGCCCACATCACCCACTGGGCTTGCCACCTCCATCCCGCACAGAAGCACGCTGCGAAGTGTTCTGACTGCACAGTTTCTCAGAGCAGAAAATGTACACACCACTTGTGTGAGTTTCTTTATAAAGAAACTGAAGCAGACTTTTATTCTTTATTGCAAGCAGATTCAGGTCTCCTGCTTAGATAATCTAGAGAAAAGTCCAATATAATATTATCCAGTCAGTTTATCTACAGAAATAAAAGTTAAAAACAGAAGCATACAAAATAAACTTTACTGAAATGTTAGATTGGTTTAATTAACAATTTAATTTTTCAAAGCTGATTAATGAATTATCAGTTAAATGTTACTGTGTGGAGACTGATTTATGTTAATGCACCTACTATGTTTAATAATTTAAAAATAAACTCCAGTATTTATGATGATGACAACTATGGATACCATTCATGTTAAATACATTTTTGAAGACCTTCTTTTATTACATTACATAATGAACAGACATTTTAAATGGTGACGCAGACATTATAATTTTAAGTCAGACACAATATATGCATATTAAAATTCTGTATACTTTGATAAAGTAAAAAATAAAGCTATATAAATTGATCTTTAGATTTTTCTGCAAAAGTAGAATCACACTTTCATGACACTTCTAACATATCCCATCAAGGCTGCTTATAGACACAACATCAGAAAGATTTTCATTCCAGTTCACCCACCTTTAGCTTAAAAAAAAAAAAGATTGCATTTGCCAACTGATATTTTTCCTGTTTTTAAAGTTACAAATGGGTAACTTCCTAAAGAAATGTAGGATGCAAGGACCTGCATATCAAGCTGTTAGACACTGAGTTGTCAAATAAATAATACTAACATTAAATAAGAGTGGTTGTATTATTCAGTACTAGTCAGTGCAAAACACATGAGCTGAGTGGTTTGAAGAACAAGGCTGGAGGTTTCCCGCGACAGCACCGGACCCCTGGCCAAGGCTCAACTCAGGGGAGTCCCCACAGCCTGTCTAAACATTTGTTTAAACGCTCAGCAAGCCGAGCGGATGGTCACCCTGTTGGAGACGCTGGCCGCATCTGGCCTCCTCCCTCGAGACGGTGTGGCCTGCTTGTTCGCCCTGTCTGCTCAGACACAGGCTGGGTTGACTGGGGCTTTAGGCGGCCGCGGCCCTTCCCAGCTGGCTCGTGGCGGAAGGCTGGCCGTGCTCCGACGCGTGCACGGATGAGGTGCGGCGTGGGTGTGGCCAGTCCTGCTGTGGCCGCCTGGTATAGGGCTGAGCCGAGGGGAGGTTTCAGCTTGCGAGGCTGGACCTCCCTAAAGGGGAAGGGCCTTGTCCAGGGCACCAAGCCTTGCTCACAGAGCAGCTGGTGTAAGTGAAGCTGCGACTTCACCCCCGGGGCCTGCTCTGCAAAGCCCAGACATTCTGCCAGGAGGGGGACTCTTCATCCCAGGGAGGCATGGGCTGGGGGCCAGGGAGCCCATCTTCCCATGCCCATCCAGAGGCCTCTCACAGGGGCCCCTCAGCAAGGAGGCAGGATGCAGTGCAGGACACCAGGACAGTGTGCACTTGTTTGTGGCACATGTGTGTATATGTGTGTGCATGTGTGTATTCACGCCTGCAGGAGCCTGCGCATGTGTTTGTGGTGCGTACATGTGCATGTGTACGTGTGGGAGCTCACGTGTGGGAGACGTGTGTTTACATGTCTGGGAGCTCGTTTGTGGTGTACACGTGTGTGCATGTGTGTAGGAGCCTGTGCGTGTTTGGGGTGTGTCCATGTGCATCTGTGTGTACGTGTGGGAGCTCACATGTGTACGATGTGTGCACGTGTGTTTACACGTCTGGGAACTCATTTGTGGTGTACACATGAATGTGCACGTGTGCAGGAGGCTGCACGTTTGTAGTGAATGTACGTGTGCGTGTGTGTGTGCATGTGTGCAGTAGAAGCTCATACGTCTCTCTGCTGTGCATACACGTGTGTGAGAGCAAGCCTGTAGGAGCTTGTACATGTGTGCTTACCTGTACATGCATGTGTGTATCACACGTCCGTGTGTAGGAACTTACGCTGTTCATGATATGTGCATATGTATTGTGTAGGAGCATGCACACGCGTGTCTGTGGTATGTGTACACGTGCATGTTCTGCATGTCTGTAGGTCACACATGCTTTGGTGCATGTACACGTGTGTGTGTGTATGCGTGTAGGAGCTCACACTTGTGTACACGTTTGTGTGCATGCATGTGTGCAGGAGCTTGCACGTTTGTGGTGGGTACATGTACATATGTGAGTGATCCTGTGTGCAAGCCCCCATGTGGACATGGCTATGAGTGAGCGTGGAGCCAAAAGCCAGGTAACACGCATGCAGCAGGCCCACTGTGCGTGTCTGAGACGGTCTGTGGCAGGGACTGGGTGTGAATCATGCAGCAGGCCCACTGTGCGTGTCTGAGACGGTCTGTGGCAGGGACTGGGTGTGAATCATGCAGCAGGCCCACTGTGCGTGTCTGAGACGGTCTGTGGCAGGGACTGGGTGTGAATCAGTGACCGTGTCTCTGACCAACATGCTGAATTACAAATTGATAATTTATTAACCTGTGCAGCAACAAATAAGATTTTTCAAAACTCAACAAAGTGCTCAAAGTTGACATTACTTGCTTCAAAGTTAGTTTAAGGCAAGTAAATACTAACTACTGCGAGGTGGAAAATTGCATGAAGACCCTGCAACGTCATTCACTGAGGATCTTCTCATCCTTTTCTTTTTTATCTCGTGCCCCTTGTCTATTTCAAATCATCAGGCACATTCATTTAATAATTTCCCAAGCAATTTTTAAAAAGACGTTTGGGAGTGTGTAAAAGTTTAGTGACTTTCACACTAAAACTTGTTGTCAGAGGTACATGGTGACTATCTCCACACAGGCAGAGCTGGGACCCAACTTACTAAACCTTCACGTGAGAATCTTCTATTTTTAAGGCTGAAGGATGGCAATTAACAATGAAACATAGAAAGCAGATGAAATTGCAACAAATTGTAAAGAAAAAGTGTAGCAAATTATCGTGCCTTAAATGTGCTGTTCAACTAATCACTGCCACCAGAAATACCAAGAAAAGAAGAGGTGTGTGTAGAGAATAAAATCAAATCTGAAAATTCGCATTCATCAGAGATTGGAACATTCAGTCAAAACTCTCACCAGAATCTAAATGTAAAGTGGCCAAAATTTCATAAACTTAAAAATGAAAGCTTTAAAAACCTATTTTTAAAATTAGACAGTATGTTAAATAAATGAATAAAAGAGATATAAACAGCTATGAAAATACTTCAGTGCAAAGGCAATTTTAAGATTTCTAAAAAAATACATTACAAATAATTTGTTAACTGAACATACAGAGAATCTGCCCCCGCTACAGGTGTTACATTTATGCCCATATTGGGTTCCTAAAAAGGGCTGTAAAAACGCACACACCATTGTTTGCGGGGGCAGCGTGGGCAGGGCTGCCAAGCCAGGGCGGCCACACAAGGACCTCAGGGCAGGGTGGCCCTGGGGACGCCTGCGGCTGGCCCCTCGGGACAGAGTGGAGTCTTCCCCGTTCTGTCTGCTCAAGCCAGTTGCTCGCTACCCTCATCTTTGGTGTGATGTTTGTCACCTTATTTTATCCCAACCACTGTGTTCACTGTTCTTACCGCTGATTTACCCTCTACTTCAAATAAATATTTTATAGGTAAAAGATTATACAATCAAATGGTGAAATCTGAGCTTCCAAAAATACCTACTGTCGAGCACCTCGGAAACACCCTCTGGGTTTCACTTGCCGGAGCCCCGTTCCACAGCGTGGCGCGGGGCGGGCGTGAGGGCCGGCTCCTCCTCCAGCGTTGGTGGTGCTTTCCTGAAAGGCAGCAGTTTCAGCGTCTGAAGTCTGAATCTCACACTGAAATGTCTTCTTTAAGGACCATTAAGGCTATGTCAAATATTATTTCTAGAAATAGAAATGCCAGTACGGAGAACAACAGGGACTTCCTATCACAGCAGCCCTGGGGTTGCTAACCCACCCAGAGCAGCGCTGGACAGATCCTAAGACGAAGGAGAGCCCTGCGTGGGGACATGGGGACGAGGGTATGTGGGGACGGGACAAGGGGACGAGAGGACGTGGGGATGAGGAGACGAGGGGACGTGGGGACGAGGTGACAGGACAAGGGGACATGAGGACGAGGTGACGGGGCAAGGGGATGTGGGGACGAGGTGACGGGATGAGGGGACGTGGGGATGGGACGAGGGGACGTGGGGACGCAGAGCCCGGCGGGCGGAGCTGCAGTGCGGGAGGCGGGCAGAGGTGCGGTGCTGCCTGTTGGGATCCACCCGTGTCCTGTGTGCCACCCCCGTCAGCCCGAGACAGGTTCTGGTGCACGAACACCACCTTGGTGTTGACCCCTCCACGGGGACAGAGGATGTCTGCTCATCACAGCCAAGTATCTGTCTCCCGGCCCTCGCACCCGCGAAATCAACATTCTCCCGTAACAGTGGACTGACGGCTCCGTGCCCTGGCGAGTGGCTGATGGACATCCTGGCACTTCTGCGGCAGGGCTGGAAGCTGCCGGCGTGGCCTTGTCCTCCCACGTGGCACTGCCTTCTCCACGAGGCGGCCGGTGATGGGGAGACCGAAACTCAGCCAGCCCCAACACACAGGGCAGGCGGGCTTGGACGTAACCGCAGGGAAACCACTCCCAGATGAGCAGGGTACGGCGGTGCATCCGCAGGGATGATGGTATCCGAGTGACCCGGCCCTTCCCACAGCATCCGGATTGGAGGGTTGTTGAGTAAAGGACGCACCACCATGGCTCCACCTCACCCTATGGAGGGCATGGGTGGTGGCCGGGCAAGCAGGAAACAGCAGCATGTGGCATCCACATGTGGGCCACCATGGGTCCCTGGACGGCTCTTCTCTCCCAGTGACAGCAAAGGCCAATGATGGCAGGTGGGTGAAGACACAGGCCTGGGGGAATGGCCTCTGCATGACAGCGCGCAGGGTGGGCCAGCAGAATGTCCCTCCTGCGTTGAGCCGAATGCCCAGAGGCCACTGGTGTGGCTCAACAACCACAGTGCTGGGTCCAGGCGGCCAGGGTGCCATGCTCGAGGGCAAGGCCTGTGACCCCCCTCCTTGCCTGCTGGGGGCCAGGAAGAGGCACGTGCACAGTCTCCACAGGCTTAGGACCATCCATCACACGAGCATTCCCACACGGGACCTAGGGCAGCTGTGACTTGGGATGGAACTGCAGTGGTGATGGGAACCGCCGAGGATGGGTGGGGGCTCCGTGGACACCTTCTCCTTCCAGGCCGCGAGTGTCACCTGCTGAGAGTGGGAGCTGTACCAGGCGGCCGAGGGACAGGTGCTCTGGTAGCCTGGGCTCTGCAGAGAGGCAAGAGGGGTGAATTCTGAGTCGCGGTCCCGAGGCTGTGCGCACCCATTCTGCTGAGAGAACGAGACACATGGTCAGTCTCAGGGATACCCACGGGGCTGCCTGGGGTGACCTGAGCCACTCTGGGATGCACTCACTACCATCGCCTCCTGCAGGAACTGCTAGACTCAACTCAGGACACACCCTCGTCCTGAGGGCAGGCCGGGCGGGATCCACCCCACCAGAGAAGCCATATGGAGGCGAGGGGTCTCTGTCTAGGAATGAGGGCCTCTCCTTTTCAGTACCAACAGAGTGACCGTCCCCCTGTCCCACCATCCCAGGGAAGAACCCAGGGGCCCCAGGGATACAGGCCATGGACGGGAAACCTACGAGCTTCCTCCCTGTAGCTGGCTTCCTGTGCAGTGAGCTCGAACGCCATACCGGTACCCAGAGACCCTTGAACAAAAGGCGAACTCACTGCCCCAGGGAAGGCAGGCCCCACCCCACAGGGACCGGGTTGATTTAGTACTGGACGTGCCCAGCTTGCATCCCCTTGACATGTTGCCTAGGATGTCACCATACGGATGGGGCCTGCATGGCTTCTGACAGCCCACTGGGGCCCCGGATGTGCACGGGCCCTGTGGGTCTGACCAGCAAGGGGAGCGGCAGGAGGCCGGCAGCACGCATCTGTCTGATGAGGGGCCGTCCCCAGGTCAGCCCACTTTTAGACCAGGGGGCAGCGGCGGATGCTGGCAGGAGCAGATGTCTTCATGGCCTCCATGTCTGTTGGAGAGGCGACAAGCTATGTGCTCCGGCTGGCACACAGAAGACCTGCACTCACACCTGCCTGGGCCCCAGTTCCACACAAACCATGCAATAACCACGTTTGATTTCAAAGCACGGTCCTTCCTGATGGGCCTTTTAAGTGAAGCTGTGTCCCCCGAAAGACCAGGATCGTGAGCCTGTGTCTGACGATGCTGGGTCTGGTCAGGCTGTGTGCCGTGCGTGTGGGGTGAGTGTGCACACGTGTGTGTGCACAGCATGTTCCATGTGTGGTCAGCTTGCCCTCAGGCGTGTTACTTACCTGGGACAGCAAATGCATGTGTGTGTAAAGAGGGCTGCTCTT
Organism: Homo sapiens; assembly: GCF_000001405.40. NCBI lineage: Eukaryota > Metazoa > Chordata > Mammalia > Primates > Hominidae > Homo > Homo sapiens. The sequence goes on along the minus strand of NC_000013.11, from coordinate 112,880,760 downwards.
TCTCACCGTGAACCTTTGTTATCAAAGACAGCACAGCACAGCACAACTTTGGAGGAAAAACGGGTCTGACAGTCACAGCACACGGGCGGCGTCCAGCAGCCGCACAGTTACCTAGCGTGGAGCTAACTGCGCCTTGGCCGCCGTAGGAGGTCCTTCAGGAGGGGCCCATCGCTGCTCTGTGCGGCCTGGACTGGAGCCTTGTGCTTCACACCCCTCTGCAAGGCGAGGAAAGATACTGAGCGACGTGGGCCACACGGGGCCACCAGGAGTGCTCGGGCCTCTGCCTGCACCATCCGTGGGACCCCAGCAGGAAGAGGCTCGAAGCCCCTGTTGGAGTCTGCATGGGGTGTCATGGAGCTGCCAGGGCGAGGGCTTGGGGCGTCTTGGGAAAACACTGTCCCAGCAGGGCCGCTCCCATGAGGGGCCCGAGCCCAGAACTGAGACAGCGACAGGCTCAGGGACGGGCCATGCACCCGCGGGAGGCAGAGGGTCTGAGGTCCCTCGGCTGGAAGGTCTACCAGGCACCGCTGGAATCCTGAAGCCACACGTTCAGCCACACGCCCACTTCCACGGCAGACAGCGAGCTCCAGTAACCGCTCTACCAGGGCCCTGCGACGGACTTTCCTGAGTCCAGCGTGCTCACAGAACTCCACTGAGATCTTGTAGCCCAGCCTTATTCAAGGAATAAGGGAAGCACAGGAGCTGAAGAACTGCGGGCTTGGAATTGCACAATTGCACGTCTGAATGGGCAAACGCCCAGGTGAGGAGAAGTAGGAAACAGAGGATGAGGCTGCCACCCTTCCTGGGGACAGTGACGGAGAAGTGAACTGCATGCAGATACGCAGAGATGCCAGCACGGGCATATATGTGCAAATCGCACATATATAACATATACATCTGAGGCCTGTGATGCTTTTCTTTTCCGTAGGAACAGGTTAAAAGAAAGCCATCCACTGGAAGTAACATATGCCCCACGTGAGGACTAGTGACACGTTTATTCCTCCAAAGTTTTGCAGAACGCAGGTGGTCTCGGCGCCACGGCGTGTTCCCGTGTGCGCCGGGCATGTGCTGGCTGCAGGCGCTTTCTGTTCAAGTGTGGACGCCGGCCCTGTCTGTGGGGGTCATGCCGGGGCCCAAGGCCTCGCAGGGGGCAGGAGAAACTCCGTGCCACTGTCTCTACGCAGCCGGGCTCAGCTTCCGTACATGCTCAGAAGCAAATCAGCTCTCAACAAACTACATGAATCGTTAGAATGCTTATTTTTAGCTCAGAGTTGGCATGATTTAATCAGTTTCTTAAGGACCTCTTATGAGTCATTAAAATGTTCCTAATAATTTCATCCTAAATGTCTTCAAGTACAGAAATGGTGAGATGAAATTCTGCAATTTAATCTAACAAATTCTGATGACACTAAATTAGAAAACTGTTGATTCTGATTAATTGCTTGGACTTAAAAAAGGACCATTTTGTCAGTTAAAAATCCTGTTTAAAATATATAGAAGATGATGTTATTAAAGGGAAAAGAAGCCTTTTTCTGCTTTGGGCATTTTTCTAAGCTGCATTTGGTAAAACAGTAATACCAAGTATGCATTTTCAAAGCATCACTGATTTGGAGGCATGCGTGAAGGCGGTATTTGGTGCAGGAGCACACGGCTAAAAGACAGAACGCGACTTCAGGACGGCGTGCAGGCCCCTGCAATCTCGGCTCTTATCATGGACACCACCGCAGAAAAATGGCGTGTGAACGCCTCTACATTGCCCAGAAAGGCCAAGGTCGTCATTTTTAAAGCAAATTATTAATAGAAGGCTTTTTTGAAAAACAATGAGGTTTTCATTTAAAAAACAGTAAAAAGGGAATTTGGTCAAACATTTGACACCAAACACTTCCGTCCCCTCTTTGTCTCCAGTTGTGTGGCTCAGCCTGGCTCCCCTTTTCTGAAATGTGCATGGGTCCTGAGCAAACCGTGTTATCCTAGCTGCCCTCAGTCTTTCCAGCTGCAGAATGGGCACAGAAGTGGGTGCGTGAGGGAGGAGGCCTTGTGATCCACGCTCTACAGGCTGCAGAGGGAAGGGTGTGTGAGCTCAGAGCCTGGATGACCTGTGAATTGCAAACTCTCACACCTTCCTGCTTAGGAACCCCTCTGACACCTGTGTGAGGGGTCATGTGGCCAGCTCTCCGCTGTCAGCTGTGTCTGAACCCTCACACAGGTGGGTTCTGAGGCTGCACGGACGCTGAGGGAGAAACCCTGGTTAACTGTGACTGATGGAAAGCACAGCCCATGATCAGTCTGTGCATGAGAAGGTGTAAGTGGTGGCGGGACTTCCCGACGTGAGGCTGCTGTACCCAGCGCCTGGTGGACGCTGCGTCAGAGCACGTGGACTCAGGGCTCTGGTGATGGGCATGGCCCTGCTGCCCCGTGTCTACCATCCCAGGTGCGTGGAAGGCAGAGGAGCATCACCTTGTTCCATCAGAAACTCAGGCTGCTGGAAGTCTGAGAAAGCATAAAGATGGTTGACTGCTCGACAGAAAGGCACTGGCTCTTAGTCTTAGTCCCGAGGTCAGCGGCCACGCACACAGGGGTGTGTGAACAAGGTGTGAGGATTTAGGCAAAGCGGTCGGAAGACGGAAGGAAATGGGAAGGAAAGAGAAACAAGAGACAGAGCTGAGTTAGTCAGAGGCTCGCCACCACGTGCAAGTTCTTCTGGTCACTCTGGGCGGACACTGGTGCCCCCCACCGTGACCCGCCAGCCCCTCCCACCCCCTGCTTTATGCCTTCTGCAGGTCCCGCTGTGTAGCTGTTCATAAGCATTCCCGGGGCTCTTGTGGGACGCAGAGACCCACAGCAATACAGGGGCTTCTAAACAAAGGGTGGGACGGGGAGGGTCCTCACTGGCATTCCCAAAGTGCCCACCCATCCTGGAGATGAGTTGCAGAGCAGAGGGCCTGTGGTCAGACACATCCGGGGGCGTGGCCCTCGGCAGCCCCGACTCTGGAGGCTGCGTGCACAGTGCATGGAAGAGCCCAGACTCCTGCGGGGAGAGGCCCTCCTAACCCCCCGAGTTCAACTCCTGCCTGCTCAGGCATCTTTGACCAAGCACCTCTGCAGCCACATGCACCCAGGGGCCAGGTGGGGCTGAGACTCGTGCAAACCCCAAGCCACACCACTGTGGCCACAGCTAGGGGCCCAGCAGACACCCCCAAGCTGCACCTGCTCTCTCTCGGGGTCAGACCCCCAGCCCTGCTGTCTCTTCTGTGCCTGATGTCCTTGTTACATGTGTGTCTGCCACGTCCCCATGTATGGGATGTGGTTATGAACACGTGTCCCATGCACAGAGCCCTGTCATGAACACGTGTGCCCGCTGTGGAACTGCACAGCTAAAGAGCTCAGTAACCAAGGACCGTGCTTAGAGAAAACCACCACTGGACAGCTGCTTCTCGGGCCACAGGCAGGGCTGGGCAGTGAGTGGCTGCTTGGGGCCGGTGAGTTTCCCCTGAAGCACTGGGGGCCGCGGAGTCTCAGCCAGGGCCCCGGCTCCTGCTCCCACTGTCTCCCCTCCTGCACAGAGGCCCCTCAGTGGGACCTTCTTATAAGCAGCCAACTGGCACGTTCTGCTGCGTTTCTCCTGCCTGTGGCCCCCGAGTCAGTGGAGCTGTGTGTGGACATTTTCACTACATTGAGAGGCAGTCTCTTCACCACGAGTTTTGCTCGCTCTGATTTTACAAACTGTGGCAGGAGGCATGAAGGAGGGAGTGCCGGGAACTGGTGGCATCGGTTTCAACATTTCAAATCGGCACCAATGTCCCAAGAAAGCTCTCAAGCCAGGGTCCCATTCTGATTGTTGGAGGTGGGTGGTGGGTGAGGCTGTGCCCCCCAAGGGAGGGCAACCTGTCTTCCCTCCCAGCACAGCAGCACCGCTGGGAGCCAGCCCCCGGGTGTCTGAGCTACGTGAGTGAGTCAGGGCTGGGGCCCCGGCCCCCACTCACTCCCCGTCTTCCTCCCACCTGGGGAGCCTCACACCCTGCAGGAGCAGCCACTGCCAGGGGCCCCCACCCCTCATTTCCCCATTGGGCTTCAGCACTGCCCAGTCCAGGGCTCCACCTCAAGGAGTGATTGGAAATTTCGGGGATGAAACTTGAAAACTTGCATTGTTAATAGAGTCCTGAGGGACCGTGACAGGTGCAGCGGCCCTCTGAGGACAGGCAGGCTTCCCAGTAAAGCAGCAGAGGTGGGTCGTGGTCACTGCCTCTGATTTAGGGTTGAGCTTGAAGGCAGAGGCCAGCTGCTGAAAAGGATGGGGGACCGGGAGCTAAGTCCTCACACCTGCCAAACCCTGCACCTGGGGGGACACTCGGCATCGTCACGTCTTCCCTGGACCCAGAATTCTGCTTGTGCCTAAAACTTGGGAGTGTGTAAAATAAGCAGCTCCACCAATACCAGCATTTCCTGATACAGATGCTACCGTTTCCAGCCAGATTTACCATCCTTAAAAATTATGTAATTCAACCTTTTAAAGTAATGATTAATTTTAAAAAAGGTTTCCATTTACATGAAATAATTTGCCTTTTGCATCAGTCTTTTTTCTCTTATTTGTGTCTCATTTCAGATGACTGTTTAGGTTGAAACATAAAATTAGACATCGGTCATCGCAAATGTACCTGATGTTTAACATCATGCACCGTCAGGACACTCATTAGTGATACCTGAACTGATCACGTTTCATGAAATCCAAACCTTTCACACTGTCTTTCAAAACGGTCATCTCCCAATCCTAAGGCCAGGGCCCTGAGGCACCCCCGCCCCGGCTGGGGACACTCCGTACCTGGACTCTCTCTGTTGCTGTTGGCCACAGCTGCCGGCACAGGACTTTCTTGAGGACGTCGGGAAGGAGGCTGATGGTCACCAGCAGCACGATGGCCAGCCAGGCGGGCCCGCTGGACAGCATCTGGATGAACACGTAGTACATCCTCTGGTAGTTGAGGAACGGCCTGAGGGGCAGGGAAGAGAAGCCGCTGGTGAGGCATGTACTCCCTGGGGCTGGCCTCTCTACTCACTGGAGAGGCCGTCTGTTCAGGGAGTTTACACTTTTGTCAGTGAGAGTTGCTTGGCAAGCCACGGAGCCTGCTCTGAATTTATCATATAAAAAATGAACACTGAACCTCCCGGTAATGCTGGGGTAAGAGGAACGGGAGAAGGAATTCTATGAAGTCATCTCAAATGGGACATAGAAGTCTCTGAAGTTCAGTTTCACAGAAGCAAAAAAAAAAAAAACAAAAAACAAAACACAAAGGGATTGAAATAGGGATGTTTTTCTATCTTGAAGTCTCGGATGGGAAGGACGTCCCGAGCACTGGTCGTCAGTACAGAGCAAGCAATGACTTCTCTCCCCAGAAAGAGGATGATTCAAAGACGTCTGCGTCAGCCTCCATGAGGGAGGCTGGCAAGGATGCAGGGACCAGTGACCCGCAGCCAGCCCGAGCCCACAGGTCCACGTCTATACGTGCCTTCCGGTAACGTTTCCTGATCGCCTTTCACATCCCAGGCACTACGGATGGTGGCAGAGACACAGAGATAGGGCCCCAGCTCCAGGAAGCACAGTGAAACTGGTGTGTGGACAACAGGAGGGAAACGGAAGCAGGGCATGGTGGGTAACGGGAGGGACACGCAGCTGCTGGCAGACCTGGGATGGGGCTGGGGGCACCCACGTGGTGCTGGTGGCGGGCAGGAGGATGGGGTCTCATCACCAAGCGGTGGTGACATGGTGAGCTCCCAGCACATCAAAGACGTGGGGTCAATGTTTTAGGAAACAATGTGAGAGGCTGTGGTTCTACCAAGGCTGACGGGCTGTGGCTCCTTGGCTACAAAGCCCAGGAGCTGGTCAGAGAGGTTTGGGATGGAATCTTCCTCTTACAGAGCCATCGCCTTCAGGGCTGTTAGAATGGCCGGGCTCTCCAGAGCCGGGCTGGGCTCTCTAGAGCTAAGCAGGTTTCTCTGGGGCTGACAGGGTGCCTGACACCCTCCAAGCTGGGCTGTCATCTCTGAGACTGTGTAATGCAACTTGGGGCCACCAGGGGCCGCTGGCTGAACGAGAGAATCCGGAGGGACTCTTCCTGGGCTGAGAGTCCCGCCCAGGTCAGGGGCCCTGAGGGATCCTGAGTGGGTTGCTGGCTTTCCCTAGGCCGGCTACTGACCCCAGGTCTGCAGAGGGCTGTGGCAGAGGCTGCTGCGCTGGGGCTGAGACTGGGACCTGGCCCTGGGCCCATACCACTCAGCGTCGTTTCCTGGCTTACAGCGACAGTCTCTAGACTGACCACCCTGCCTATGTCGCTCTCACCAGCTCAACACGCAGCCACCGTGGGGTTTTTAAAAGAGCCACTCAACTCTGCTGTGCTCTGCCTCGACTGACCACGACAGCCTCGAGCCAGGATCCTCACGGCCGGCGGTCCAGGAGGCCACCATGCCTGCTCTGCAGCCTGGTCCGGGCCCCTCTCCGCTGGCCACGGCTCCCACTCACGGAGGACCTCCTCCCGCCCGGGCCTGCGTGCCTGCTGCTCTCCCCCAAACCAGAGGCTCCCCGATGAGTCAGGCTGCTGCGGGCAAGGTCCAGCCCCACCATGCCTGGGCCCCATCTTGCTGCGGGGCGTGAGGATGGAGTGAGACAGGACCTGTCGAATGCCTGGCCAGTGCCTCGTTGTGGGAGGCGGTTACCAGCTGGGACTTGCTGTGATGATGGCGCTCTTCTTCCAGGTTTCAAATGACTGTTTCTGAAAAGTCACCTCTGGCCTTTCAATCTGACATGGGTCCCCTGGTGCGGAATCCTGGTCTGTTCCTCCGTATAACTCGTCACAAGCTGTTATCAGTTAGCGTCTTTCTCCCCCGGAAGATGCAAGTCACCGGAGCAGGAACCCCCCGGTGTCTTGCCCCCGACTGTATCCCAGGACCCCACGACACCCAGCACACAGCAGCCATTCAACAAACACTTGCCCCAACCAACAGGGCCGCACGGAAAATGTGTCTTCAACCCTTGATAAAAAAATAACAACCACATGATATTTATCAGATTATCAGCTACTTATCAGATATTTACCAGATCACTCCTCCCCAGAGAAGCGAAAAGACAACGTAGAACAGCAGCGACCCCCAGATGACAAAATGGTTGATCCAAGTCCAGTAGTGTGTGTCCAATGCAAGCTAAAAGGAAAAAAAAAAGGGCAGTTAACGGTGTCATCTGAGCAGTGAGAATGATCGTGATGGGCAGGACAGAGAGCCGGGGGGTGACGAGAAACTAAACCAAACGCAAGACCCAGCAATGACGACTCAATGCCTGCAAAACACGGCTCAGGAAGACAAAGCCACACCTCACACCGCTCAGGAAGACAAAGCCACACCTCACACCGCTCAGGAAGACAAAGCCACACCTCACACCGCTCAGGAAGACAAAGCCACACCTCACACTGTTCAGGAAGACAAAGCCACACCTCACACCGCTCAGGAAGACAAAGCCACACCTCACACCATTAAGGAGACAAAGCCACACCTCACACCACTCAGGAAGACAAAGCCACACCTCACACCGCTCAGGAAGACAAAGCCACACCTCACACCACTCAGGAAGACAAAGCCACACCTCACACCGTTCAGGAAGACAAAGCCACACCTCACACCATTAAGGAGACAAAGCCACACCTCACACCACTCAGGAAGACAAAGCCACACCTCACACCGCTCCAGAAGACAAAGCCACACCTCACACCGCTCAGGAAGACAAAGCCACACCTCACACCGCTCAGGAAGACAAAGCCACACCTCACACCGCTCAGGAAGACAAAGCCACACCTCACACCGCTCAGGAAGACAAAGCCACACCTCACACCGTTCGGGAGACAAAGCCACAGCTCACACTGCTCAGGAAGACAAAGCCACACCTCACACTGCTCAGGAAGACAAAGCCACACCTCACAGTGTGAGTGGAGAGGAAGAATGTGGGGACGCCACAGCCCTGGGTCCTAGGTAAGGGAGCCATGGATGTATTTCCCAGATGGCAGCATGCGGGCCACAGACCAAGGTGTTGTTTATATCGTCACCGAAGAAAGTCATTCAGATTAAGGTGTTCTTTATGTCTCTACTGAAGAAAGTTACTTCTTAAAATTTTTTTGAGACAGTCTCGCTCTGTCGCCCAGGCTGGAGTGCAGTGGTGCGATCTTGGCTCACTGCAACCTCCACCTCCCGGGTTCAAGCGATTCTCGTGCCTCAGCCTCCCAAGTAGCTGGGATTACAGGCGCGTGCCACCATGCCCGGCTACTTTTTGTGTTTTTAGTAAAGATGGGGTTTTGCCATGTTGGCCAGGCTGGTCTCGAACTGCTGACCTCAGGTGATCCATCCACCTTGGCCTCCCAAAGTGTTGGAACTACAGGTGTGAGCCACTATGCCTGGCCAGAAAGTTACTTTAGAGTCAGGTGTTGTTTACATCACTATCTAAGAAAATCACCTTAGGAATGTTTTGGTATCACTTTTTAAGACTCAGTCTGATAGGTTTTGAGATTTCATAATGATATATTCTGTATATAATTTCACTGAACTTTAAAGAGTGAAATTTTTCAAAATACATTAATTTGTTTCAATTAAAGTGTATTTTGATGGCGCTGGGGGGAGGGCTACTTGCCACTGAAAACAATTCTAGCCTGAATTCTTTCACAAAGAAGCAGCTTGCTCCCGAGGTTACCTCCGGTGTAGCTCTGGGGTTTGCACATGGGGTGGCCGGGTGTGCTGAGTGGCTGTGCATTACTTGTCTAAACAGCAGGACAAGGATGCCCAGGGGTGCCCCAGGAGCCAGCCAAGGCTGGGTGGAGAGTGGCTTCCAGCCTCAGTACAGAGTTATAATTCAGAGAGCTCAGAGCGCGTGAGGCCTACACTGCAGGGGTTCACTGTGGCTGGGGGAGGAACGTGAGCGCGAGACCACTTACCTTTAGTGTAACTGTGAACACCATCACGGTGAATACCAGCGTTCCAAACGTCCAGTTTCCAAATATCTGTTTGGGGAAAATAGTCCAAGTCATCTCGTTTTTATGTATTTTTTTTTCTCTTTCACAATCAAGAGTTTTAGAAAATACACCTCATTTTTCTTGTGTGCCAACACTTCAAACCCCAAAGATATAAGCACTATATTTTCTTATTATCCCGTAAAAGAAGATGCAGCAACTCCCCAGAGCACGGCAGGACGCCCCCATTTCCCGGCTGCATCTCCCACCACCAGTTCTGTGGCTTGGTGATGGGCTCAGAGCCTGCCTATCTGCAACTTGCTGCCCGCTCCTGACGCTGGCCCTGCTCAATGCTCTCAGCCACAACAGACGTCCCAAGGTCTCAAACTGAGCACAAAAACTCCCTCACAGCTGGCATTTAAATATCCATAATGCAAACTCGGGTACACGCAAACCTCCTTTTTCTGTTTTGTGTTTTACGTAGAAAAGACAGTTGCCTGAGTACCCAGCTACATTCCACGGGTTTCAGGAACAAACTCACAGACTGTGTCTGTTCCCTTCTGAACTCAGCTCAGACTCCTGCCTGCTGTTGAAGAACAGCGGCGGGAACGTTCTGCGAGTAAATGCAGAGGAAACACCCCAGGCACCCATGCAGAGGGGGAAGCCTGGGGGCTTCCCTCGGGGAACCTCCCTCAGGACAGAGAAGACAAGCCGGCAGACAGGACAGGGCTGGACAGAGGCTGCCCCGCGTGCGGCCAGAACCACAGATCCGCCAGCAGTGGTGCCCAGGTGGCCGTGGAGGAGGGAAGGTCAGTGGGACCCACGAGCTGCCAGCTGGCAACGCAGCACAGACACAGACACACCCGTGAGGACCGCGTGCCCGACCCGTGAGGACAGCACGCCTCTCTACCGCACGAGGCACAGGCCAGAAAGGGCTGCTGCCCAGACCACCCCCCGCCTTGGGGAAAACCCCCGACTGGAAACTTGTTTCGGGAGAACCTGCTTTCCTTTGGGACGCTCCTGCGCTGTGGCCCAGACGATTTCTAGTTTATCGGATTCCATGAACTGCACCTCGCAGGGAATTTTATTTTATAAAGAATTAAAAAGCGGGCCGGGTGTGGTGGCTCATGCCTGTAATCCCAGCGCTTTGGGAGGCCGAGGTGGGCGGATCATGAGGTCAAGAGTTTGAGACCAGCCTGGCCAACATGGTGAAACCCCGTCTCTACTAAGAATACAAACATTAGCCGGGCGTAGCGGCGCCTGCCTGTAATCTCAGCCACTAGGGAGGCTGAGGCAGGAGAATTGCTTGAGCCCGGGAGGCGGAGGTTGCAGTGAGCAGAGATCACGCCACTACACTCCAACGTGGGCGACAGAGCACAGACTCTGTCTCTTAAAAAGCTGGAATACAAATGGCTGTTCTTCAGAATTCAGTTTCAACCAAAACAACACACCCATCACCATACCCCTTGATTTAGCTGAGGGAGGGTGTGGGCTACAGTCCTCCCACATGGTCAGTGGGATAACAGGATAACATCTCATTTGTAGATTATAGAAAAAAGTGTTAGGACCTTTTGTAGTGAACACCGCTTCTTAGGGGCCCCCATCAACACATCCTTCAGTTTTTCCCTCACTTCCTCATTGTGATCAGAAGTGGGCCTCCTCCTTCTGGCTTGGAAATGCCTGGCCTACAGTGTCACTCAGATCTACACATGCTTGTGGTTCTCGGCTGGGGCAGCCTTGCCCCCAGGGACACCTGGCCGTGGTGGAGACATTTCTGGGGCGTGGGGTCTGCTAGCTTTGGATGGGGGGGTGGAGGGGCTGCTGAGTGCACACGACAGTGGCCCACGAGGATGTACATCTGGCCCCAATGTCAGCAGAGCCCGGGTGAGAAGCCTGTTTCACACTCACCAAAAAGTGCCGTCTCTTTGTGGCTTAACTTCTGGGGCAGGAAAATATCATGCCTCTAGGAACAGCTGTGGCTTGGCAGCAGCCTACAAGCACATGTGGCCAGCAAGGTGCTGGAGGGCGGGAGGCTGCTGTGCTGTAACTGGAAGCTGATGCTTTCAGCCAAGTGGTGCCTCCACAGCAGCTGAGGGCGGCTTTGCACCCAGACAACCACATCAGCTGGGCCTGGAGGAAAAGCCCCTGACGCTGCCCAGCTCTCCTCTTCCTCCCCCAGGCCTCACCTTGGCCATCCCAACACAGAACTCTGAAAGAGTTAGATGGCAGCAAGACATGAACTCAAGGGTGCCCTGTGAAGCAGTGTGTGTCACCAACAGCGCCACAGGTGATAACTGCAGTCAACTCACACGGCCTCCTCACTGTCCCCTCTCCCTGCTGTGAGCCGAGAAACTGCCTTTCTAAGCTCCCAGCTGGGGCTCCCTGGGTTTAGGGGGTAATGGCAGAACTGGGATAAGGAGTTAGGCCTCAGGATGCCTGGTCCTGCAGAGCACATGGGCCACAGCTGTAAGCTTTATAGGTGAGGAACAAAGCACAGCTATCGTGAATCCAGAATCAGGCACCTTGGTCAGGGCCCCTGAGAAACGCTGACCCATTACTAACCTGTGTCCACGTCCTTTGGAAGCTAGTCCACTGTGGAGCTATCCTGAAACGCATCTCTGGAAAGCCCTCTTATTCCCTTGGTGGCCTGAAGTGGGGCCCCCAGGTGAACTGCCATGATGTGGTTTGGCTTTGTGTCCTCACCCAAATCTCATCTCAAATTATAATCCCCGTGTGTTGGAGGGAGAGCCTGGTGGGAGGTGACTGAATCATGGACGTCCTCCTTGCAGATCTCGTTGACGGTGGGCGAGTGAGTTCTCATGAGATCTGGTTGTTTCAAAGTGTGTAGCATTTTCCCCTTTGCTCTCTCTCTCCTGCAGCCTTGTAAAGAAGGGCCTTGCTTCCCCTTTGCCTTCCGCCATGATTGTAAGTTTCCTGAGGCCTCCCCAGCGATGCTTCCTATGCAGCCTGCAGAACTGTGGCTCGATTAAACCTCTTTTCTTCCTAAATCACCCTGTCTCAGGTAGCTCTTCAGAGCCATGTGAAAATGGACTAACATGTGCGGATAGTTTATTACTACAATTGCTGGTCGTTATTTCCATCAGATTCTGGGGGTGGCAGGCATCCCTGGGATACCAATCTCCTTTTTCAAAGGGCTTTTCACAGGGACCCTTTTCTTCCAAGTGACATCAACGCCATCCCCAGTGAAGCTCCTGTTTCTGATTTCTGTGGAACCCTGTCCTCATGTGACAGGCACATCTCAGCCAAGAACCTGACCAGTGCGAAAGCCTCACTCCTTCAGCAGATCTGCCTCTGGGGCTGGCCACCCTCCACCACTGCAGGCTAAGCCCCATGCCCCCACTTCCTCCCTCCTTTGAGAATGGGTATTCCTATAGAAGCTTTCTGCTCAAAAAGTCCTCAGACCAGACCCATTTAACTCTGATGTATAAAAACATCCACGGCCAGCATAACTTGCGCCTTCTCAAGGTCACGGTCATGAGTGGCATCCACTGCCTCCCCTCCCTGTGCAGATCCCTCTGCCTCCCACCTGGCCCATACGCGGACCGCTCGTGTTTCAGCTGCTCTCATCGCATCCTACGTCTATCAAAGCACGTTCCGAGCTTTTAACCGTTCACTTAGGAATGTCTTGCTGTTCAACAAATAACTGTTGTCTTCGCATTCTCATTTGTGGCATCAAAATGAGAAGTTACTATGGCTTACGATGTCAGTGCAGAAAATGCTCCATTGGTGAACTTTTGAAAGAGATGTCCATAATTCTATTGTTCCTCCAATCCTACACAGGATCTATAGATATTCCTATAGAATAATTTAGGTCTTTAAAACAAAGTAGCTCTCACCCAAGAACAATCAATCCCAGAGGGCCTCTGAACTGTAACCCCGTTGGGAGTATCCTGGTTGGAAGGGAGATTCTCAGGGGTGAGCACCCCAACCCCAAATTGCTACGTAAGGACCAAGAGGGCTGTCAGCCACTAGGACTGCCCCCAAGTTCCCTGAGTGCTGGCATCACCCCGGGGCTGCACGCGGGTTCCGTGGGGGCTCAAGGTACCTTCCAGGACATAGCCAGGGGCTGGAGGGTACAGCCGGAAGAGACCAGGAAACAGGAGCTAGTAGAAATCCTCGGATCCCAGGAAGGCAGCAGAGCCACAGTGCCCACTGACCACCAGGTGCAGCTGACTGCGGACACGCCAGGGGTCCAGGGATCCGAGAAGGCGGAGACGCTGCAGAGACCCTGCCAGGAAGGCTGAGAGAAGCCCCTGGCACTGCGTTGCCAGCACCTCATTCAGGAGCACAGCCGGGCTGCCCTCCTAGGACAGTGGCGCCCGTGTCCTTGCCCCTGAAGTCCATCTCCGGGGGCTCTTGGGAGGCACGTTCACATTCACGCTGAAATTTGGAACTAGAGCAACCCAGAGGCCGCACTGGGCAACACCATGAAGTCTGGAGCCGGACGTCCGGGTATGACCCAGGCCCTGCCTCTCGGGAGCTGACACCGCACAGGGTGTCTAGTCTGTCCGAACTTCTCTTTCCTCAGCTTTCACATGATCTGAACGTCCAGCTGATAGGGTGGTTGTAGTGAACCAGGGTGGTGTTTGTGAGAGAAAACTGGAAAATCAAGTGTGGGAAAAAGGGGACTTGCTATTGCCATTGGCAGCCGCCAGGAGCCTGGAATCTCAGTGCTCAGGACACTACCTCTTAGTTCTCTCTTAAGGGCTACGCGAGATGCTTACGTAAGCCCAACTCGGAAGAAAATCTCATAAAAGATACAAAAGAATCAACAGGTAGCTCTGTTTGATGACGTTCATGGCCTGGTGGCATTCAGGAATTATTCAATTAAAATAAATGAAGACAAAGAATAAGTTCTAGAAAACTTAAAGCTTTTAAAACAGTGAAATAATATTTGAATTGGTTCTCAAGATAGACCTGGTAAAAACTGATTTAAGTGATGACGAAGGATAACAGCAGTGTTTAGTAAAGAGGAATGAAAACGACTAAAGCAGGTAAATGGTGCACAGGACACATAGCAGGACTTTTGTGTTTGAACCCAGCAGTCTGAGGGACAAACACACAGGGAGAGAGAGGTCAGGCTAAACAAGGAACGAAGCCGATTTCTGTTTAGAAGTCACCCAGAAGGGGCTGCTGAAGAGGGACTTTCTCCGAGGTCAGCGCTGGTGTCTGCTTGTACGGCTAGTTAAATACCTGAGGCATTTAAGCAGGGATGGTCTCTGACATCTACCGAATGCCTGGTGTGGCTCTCTCAGGAAGCACAGGGCCCCACCGGGCCTCCCACACATGCCTGTGCTGCCTTTAATTTAAAATCGAGGGAAGCTCCCATGAATCCAGTCAATTCGGAAAACATCCCTGGCTCAATGGGCCACCCTGACATGGCAACCGAGGGAACACAGCAAGGATGTGCGTCAGGAGGCGCACACACCCTTCTAACACAGAGCTAGCTCTGGGGTGTGTGGGGCAGCAGCGGCTAACAGCGTTTCTACCGACAAAGCACACAGGAATTCACGTTTGAAAATATTTTCGAGAAATATTTCATTTGTAATGCACTCCAAAAACACAGAGAAACGACAAACCCATGATTGTCTTACCATATGTGTGTTGGTAGTCATTATCTGAGGGTGGGAAGGGACGCCAGTGGCAAAAAGAAAAAAGCAAGATACAAATAAAACAAACCCCCAGGGGTTAGGCAAACAACCAGAGAGTGAATGTCTGCTAGAAAACTACAAATCTACTCATCACAGAGGAAGACGACTAAGTATGGTACTCGGGGAAATCTAACACGGGCTCAACGTGGAATTCATTCCCACATCAAAAATGCAATGTCTAAATGGTATAATGGTACCACTAGGTAACAAACTGATGGTGAACTGTTAGTTACAGAGATAAAGTCTGAAAACCTCAGCAGGCTGGCCGTGCATGGTGGCTCACGCCTGTAATCCCAGCACTTCGGGAGGCCAAGGCGGGCAGATCACCTGAGGTCAGGAGATGGAGACCATCCTGGCTAACACGGTAAAACCCCGTCTCTACTAAAAATTCAAAAAGTCAGCCAGGCGTGGTGGCGGGCGCCTGTAGTCCCAGCTACTTGGGAAGCTGAGGCAGGAGAATGGCGTGAACCCAGGAGGTGGAGCTTGCAGTGAGCCAAGACTGCGCCATTGCACTCCAACCTGGGCAACAGAGCGAGACTCCGTCTCAACAACAACAACAAAAAAACAAAAAAAAACTTCAGCAGGACATTTCCTTACAGCAACACTGAGCACTCAGGTAATGCGATCTTTAAAGTGACCCAGAGCTATGCACATGTGGTGATGGACCCCGCTGAGAAGCTGCATGGCCTGCACTGAATTACTGCACATGTGGTGATGGACCCCGCTGAGAAGCTGCATGGCCTGCACTGAATTACTGCACATGTGGTGATGGACCCCGCTGGGAAGCTGCACGGGCTGCACTGAATTACTGCGCAGGTGGTGATGGACCCCGCTGGGAAGCTGCATGGGCCGCACTGAATTACTGCCCATGTGGTGATGGATCCCGCTGGGAAGCTGCACGTGCTGCACTGAATTACTGCGCAGGTGGTGATGGACCCCGCTGGGAAGCTGCGCGGGCCTGCACTGAATTACTGCGCAGGTGGTGATGGACCCCGCTGGGAAGCTGCATGGGCTGCACTGAATTACTGCCCATGTGGTGATGGATCCCGCTGGGAAGCTGCACGTGCTACGCTGAATTATTGCGCACGTGGTGATGGTCCCCACTGGGAAGCTGCGCGGGCTGCACTGAATTACTGTGCAGGTGGTGATGGACCCTGCTGAGAAGCTGCATGGGCCGCACTGAATTACTGCGCAGGTGGTGATGGACCCCGCTGGGAAGCTGCGCAGGCCTGCACTGAATTACTGCGCAGGTGGTGATGGATCCCGCTGGGAAGCTGCATGGGCTGCACTGAATTACTGCGCAGGTGGTGATGGACCCCGCTGAGAAGCTGCATGGGCCGCACTGAATTACTGTGCAGGTGGTGATGGACCCCGCTGGGAAGCTGCACGTGCTGCACTGAATTACTGCGCAGGTGGTGATGGACCCCGCTGGGAAGCTGCATGGGCCGCACTGAATTACTGCCCATGTGGTGATGGACCCCGCTGGGAAGCTGTATGGGCCGCACTGAATTACTGTGCAGGTGGTGATGGACCCCGCTGGGAAGCTGCATGGGCCGCACTGAATTACTGCGCAGGTGGTGATGGACCCCGCTGGGAAGCTGCACGGGCTGCACTGAATTACTGTGCATGTGGTGATGGACCCCGCTGGGAAGCTGCATGGGCTGCACTGAATTACTGCCCATGTGGTGATGGATCCCGCTGGGAAGCTGCACGCGCTACGCTGAATTATGGCGCACGTGGTGATGATCCCCGCTGGGAAGCTGCATGGCCTGCACTGAATTACTGCCCATGTGGTGATGGACCCCGCTGGGAAGCTGCATGGGCCGCACTGAATTACTGCGCAGGTGGTGATGGACCCCGCTGGGAAGCTGCATGGGCCGCACTGAATTACTGCCCATGTGGTGATGGACCCCGCTGGGAAGCTGCACGTGCTGCACTGAATTACTGCGCAGGTGGTGATGGACCCCGCTGGGAAGCTGCACGTGCTGCACTGAATTACTGCGCAGGTGGTGATGGACCCCGCTGAGAAGCTGCATGGCCTGCACTGAATTACTGTGCAGGTGGTGATGGACCCTGCTGAGAAGCTGCACGTGCTGCACTGAATTACTGTGCACGTGGTGATGGACCCCGCTGGGAAGCTGCATGGGCCGCACTGAATTACTGCGCAGGTGGTGATGGACCCCGCTGGGAAGCTGCACGTGCTGCACTGAATTACTGCGCAGGTGGTGATGGACCCCGCTGGGAAGCTGCATGGGCCGCACTGAATTACTGCGCAGGTGGTGATGGACCCCGCTGAGAAGCTGCATGGCCTGCACTGAATTACTGTGCAGGTGGTGATGGACCCTGCTGAGAAGCTGCATGGGCTGCACTGAATTACTGCGCAGGTGGTGATGGACCCCGCTGGGAAGCTGCGCAGGCCTGCACTGAATTACTGCGCAGGTGGTGATGGATCCCGCTGGGAAGCTGCATGGGCTGCACTGAATTACTGTGCAGGTGGTGATGGACCCCGCTGAGAAGCTGCATGGGCCGCACTGAATTACTGCCCATGTGGTGATGGATCCCGCTGGGAAGCTGCACGTGCTATGCTGAATTATTGCGCACGTGGTGATGGACCCCGCTGGGAAGCTGCATGGGCTGCACTGAATTACTGCGCAGGTGGTGATGGACCCCGCTGGGAAGCTGCAGGGCCTGCACTGAATTACTGCGCAGGTGGTGATGGACCCCGCTGGGAAGCTGCATGGGCCGCACTGAATTACTGCGCAGGTGGTGATGGACCCCGCTGGGAAGCTGCATGGGCTGCACTGAATTACTGCGCAGGTGGTGATGGACCCCGCTGGGAAGCTGCATGGTTTGCACTGAATTACTGCGCAGGTGGTGATGGACCCCGCTGGGAAGCTGCATGGGCTGCACTGAATTACTGTGCAGGTGGTGATGGACCCCGCTGGGAAGCTGCATGGGCTGCACTGAATTACTGTGCAGGTGGTGATGGACCCCGCTGGGAAACTGCATGTGCTACGCTGAATTACTGTGCAGGTGGTGATGGACCCTGCTGGGAAGCTGCATGGGCCGCACTGAACTACTGCACAGGTGGTGATGGACCCCGCTGGGAAGCTGCATGGGCTGCACTCAATTACTGTGCACGTGGTGATGGATCCCGCTGGGAAGCTGCGTGGCCTGCACTGAATTACTGCGCAGGTGGTGATGGACCCCGCTGGGAAGCTGCATGGGCTGCACTGAATTACTGTGCACGTGGTGATGGACCCCGCTGGGAAACTGCATGGGCTGCACTGAATTACTGCGCAGGTGGTGATGGACCCTGCTGGGAAGCTGCACGGGCTGCACTGAATTACGGCACATGTGGTGATGGACCCCGCTGGGAAGCTGCGTGGCCTGCACTGAATTACTGCGCAGGTGGTGATGGACCCCGCTGGGAAGCTGCATGGGCTGCACTGAATTCTGCTTTGGCAAAATCATCATATGGGCTTGGGAGGCTTTATTCCTAAGCAGCTAAGTCAGCGCAATCGAGCTCTGTACTGACCTGCCCGTTGCTTGTCACAGTTGTATTTTCAAACACGAAATAAGCACCAAAGAAGAACACCAGTGCGTCAAACAGTCCCAGGAGCGTCCAGTAGATGAACACGCGCCAGCGCAGCAGGGCATTCTTGGCGACGTCCCTGGTGAGGAGAAAGGTGCACAGCGTGTGTCCTCGAGAATCAGGGCCCGGCACCTCCCCCAGGCTCTGGGGTGGCCATCCCTGGACGTTGTCTTCATGGGATAAGATGTGCACGGCCAGTAAACATCAAGTTTGTGCTCTGGCCACAAATGTGGCATGTTCATCACAACCAGCATTTCACTACCCACTCATGTCCTTGGCTAACTTTTGCTCAGATATTTTCTCTCTCATATTCACTGCAATATCGTCATAGGCACAGAGATGCTGCCACATGCTGCTGCTTCTGAAAGCAACGAACAGAGAACACAAGGCACACCCCTGACGTTCACCGAGCTTGTGACACCTTACGCCTGACGTGACGCCTTACGCCTGACGTGATGCCTTACGCCTGCTGTGACACCTTACGCCTGACGTGACGCCTTACGCCTGCTGTGACACCTTACGCCTGACGTGACACCTTATGCCTGTTCAATAAGACAGAATTTGCAGGATTCCTTTCAGACACATGTCTAGAACAGTATATCTTCTCCCATTTTCTTAGATTTATTCCCATTTTCTTTAGATTTATTAAAGATGCCTGTTCAATAAGACAGAATTTGCAGGATTCCTTTCAGACACATGTCTAGAACAGTATATCTTCTCCCATTTTCTTAGATTTATTCCCATTTTCTTTAGATTTATTAAAGATGTACAACCAACTCAGAAGTTTGCCTTTTTATCATCGTCCTTAATCACCTACAGTGATTACTTTTGGATCCAAGCCGTCAAGATCCCACAGAATGGCTAAATATTCTGATGAGGGCAGTGAGGCCGATGCACGGATTCCTGCAGAATCCCAGGCAGGGAAGTGAGTGGTCTTGGCTATGGTGGTGGATGCAGGAAACACGCATGTGAGAAGACTGCACAGAATTGAACACACACATACACGTGTCATGTACACACATGTACGTAAGTGCAGGGAAAGCTGGGTGATCTGAATAAGGGAACGGGTGAACGGCACCAACATCAGTACACTGGATGTGATGCTGGACTGCAGTTTCTTGCGTGTCACCACTAAGGGACATGGGATCAGGGCCCACAGAATCTATTATTTCTTACAACTGCATATGGATGTAAAATTATCTGAAAAATAAAATTTTAATTTATGATAGGGTTTGGCTGTGTCCTCACCCAAATCTCGTCTTGAATTGTAGCACCTATGATCCCCACGCATCATGGGAGGGACCTGGTGGGCAGTGATTGAGTCATGGGGGTGGTTTTTTCCCATGTTGTTCTCGTAATAGTGACTAAGTCTCACGATATCTGATGGTTTTATAAAGGAAAGTTCTCCTGCACACGCTCTCCTGTCTGCCACCATGTAAGACGTGCCTTTGCTCCTCATGCCTTCCGCCATGATTGTGAGGCCTCCCCAGCCATGTGGAACTGTGAGTCCATTAAACCTCCTTCCTTCATAAATTACCCAGTCTCAGGTATGTCTTCACAGCAGGATGAAAATGGACTAATACAATTTAAAAGACCATGGAAAACAGTAACATATTGAATCTGCCAGAGACCTTGGGGGGCATTTCTGAAATAGCAGAAAAATATCTCTTCCATATTATTTTTAAAAAATAACGGGGAGAAAAGACACCCTGAAACCAGAGCTGTTAATTTTTGTTTTTTCTCACTGAATGGAACACACATGGTTTTAAAGGATAACTTAGGCCACAGATTCCCTAGGGTCACAACGAGGAAGACGCTTGTACCCCAGCTCCCTCAGGACTGTCAGAAAGCACAGGAAAGTGCAAACTGGCTCCACACAGATGTTCCAAATGCAGCATAAACCATCCAGCAAGACTTGAAGAATCTCCATTTGAGCTATGTTGCTTCCAGTTTAAACAAGCTCCTGATCAAGCAAGAATATCAGCAGATGCCGAATGCTTCTGGCCCTCAACTGAGGTCTGCCAGGTGGCTATTGGAAGGAACTGCCAGAGTGCTGCCTAGTTACTCTCTCTGCTCTCAGGAGAGGCTGTTTGGAGGATGGTACCTGTACAGGGTCGGGTCTCTCTTGAGCACGTCAATGCCAACATGCTGCTCCATGAGGCTGTACAGGAGGATGGGGAGGGAGGTGAAGCTGATGTTGTAGAGGGTCAGATACGCGGTGTCGTACAAAGTCTGTAAGAGGAAAGTCACAAGAAGTGGCACCTCAGTGCATTGTTACAAACTTTTTGGATCTTTTGATTAAATATATTTTCTTTCTGAAATGCATAGAAAGACCAGAGCGCTTTTCAAAGCTTAACAATATAAACTAGGGTCTGTGATATCAACTGTGATTTCAGGATGAAAGTCACAGCTGGCAAAAAGCCTAACACTGACTCATCCCATTCTATCAGCACAAACTTCAAGAAAAAAAAAAAAAAGGAAAAAAGTCACAGAAAACATTTGCAATTCTGATTGCCATCTTCAAGCTTCAGTGACTCTGGTCGCAGTCACTTCCCATGAAGGCAGCTGGCCCGCCAACCACTGAGCACACATGTGACAGAAGGAGGTGTCCATCTAGGGCAGATGCCCGGGGAGTCCTTCACCCCTCCCGGATGGGAACTGTCTTCTTCCCCTATGGGCACGTTGCATGTGTTAACGTGCCAGGCACCGGGGTGGCCCATGTCCACAAGGACCTCGAGTTGGAGTTAATTCTTGCAGTGGCATCAGGATGCCCAGCCCAGCACTGCTGGGCCCTGAGGAGACCACATCATCACTGGCCCGCATCTCAGGGCCACGGCAGTTTCAGAAGACATGGAACAAGGGGCCTCCAGGACGGCAACTCCTCAGCTCCGTGGCCCCCCTCCCCAGGCCCGACCCTTCACCCCCGCCTGCTGCTGGGCACCCTGGCTCCCTCGTGGTGCCGGGGAGTGCTGCTCATTCCCAAGTCTCCCCTCCCCACAGCAGCCACCCACTGCGGGAAGGAAAAGAAGGCTCAGACAGCCTGTCCCTGAAGACCCTAGGACTGACCTGTTGTGAAAACCCACAGAAGAACTGGTATAAAAACTGAGGGAAGATGAAGCAGACGTTCTGAAAGGCAAGGCATAACTGTTAGTTCGGTGACGGGACAGAGGGAGGCAGCCGCCACCTACCGACGTGGCCCACCCCACATGGGAGGAGGGATCCACGTGCACCCAGCGTGCGGCAGAACAGCACTAATGGGTTCTAGAAAGCTTTCTCTTATTTCAGGGGCAACTGAAATGCACATGTGACCACGTTTTGGCCACTCAGGACAGACAACGTATAGAGGAAATTTGTCAGCTCCAAGAGAAACAAGAAGGCAATGCAGGTATCAGTATAAACGGGAAAGAATCGAACTGCACAGTGAATAAGGAATCCTTCCTCAAACATTTCCACCTGAAAGGTTCTCACTGGTTCCACACTCAATTCTGTGGGGGGAGAAAAGGGCTGGGGGTCTCCTCCCGCGGCACGGCAGGCCCTCCTCATCCTCAGGGGTACATTCCCAGACCCTGGGGGGATGCAGAGTCTGCGGATGGTCCTGAACCCTGTCTATGCTCTAGATGGGTATGTGTGTTCGTATACATACACACCCATGATAAAGTTTAATTTATAAAGTAGGTGCAGTGAAAGAGTAACAACAAAACATAGAATAACTATAATAATATACCGTAATCAAAGTTACATGAATTTGGTCTCTCCCTCCTCCTCTTAAAATATATTATTGTGTCATATTCACCCTTCTTCTTGTGATCTGTCAACCTCATCACCAAGACAGCTACAGAGTGACTGAGGGGCAGGTAGTGTACACACAGCATCGGCACACCGGACAAAGGGACAAGCCACATCCCAGGAAGGAGACAGCAGGACGGCGTGAGACTTCATCACGCTGCTCGGAATGGCATGCAATTTAAACCTGAGGAACTGTTTATTTCTGCAATTTTGCGTTTGATATTTTTGGGCATGGGTTGACTGTAGGTAATGGAAACTGTAAAAAGCAAAGTCACAGCTAAGCAAGAGATGACTGCAATCAGATTCACCCCTTCCTTTCTGACAGTTGCTGCTCCTCGGAGATCAATGACCTCTTGTGGCATCAAGTGGCTCAGACAAGGGTCGTGCCACCCTGTGCGTGACCTGTTGCTAACACCGTGAGGGGGAGCGGCGACCCTCCTACCTTATAGAAGAAGTACTGCACGAGCTCAGAGATCCTAATGTAATAAAAATGCCCGTGAACAAGCAGCATCTTCTTCAAATGCTTAAACTTTGGGATTGCATAGTCGCTGTTCCTGGCAGCCTGGCGGCCTTCCTTGCCGATGACACCTAGAAGACGGAGGTGAAGGAGCTGAAGAAATGCTTTCTGCACACCACACACAGGGCAGGGACGGGGAGAAGAACGGATGAAACCATCATCATGAGCCTTCCCGGTCACACACGAGGGTGGTGACGGGGGTGTCCTGAATGCACCTGCGTGCTGCCATGGGCCTTTGTCTAGCGAAGGGGTGACCTGGCCACCAGGATGTGCCAGCAGCAAGGACGAAGCTCACCTATGCCCACGTGCGCTTCCAGAATCATGCTGACATCATTTGCACCATCGCCAATTGCTAACGTGATTGGGTGCTCTTTTGAAAATTTGATTAATTTAACAATCTGCAAAAGAAAGAAATGCGGAATTTATCTTCTCTGTTTCACTTCTGAACAGGTTATTCATTCACTAGGCAGAAATAACAAAGATGAAAAGTTAGCCTAGGCAAATAAAAAAATTAACTACTTAGAGGTAATTTACGACATTCTGTCTGTTTTCTCCATATAGGATAAAACCTTTTTCATATTGAAAGCAAAACAAAATAAAGTAAAAGAAATGAGGTATGATTAAAATGACGTGAGCTGGAAAAGGCTGGTAGACAAACTTTGGCAGTAGAGATGTGAGATATATGAAGTAGCTTGTAGTTATTGTTATATTCCTCTACTTAAATATATGGAAAAGTGTGTAAATCCTGGGAAAATATATTTAAATATACAGGGGCAAATGTGAACCCTGCATTCTGTAAGATCACTATTCCAAGGTACTTCAAGCTATTTGGTATAAAGCATCTATTTCTAAACATAAACTATTCCTAATGCTATTTTAATTTTCAAATTTGTAACGTGCAAAATCAAATATGACAATTTTATGTAAAAATAATTTCCAAGTTTTTAGTCAATTTCTTTATAATCTTTTCCCCCCCATCTATGTGCCTAAATGTAACAGTTCAAGCTGTAAGAATGAAGAGATGGGGGGAAACGTGGGTGCCTTCTTGTTTCAAGATAGGAAACTGAAACACAAGTTAATTTGTATGAAATGTTTCAAAAGCCAGTTGAGAACTTAAAAAAGTACTATGGAATACATGAAGAGCGAATGGCAAATCCTTAGTTGCTGTTCCATTTGGGAAGTAATTCTGTAAGGTTTATGTGCAGTTACGCATGTGAGGGAGAGGAGGACATCAAACCGTCTTCCTCACATGGAAGGTCTGTGAATGCTCTAGGCTCGTCATTCTGAGGACCCTGGTTCTGTGTTTTTAGTGAAATTGACAGATTAGTGCACCCACATGCACAAAGGCTCAACTTTTCACCTCCTTGGTTTCCAGAGTTTGTGTGAGACGCATTTTACCTTAACCACTGGTTTGCTCTGACCAATGATGGATTTATTCATGAACAGTTCAAGAGAAATTGGCCTATCATATCTAAAATGTGGTATAACAAAGTCAGAACTTTTCTAGGCTTCCTGATACCAGAAAGACATCCATGTTTACAATACATTCCATAGTGCTTTCAAAACTATTTAAAGAAAAAACTTCAGGTGTGCGTTTCCCACAAGAACATGGCCGCGTGAGACGTTTGGAGTTTGATGGACAAGACAAGTTGAATCCTCGTGGCATTTCCCATCTGCAGCCTTTTCGGCAAATTATTCCCATTTGTAAAGCTGGTGCCCTCATTTGTCTGAGAGGGTTATTTTGAGACTAAATGCATTCGTATCTGTAGGAGGCACACACTAGGTGCTCAGTAATGTCAGCTCCCTTCCCTTACACCTTTAGTGTAGATTCTCAGGAGTGATTGAGATAGCTTTTTTTTTTTTTTTTAACAGAAGTCAGCCAGGGCAGCTGTCCTGGCCACTGCATCTGGAAGGGTCATACATCTGACTGGTCATCACCCACTAATCACAGAAGCTGGCCCGACAAGCAAAACAAGATCTGCGTTTTAAATCTCTATCACGGTTGCTTCTATTTTTAACAGGTGGTACCCTGCTAGATTGTTTAACAATCTGAGGCGGTGAGACCTAACGGAAGGTTTTCAGTGTTTTGGACGCCCTGACCACCAGCTATCGAGGACGGGCGGGCAGCACCTGAGCCTTCTGCAAGGGCGCCATGCGGCAGCAGAGCACCGCGCTGCAGCTCCGGCAGATTTCCAGGAAGAGCTCCCTGTAGTTGCCGGAACTCCCGTCTTCTCGAGGCTTCATTATCAGAGACAGTGCAGCTCCGTCGATAATTAAACCGTAGTCCTGCATATCTGCTGAAAGTCTGTTAGAGTACGTGAGTCAGAAAGATTGCTCAATCACTAAATCTATAGATTTTAGAAGACTGTATTGTTTTTGGATATCGACAGATGCTACAAATCCATGGGATTAAGAAACTAGTGTTTCTTGTTTTACCAATACAATTTTTATAGTATTGAACATAACACCTTTTGTCGACATTTAAGAGTGTATTTTATGAAACATTCCTATTTTAGGTAAAGCAAGTGCAGACTCTCTTTGTGGACTCGTTAAGTCCCTGTACTTTTGAAACAACAGGAAGGCGTTCATCTTGTGGTCTAAGATCTTGGTTGGTCTTTACTCTCAACCTTCTTGGTCACAGTCTTTACAGCTAAGTCCTTGGGTTTCTGCCTGGATGACCTAAGTTGGAAAGAACATGGTCATAATCTCCTCTTTGCTGGGTTTCAAAATGACAAGAAGGCTGGATGCGGTGGCTCACACCTGTAATCCCAGCACTTTGGGAGGCCAAGGCGGGTGGATCACCTGAGGTCAGGAGTTCAAAACCAGCCTGGCCAACATGGTGAAACCCTGTCTCTATTAAAAGGTGAGCGCTTTTAATCCCAGCTACTTGGGAAGCTGAGGCAGGAGAATTGTTTGAACCTGGGAGGCGGAGGTCACAGTGAGCCAAGATCACTGCACTCCAGCCTGGGCGACAGATTGAGGCTCCATCTCAAAAACAAAAAACAAAAAACAACAAAAAAAACCCTCCAATCCCTAAAAGGAGTTCTGCAGATTGCAGATCAGGTAGAGGGAATTATCTGTGCTATTTATGAATAACTTAACATTTGTGTAAATTAGAGAGCTGCTTTCGCTTTATGTACATGAATGAAACTGAAATGATTCAAATAACATGTAATCTCAGATAATGCATCTAACACCAGTAAGGACAGCATCGATAAAATGTATCTGAATAAACTACTGAATATTCTTGGGAAAAAAACAACTCTTGGGCATGTACTGCTTCGTCTTAGACGAACAACCATGCATTATTAATATCTCCACTTCCTCCAGCAGATGCTTGAAGGTGCCTGAAGCAGAGCCCCTAAGTCTCAGAAACAGATGAGAATTATCCCACTCAAAATATTTTATCCATCATGTCTTTTTGCATCTGTTAGCCGGCAGTGTGAAACTGAACATACACACATACACACACATATGTGAAAAAGACACATCACAATTGCTGGAAAAAACAGCCCGTTTTGTTCCCAGTGTTCACCTGACCCCTAAGAAGCTGGCATTAATGCCCCAGGGGAGAACCGAATTCCCAGTAGAGACAATGCGGCTCCCCGACTTGCAGGTGAAGGCCACTGGGTCTGAAGCCCCTTTTGCGGGAGTGTGGGGGTGGGGGCGGGGACGCGCTGCCTACCCGGACAGGTTGTCTCTGGTCAGGCTCCCGCTGTGGCGCAGGACCGTCTTGCTCAGCTCGAACAGGACGTCGTGCAGGCTCTGCTCCTCGATCCTCTTGGTGGTCAGCTCCAGCAGCTGCGTGTTCCTGCGGAAGAGCTTGCAGGCGTAGCACGTGGCCGCGGCCGTCTCCATCTTGTCTCCCGTGAGAACCCAGACTTTGATCCCGGCCTTCTGCAGGGCCTCGATGGTGTCTGCAGCTTTCTCCTGCAGCCTGAGGGAGGCAAAACCAAACACAGCATAGAGAAAAGTCAGTGCTGACCCAGGAATCCAAATAAGGAACTGCAGAAACTTGCAAAGCTGTCAAAATATCGTAGCCCCTCAAAATCAAAACACTCCACACTGTGGCTCATGATCTCACCACGAAGTACTGAAGCAGCTTCTGAAGGTCTGAACTAGTGTTTCACAGCGAAACACTTCCTAACAGCAGAGAGATAAACATGGATCAAACATGTGAGAAGTAAAGGGCTGTCTTGTGTCACTGACGTCTGACAAGCCTGGCGGTTTTGTGTGTAGGTGGGACTCACTACCTGGGGAGGGTTTCAGGAAATTATAACCACCACCAAAAATGTCTCAACCATGGAAAGATGGGATCTGGACTCAAGGTGGTCAGGAATATTGATTGTCTTTTGTTTTGTATAAACTGTTCTAAGTTTGTCACTTAGAACCCACTTGGGGTCCAGGTACCTCTAAATAATATAAAATACTGAGAATAACACTAGTGATTCTATGGCCAACAGGTGCCATGGGCTTGCCACATGCCAGGCCTGTGTGACACTTCCTATGTGCAATCTTTCATGCTTACCATGATGTCACGAGTAAGGACGCTAGCACCACACCTATTTACATATGGAAAACCCAAAGCCTGCAGACGCTGCAGAAGGTGTCGGGGGTAAGCGGCTCTTCCGACAGCAGTCAGACCACTGCCCTCTCCTTGGGAGATCTGGGGTCAAACCATGTCTGCCTCACTTTGGGGCCTCCATTTTTTCTAAGTTTCAGACTACTTTCGTGTGAAGTAACGTGCCATGCTTCTAGAAAGTATGAAAGGAATGGATTTAAATTCTAACTGGAAGGATCTGGTTAGGTTTTGGGAAGAACTTCCTAGCTAAAAGTCTCAAGATCAGACAATCATAGTATTCTATAGATGAAAAAAAAGCCTGTAATTTTATGTGTGTGTATGTATGTGTATATATATATGTGTGTGTGTGTGTATGTACATATGTGTGTGTGCATATATATATATATAGAGAGAGAGAAAGAGAGCGAGCAAGAGAACGAGAGAACGCCTTATGTTGCCCAGGCTAGGGTACAGTGGTATGATCTCAGCTCACCGCAGCCTCCAACTCCTGGGCTCAAGCGATCCTCCCTCCTCAGCCTCCCAAGTAGCTAGGACAACAGGTGCCTGCTACCATGCTTGACTAATTAAAAAAAAATTCAAGAGATGGGATCTCACTATATTGCCCAGGCTGGGCTCAAACTCCTGGCCTTAATCAATCCTCCTGCATCAGCCTCCCAAATTGCGAGGATTACAAGCGTGCTCCACCGGGCCTGGCCCTGTTTACAAGCGTGCTCCACCGGGCCTGGCCCTACAATTCGATTCAAAAGGAAGCTGAGGCTCAGAGATGTTTCGCACTTGCTGACTGGAGATTATAAGGAAATAATTTATAAGCAAGTATCATCACGAAAAAGCCACTGAGATCCCCCCCCGCCAACCAGGCATTAACTCTCCACTCTTCTACATTCCCATTCCAGTCAAGTCAACCTGCCCCCCGCCCCAGGGGCTCTGTCCCATCTGCTCTGCCGGAGGCATCCCCACGCTCCTCCACCAAGGCCTCTAAAGATCGACCCAGCTGCTCCCCAGGCAAACACCATCCTACGGACACCCCTCTTCTCCTGGACAGACAGCAGGTGAGTGACTGGCCACTAGAGCAAGGACGCAGCCCCCAGCAGCAAAGCCTTTCGGCGGCCGTGGCCCTGCGCTCTGAAGCCTTCCCACGTGCAAGTCGCGTTCTTTACACGGTGCTCTGTGCACTTACTCTGGACTGAACAGGGGAGAGTGACTTCAAAACAAAACACAAAACCACCAAACCAAAACTTCCCACTTCGCCTAATACTCCATTCAGATCGAGAACTCAAGGAACATTTGTTCAACACGCTCAGAAAATGCAGGGTTAGTGATAAGGATTTCAGTTTTGGACCGAAATGGATCTTAAAGACTTTCAAACTTGATGCCTTTAACCTCTTCTAGGAGATAAACTCCCAGTGAACTTTCTGAAGTTTCTGCTTCATTCTCATCAATTGGGGCATTTTTTTTCTTCCATTCCTACAAACCACTGAAATCCATGCCTTTCACTCAGCTCGGAAGGCACCATGTGGACCAGACGACTGTTTCTTAGTGGCCTCAGCCTCAAACAACTTTCAGTCCCCATTGTGGAGCTGGGGCACACTGGCAGCTCTTGCCTTAGAGGTACCTGAAAATCTGTAATTGGTAATTTTGCCAGTTATGATGATTATTAGTTTTTGTAATTTTCTACTTCATTAAGTTTTTTCAAGTAATGATAAACACATTGAGTATGTAATGATCTAAGAAGTAATACCAGTATTTGGAAAGAACTAGCAACAAGTTTAGGAACAGAGTTAGTTGTTGATTCCATTCTAAAGAGTAATTACAGTCAGGCATGACTGCTCATGCCTGCAATTCCAGCACTTTCAGAGGCTGAGGTGGGAGGATTGCTTGAGGCCAGGAATTTGAGACTAGCCTGGGCAACATAGTGAGATCCTATCTCTACAAAAAATATAAAAAATTAGCCAGGCATGGTGGTATGTGCTTGAAGTTCTAGCTACTCAGGAGGCTGAGAAGGGAGGACAGCTTGAGCCTAGGAGTTTTAGACTGCAGTGAGTTGTGATGGTGCCACTGCACTCCAGCCTGGGCAACACACCAAGATGCCATCCCTTAAAAAAAAAGAAGAAAGAATTTGTAAGAGCCCTTCTATCTTGCCTGTTCATAATATGATATGACAAAGCTATTTTCACTACTTCCTGGGAAAGTGTGCTTTCAGGCATCTTCTTCATGGACAACAAAATATCCCCCAGGCATGACCTTCCTGACATGACTCCAGGGTGTAGCAAGACACCTAGCCTCTCCCTGAGCAGCAAACACGCCCCGTCGGCTGTGCGGATGGCCTCCCTCCCGTCCACTCGCCCTCACACGCCCTGGGCCGTCGGCCTGCATCCCAGTTTGTCTCTCAGGACGGGATGCATGCGTTTACTTTACCGGTCCTCAACAGCTGTAGCACCAAGCAGAGTAAGATCTTTCTCTATTTGCTCATAGGCTTCTGCTAACTTTTTCTCTCGATCTTGAAGGGCCACTTTGGCAGCCTGCAGCAGCTTACAAATGCCTTCATATTCTTCTTGGATCAGCCTTTTATAAGCAACACACAAAGTTCGGAGCCCCTCCTGCAGAACACAATGCAGCGTTTAGCACGAATTCAAGGTGTCACTTGCTGAAATATTACGCTCCACGGCCTTCCCAGTATCCCTTCTCTCATTAGACTAACTAACCCAAGAATTGTAACCCTTTCAAAACTTACAGTACTAAGTAAACAAAGAAAGAAAGATTATAATCCAACCAAATCTTGAAAGGAGTAAGTCATCAACAAGTGAATTATTTAAGTCTACATTAAATACCAAGAATCATTATGGATTACAGCATTTTCAGACTAGAAAGCCTGGAAATAAGTAACAGAAATCAGAGTCATCTATCAAAAGATAAAATTTGTTCCTTTATTTTGACAAATGCAGAGTTAAATTTAACCTTTTTTTTTTAAGGATAATCATTTGTAATTTTATGGGTAATATCAAGTGATATTTCTAAAGTAAACATGTTTTATGTGGGAAGTTTGTAAGGTAGGTTGTTCTTTCACAATGAAGGAAACCTGCCAGGTTATTTATCAAAATCATTGGTTGCACAGGAACAAAAGAAATCAAGAATCACAAATTCCTTACTGTGATCATCATTCTGGATGTTACCATACAGAGAGAATGCAGCCGCCACCAGCAAGACACAAGGAATGGGGGCAGAGGCTGAAGCAGCCACACAGGGGGCGGTTTACAGATGAACCTCTTCATTCCATCAGTCAAGGCTGCTGAGCGCGACCGTCACAGAGGTTCACACCTGATCATCTAGGGTGTTCCCCTTCCGTTTTCCCTGCTCCTTCAGCCCCAGCCCTACTGATAATAGTAAAAGAACCATAATCCTCCCAAATAACCATTTTAAAATCCGGCAGAATGCTGGTTTGTAAGAGTTGAAACAATGTTTTCCGTTCTATGAGATGAAGCGTCTCCTAACTCTCAGGGAAGGCTCATATTTATCACTAGTTCCGACCTCTTAACTGGTGTGGACAGAATTGCCACTGGGTCAACGGCTGTCATGGCCCTTGAGCTCTCAAAAGCCAGAAGTTGGGAAAGGGGGAGTTGAAGAAGTCAGAACACAAGACAGGGTCTATGTGTGCCTGAGTCCTGTTCTCCAGGAACATTCTGGAACTCCTTCCTTCCCATCCTCCAGATATTGTCTCCTGGTCAAGAATAAGTGAGAAGCCAGTGGACCCGTCTCAGAGGAAAGTAGCACTGAACAGACGCTGCTCAGCCACCCCAGCCTCACCTCCTGCTGAGCACACGACCTTGCAGCTTTCTGCTCACGGGTTTGCCTCTATTGTTAGGCACTGGGTTCTCTGGCTGTGGGCACTGTGTCTGACTTCACCACTGAATCCCTGGCACACAGCCAAAACTCAACAACGTTTGCTGAATAAATAAGTGGTTGAAATTAGATCTTTTGTGCACCTGTTGATCAAGTTACAGATTGGAGACATAAATGCGAATTGCAGAATGAATTCTCTGACTTTTCCTAAGAGGCAATAAAACATACAAGATATATAGCTTCAGTCTGAAACCAGAAAAATTACATAACAAGAAAATGGTTTTACAGGATAATAACCCAAAATGGTCCCAGAACTTAGGTTGCTGTGAGTGATAAGCAGAAGCTTTTGGAAATAAATATGTCGCTGCTTTTAAAAGTCAATCAGGGACTTTCTCTTGTGGTAACACAGAACAGAAATACTTTTCTCTATTCCTCCTGCTAAGTACTACGAAAACCCTGGACACAGCACATAAAACAAAGCCAGACAAATACCCTACAAGAAAACTGTAGAACAATATCCCTTAGAAATATAGATGCAAATATGCTCAACAAAATACTAGCAAACTGAATCCAATGGCACATAGAGGATCATACACCACGACCAAGTGGGGTTTATTCCAGGAATGCAAAAGTGAGTCAACATATGAAAGTCAATGCAATACATGACATAAATCCCACATGATCATCTCAACTGATGCAGAAAAGGCATCTGAAAAAAAACCAGCACCTTTTGGTGATAAAACCACTTAATAAACTGGGGAGAGAAGAAACCTCCTCAACGTGGTAAAAACCACTTAAGTGAAAAAACCAGCAAGGCATGATGGCTCACGCCTGTAATCCCAGCACTTTGGGAGGCTGAGGTGGGCAGATCACCTGAGGTCAGGAATTCAAGACCAGACTGGCCAACGTGGTGAAACCCCATCTCTACTAAAAATACAAAAATTAGCCAGGCGTGGTGGTGCATGCCTATAATCCCAGTTACTCGGGAGGCTGAGGCAAGAGAATGGCTTGAACCCAGGAGGCAGAGGTTGCAGTGAGCCGAGATCGTGCCATTGCACTCCAGCCTGGGCGACAAGAGCAAAACTCTGTCTCAAAAAAAAGAAAAGAAAAACCTACAGCTAACATCACCCTCCATGGTGAAGGACTGAAAGCTTTTCCGTAGGATCAGGAACAAGACAGGGATGCCTGCTTTTGCCACTTCTATTCAACAGAGTATTAGATGCTCTAAGTGAGAGGATTAGGCTATAAAGAGAAAAAGAAAGTTTCCACATTAGAAAGGATGCCTTTCTAAGGCCTATTTGCAGATGACATGATCCTATATCCAGAAGACCATGAAGAATGTGCTCCCCACTAACTGAATTCAGCAAAGACACAGGGTACAAAGTCAACACACGAAAACTAGTGGCATTTCTATACACTACCAATGAACAATATGAAAAGGAAATTAAAAAAAAATTCCACTTCAGTAGCATCAACAAAAGTAAAATACTTATGAATAAATTTAACCAAGGAGGTAAAAGACTCAAGGCTGAAAAATACCAAAGTTTGCTGAAAGAAATTATAAAATACCTAAATAAATGGAAAGATATCCCATGTTCATGGATTGTTAAGATGACAACACTACCCAAAGTGATCTACTGATTAAATGAAATCCTATCAACATCCCAATGGCTCTTCCCTCCCGCCCTTCCTCCGTTTCTTTTTTTGAGACAGGGTCTTACTCAGTTGCCCGTGGAAACATGCAGTGGTGCCATCACGGCTCACTACTGCTTTAAACTTCTGTGCTCAAGCGACCCTTCCATCTCATCCTGCCTAGTAGCTAGGACCACAGATGTGTGCCTCCACCCCTGGCTGATTTTCCTTTTGTATGTTTTGTAGAGGCAGGGTCTTGCTATGTTTCCCAGGCTGGTCTCAAACTTCTGGCCTCAAGTGATCCTTATGCCTCAGCCTCCCAAAGTGCTGGAATTACAAGTATGAGCCACCGTACCTGGCCCCCAGTGGCATTTTCTGCACAAATGAAAAAGCCCATCCTAAAATTCCTATTAAATCTCAAGAGGTTCAGAATAGCCAAACCATTTTATAACAGAAGAACAAAGTTGAAAGACTCACATATCCTGGTTTCAAAGCCTGCTAGAAACTGACAGTAATCAAAACAGCGGGAACTGGGATAAAGACAGACATAGAGAAAATGGGATGGAACAGAGAGCCCAGAAATAAACCTCCAGGTACCGTAATCAAATGCTTTTCAGCAAGAGTGTCAGTATCACTCAGTGGGAGAGGAGAGTCTTCACCAAATGGTGCTGGGAAAACTGGATAACTGCATGCAGGGAAATAAAGTAGGACCCTCACTTTATGAAAGATGCAAAAATTAGCCAAACATGGATTACACTCCTACATTTAAGAGCTAAAACTAGAAAACTTATAGAAAAAAACACAGTGGTGGCAAATCTTCATCATCTTGGATTTCATAGCAGTTTCTTCGATATGACAGCAAGCACAGCCAGCGAAAGGAGAAATTAACTGGACTCGAAGGACACACAGGCCCCTCTGGACTGTCTTTCTACTTATTTTAACTTCTCCTAAATCTGTAATTATTTCAAAAT
Source organism: Homo sapiens (assembly GCF_000001405.40). Lineage (NCBI taxonomy): Eukaryota > Metazoa > Chordata > Mammalia > Primates > Hominidae > Homo > Homo sapiens. Next base: position 112,847,193 of record NC_000013.11, on the reverse strand, counting down.
AAAATGCTGCCAACCGAGGGGGCCCTGCAAGTGCCCAGCTCACTACCCGGAGAGCTTCCAGGCCGAGGCTCGGGCAGGGGAACGTAGCCGGAGCCAGTGAATTCCCTGAGTTATGGGGCAGACCTGGGTGTCAAGGGAACAAGCACCAGAGTTCCTAGGATGGAGTGGATGCCAGAGGCTGTGGACGGCCCCTCAAGCACCTGCAACTGTGAGGAAGCTCCTGGAGGCCAGCAACAAGCCATTAGGAGGAGGGTGGGACAGCCTGCTGCCAGGAGGCATGGCCACTCACCAGGCACAGCGCTCAGGGCCTGGCAGTCTGGGGAGCACCACCCGGGGCAGGCACTGCTGTGGGTCTGCTGGACATCACGAAGGCATGGCCTGAAAGGAACAGACTGTTCCCAGGAACTCAGCCACACCCCAGAACAAGATTTAAGATCTCCAGGAGGACCACGATACCCAGCATCCAACAAAGCCCACAGGCAGGCATCCGGCCACAGGCCACCATCACGCAGGGGCACCGTCCCTGCCCCAAACGAGGGGACTGTGCAACACTGTGGCTGGTCCAGAGCTGGCAGCAGGGGTGCAGTTAGCGAGGAGGATTTAAACAGTCACTGCCACCGTTATCACACACGTCCCATCCGTTAGCGAGGAGGATTTAAACAGTCACCGCAATCGTTATCACACACGCCCCATGTTAAGTAGGGGCATGAGGATACAAAACCACGCTGGCGGAATTTCTAGACATGAAAACTCCGATGTTTGAGGAGAGGGGTGTCCTGCGTGGGGTGCTGACAGGTTAGACGCTGCACGGGAAAAACTCGTGACATGGCAACAGAAACCGTCTCTAAAGAAACGTGGAAAACCTTAAAGGGAAAAGCCTTTGTAAGCGGTGAGACAACATCCGGCAGTTGAGTACATGGGTCCTGGAACTGCTGAAAGGGAGCAAGGAAGAAAAATATCTGTAGAATAATTGCTGAAAAATGTTAAACTTGATGAAACGCCGCAGATCCGAGATGCTCAACACGGCTGAGCAAAGAAACACAGCATCACTCCACCAAGGCATCCCATCACGAAACACCTCAAAAGCAGCCAGAAAAGGGAAGCTGTGGAAAGAGAAATGAAGACGCTCTGACAGGAGGGTCCCCAGGAGAAAAGGACACATCGGCTCAGCCCCAGACACGCACAGCAGGCGGCCCGCAGCAGCTGCTTCCAAAACAGCCCCAACTGGAAACAACCCAATGTCTGCCAACAGGCGGAAGAATCAAGAAACTGGTCCATCCGTAGAAAGAACTAGCACTGCGAGTGCCCGGCAAATGAACGAGTGCTGCTAGTGCCGGCAACTGGACTGGTTAGTACTGCTAGTGCCGGCAACTGGACTGGTTAGTATCACTAGTGCCTGGAAACTGGACTGGTTAGTACCGCTAGTGCCGGCAACTGGACTGGTTAGTACCGCTAGTGCCTGGTAACTGGACTGGTTAGTACCGCTAGTGCCAGCAACTGGACTGGTTAGTACCGCTAGTGCCTGGTAACTGGACTGAATAGTACCGCTAGTGCTGGCAACTGGACTGGTTAGTACCGCTAGTGCCTGGTAACTGGACTGGTTAGAACCACTAGTGCCTGGCAACTGGACTGGTTAGTACCGCTAGTGCCAGCAACTGGACTGGTTAGTACCGCTAGTGCCGGCAACTGGACTGGTTAGAACCACTAGTGCCTGGCAACTGGACTGAATAGTACCGCTAGTGCTGGCAACTGGACTGGTTAGAACCACTAGTGCCTGGCAACTGGACTGAATAGTACCGCTAGTGCTGGCAACTGGACTGAATAGTACCGCTAGTGCTGGCAACTGGACTGGTTAGTACCGATAGTGCCGGCAACTGGACTGGTTAGAACCACTAGTGCCTGGCAACTGGACTGAATAGTACCGCTAGTGCTGGCAACTGGATTGGTTAGTACTGCTAGTGCCCGGCAACTGGACTGGTTAGTATCACTAGTGCCTGGAAACTGGACTGGTTAGTACTGCTAGCGCCTGGCAACTGGACTGGTTAGTACTGCTACTGCCCGGCACTTGGACTAGTACTAGTACCGCTAGTGGCTGGCAACTGGACTGGTCTGTACCACCAGTGCCCAGTAACTGGACTGGTTAGTATGGCTAGTGCCCGGTAACTGGACTAGTACTGCTAGCGGCTGGCAACTGGACTGATTAGTACCACTGATACCTGGCACTTGGACTAGTACTGCTAGTGCCCGGCAACTGGACTGGTTAGTATGGCTAGTGCCCAGTAACTGGACTAGTACCGCTAGCAGTCGGCAACTGGACTGATTAGTACTGTTAGTGCCCGGCAACTGGACTGGTTAGTACCACTAACACCCGGCAACTGGACTGGTTAGTACCACTAACACCCGGCAACTGGACTGGTTAGTACTGCTAGTGCCCGGCACTTGGACTAGTACCGCTAGAGGTACTTGGACTAGCGGCCGCTGAACTAGTACCGCTAGTGCTCGGCAACTGAACGAGTGCTGCTGTTCCTCACGACAGAAATGAACGGGCCCACACGGCCGAGTCTCAGCAGTTATGGGAGTGAAAGACGCCGGATACAACAGCCGCCTTTTGTGATTCTGCTGATAGGAAGCTCCAGAAGGTGGGCACGAATCTGCAGTGACGGCGAGTGGAGCGGTGGTCTCCAGCGAGTGGGAGTTGGCAGGGATGGGAGTATGAGGGCGCGAGACAGTCTCTAGGGTGAGGGATGCGTCCCCTTCCCAGCAGGCAAAGCCTCCACCTGTGTGTTCGTGTGTCAATGCCCTTGCTGCTCTCGCATTTTAAATATGTATAGATCAATGTATGGCAATTACATCTCAAGAAGACTTTCTGAAACAAGCAGCAAGTGGACTTTACAATCATCACAATTCACATAATCCATGCGCCTACTCTCCTGGGCAGCAGCAGTGGGGATCCAGCAGGTGGAAGATATTTGGTACTCAGGCCATGAAGACCCTCCATGGAGGACCAGTCACCTGTGACCTGTAGCCATCGTGTGCTCAGCATGGCACGGCGACCACGTCACAGCAAAGCACAGCCTCGCGCTATTGGAAAGCGAGCTGCAGATGGAGCTGCCCCCTCAGGAGCCCCCACACGCCCCTGTACTGAGGCTCATTGTGTGTCGAAGCGCAGGACGCTTGTGCTGCTCAGAGGAACCCGCTCGGCTCCCACCCTGCAGCTCTGTGGCTGGTGGAAGTCAGTGATGTATTTTCCAGATCCCTCACAGAGAAGTTCAACAATCTTTAACCTGCTGCTGATTTATGGATTCCTGTTGGCTCCAACGCAGCTACTTTGTAGTGCCAGGAGCTGTTTTAATAGCAACGTAAAGATGATGATCCGCACGTCGACAGCATTCCACGAAGTTCACAGGCTCTGGCTGCTGCACGCACGGGCTCGCGAGCGAAAGGGCTCCTGTCCATCGGCAGGAATTCTTAATGCTCTGACATCTACAGTAATCAAGTGTTGCGACTGACAGCGAGGACAAACATTGCTTTACATTTAAATGGTCAGTGAAGGGAGCGCTGAGTACCACGACCTCTAGTCCAAGGTTCTCTCGGTTCAGCCTTCCTTGGTGCAGAGCCAGCCTTGGAAGTCTTGTTTTCCAGTGCGTAGCCACTCTGGCCAGCGTCATTTTGGACCTCTGGGAGGAGAGCCTGTCAGTTACTGTTTCTTTTTCATGAAAAGATGATAAGGTCGGTGTGAGAGGAGGTGCTGCCCTGGGCTGGAGTGAGGGAGAAGACCCCAGGGTGGTGTCGGGAGAAGGGTGCAGACACCGTGGGACAAAGCAGCCACGTGGGGAGCAGAGGGAGCGCGTCCACCCAGCCACGCATCACCCAACGTTAGGGCATCTGATGGGAGGGAACGCGCCCACCCGGCCATGCGTCACCCAGCTTTAGGACGTCTGACAGGAGGGAGTGCGTCCACCCCAGCCACGCACAGTGTAGCTTTAGGGCATCTCACAGGAGGGAGCATGTGCACTCAGCCGTGCGTCACTCGGCGTTAGGACATCTGACGGGAGAGAGCACGTCCACCCAACCATGCGTCGCTCGGCGTTAGGACCTCTCACAGGAGGGAGCATGTCCACCCAGCCACGCATCACCCGGAGTTAAGGTGTCTGACAGGAGGGAGCGTGTCCACCCCAGCCACGTGTTGCCCGGCTTTAGCGCGTCTGACGGGGAGGGGAGGCCCTGCTGTGAGAGACACTCAGGCCGGCCCCCTACCGCAGCAGCCCCAAAGACAGAAAGCCGGACCCACGGAGTGGGAGGCTCAGGTGTGCGGGCTGCTGGGCGGTGCTATACAACAAGTGGTGGAAAGAAACCTTATCATACAAGCTTAAGACCCAGATGGGGAAAGAAACCCAAACAGGTGATGTCACAACAGAAAACGAAAGTGCTGATTTGTTTTGAAGCAAATCACTAGAAACGTCAACACAAAGACTTTTTGCTCCAATACAATAACCACAAACGTGCTAATTCTGACTCCCCAAAACATCAATCAACCAACCTGGCACCCACCCGAAAATAAAACCCTGTGCAAGGCTGGGGAGGAGATGGCCTGTGCCTGGCTGGACAGCCTGTGCCTGGCTGGGTATCGGAGGCCCCCTGGGGTCGGTGCCGGCTGAGGCTGCCTGTCTGTCTGCCTCTGGCCCAGCTGATTTCTAAACATTCCCCAAGGAATACAATACGCCATTCCCAGCCAGGAACTTGTGGAACATGGAATTCCTTCCTGACAGCAGGGGAGCTGACCGCCACGAGGCCCTCCCCAGCCCGGCTCTCACCACTGCGTTACGCTCCACTCTGGCTCGGATCTGGTCAACTTTGCCTTCTATCACTCGGGGGAATATCGAAGAATCTGCTCCTTTGCAAAACAGATAAATTTCTCCTACAAAATGAGAAAAATGAGGAGTTTAATCACAATATGGGGAAGACTAGATTATTTTTTAAAATTATGCCATTATTAAAAAACAAAAAACAGGGATAGCAGTGTGGAAAGCTTTTTAAAGATTTTAATGGACCAGTTAACACGCTACAGTCAGGAAAAAATAAACCCACAGATAACCTCCAAAGCCTCGTTTTATTCCTACACCCTAGAAATTCCACAGGAGAGGCAGGAACGAGGAAAAGAACTTGGCTCCGGGACTCTGTTTTTTCTCTGGGAAAGACACGAAAGGGGACAAAATGCCCTCGGGACGGGCGTTGGGGTGACCCAAAGGGGGTCCTGGTTTCTGAAATGCTGGAAGGTGAACACAAATCCCCTTCGGAGAGTCATCTGTCCTCATGCAGAGCAAGGCAGCCGGGCCACCTCTGAACTTGGAAGAGTCAGGGGAAACGTTTGCGTCATTTTTTCCCACACGTCCAGTAACACTGTGATCGCTGTGGACATACTTGTGCTGTGAACGTGGGCTTCTCAGGCCTCAGATAAAGCGAGTTTCTCTTCCAGGCACTGCAGCATACAGCAAAGGCCACGACAGTTCTGCTGTGATGTCACCTGCTCCTGACACACAGAGCCCCCTCTGCACCTGAAGCATCCCTGGACGGCGAAGCCACGTGGCACTCTGCCAGGTGGCTAGTTTGTGCCTGGGCGCAGGTGCTCCCGACACACAGAGCCCCCTCTGCACCTGAAGTATCCCTGGTCCACCAAGCCACGTGGCACTCTGCCAGGCGGCTGGTTTGTGCCTGGGCGCAGGTGCTCCCGACACACAGAGCCCCCTCTGCACCTGAAGCATCCCTGGACGGCGAAGCCACGTGGCACTCTGCCAGGCGGCTGGTTTGTGCCTGGGCGCAGGTGCTCCCGACACACAGAGCCCCCTCTACACCTGAAGCATCCCTGGTCCGCGAAGCCACGTGGCACTCTGCCAGGCGGCTGGTTTGTGCCTGGGCGCAGGTGCTCCCGACACACAGAGCCCCCTCTGCACCTGAAGCATCCGTGGTCCGCGAAGCCACGTGGCACTCTGCCAGGCGGCTGGTTTGTGCCTGGGCGCAGGTGCTCCCGACACACAGAGCTCCCTCTGCACCTGAAGCATCCCTGGTCCGCGAAGCCACGTGGCACTCTGCCAGGCGGCTGGTTTGTGCCTGGGTGCAGGGAAACGCCGTGCTACGGCGCGGTGACGGCAGGGTGGGAGAAACACCACAGCAGCCTGAGCGGCACGCGTAGGAAGCTCCATGCCCAGCTCCTGGCGGGGCAGAGCCCTGAGACCCCCAGACACTGAGGGCCCTCGGGAAGTCTACTGGGGACCAAATCCAGAGGGCCCCAGAGTGGGCAGGCAGTGGTCCCCAGGGTGGTGGTGGGAGGGACATGGGGAGGGGACGCTCTCGGGCTGACGACCCGGATCCAAGGCCTGGAGCTTGGACGAGGACTCAGGAGTAGGAACAGGGGTCCGCCTTGCCTTCCTTCCTGGATGCCAGGAAGCACTAACTCCTGAGACACCAACAGGGAAGCTGTGGGAACATGGCTACACTTGACGCTCATGTGGCTGAGGTGGCTGCCAACCTGCAGCCAGAGAGGATGGCACCTGGTGACACAGGTGTTGCCAATACATGCAGCAAACCAGTGCCGAGCAAAGGCTGGAGGGCATGGGGGAGGACGGAGGCTGAGGCTGGAGGGGACAGGAGAGTAGGGAGGCTGAGGCTGGGGGGGGATGAGAAAGTGGGGAGGCTGAGGCTGGAGGGGACAGGAGAGTAGGGAGGCTGAGGCTGGGGGGGGATGAGAGAATGGGGAGGCTGAGGCTGGAGGGGACAGGAGAGTAAGGAGGCTGAGGCAGGGGGGATGAGAGAATGGGGAGGCTGAGGCTGGAAGGCACGGGAGAGTGGGGAGGCTGAGTCTGGAGGGCACGGGAGAGTGGGGAGGCTGAGGCTGGAGGGCACGGGAGAGTGGGGAGGCTGAGGCTGGAGGGCACGGGAGAGTGGGGAGGCTGAGGCTGGAGGGCACGGGAGAGTGGGGAGGCTGAGGCTGGACGGCACGGGAGAGTGGGGAGGCTGAGGCTGGGGGGGATGGGAGAGTGGGGAGGCTGAGGCTGGAGGGCACGGGAGAGTGGGGAGGCTGAGGCTGGAGGGCACGGGAGTGAGCAGGCTGAGGCTGGGAGTTGGACCCTGGAGGATCTCTGCAGAACTGCAGAGGTGTGACCACAGAGTCTCAGTTGCTTAGCATAGAAAAGCAGGGCCCGGGGGTTAAACTACCCAATCGATGTCAGAGCCGTTTCCCGACTCCCATGGTTTCCAGCCAACGCTGTTGTTTCATCAGATACAGTTCAGAATGAGAACTGTGGTCCAAATGACATAATGATGCATTCTTGAACAACAGCACATTTTTTACTAGAAAATTCATGTTTCATGGCTCACAACTCATGCCAAGAGCATGTGAATGGCTTAACTTTCCCACTGTCTCAGCTTGTGAATTCCACTGTAAGACACAGGACACCTTCAGCCTGAAGACTTGGTGAGGAACAGCCTTGGAATAAAAAAACCCAGAGGACAGAGCAAAAGTTAATCTACAATGAGCAACTGAAGACCGTGCACACACAGGTGACATAACCGAACACACAGGATCCTGTCCCCAAGACAGCTGGGTTGTGTCGCAGGTGCAGCCGTGGTTGGTGGCTGTCCCCTCTGGGACCAAGAAGGGCTTACTGCCATTTGGAGAAGAGAAAGGGCTATAGAACCACAGTTTGAGCCCATGGTGGGGGGTCTTTCACTGTGTCTCACAGACCAGCTCAAGGACATGGAAAGCCAGGCGTGACAGCAAATGTCCCCGAAATGGCTGGAAAAAGGGCATCAAGGAAGCAGCTCCTGGAGGAGCTCCAGGAGGGTGCACTGTTAGGACTTTCCTTCTCTTTCATCTTTTCTGCTTGCTTTTCTTTTTCATAGATGAATATGCTTATGTACTCTCCTTTTCTTCTTTCGAGTCGGTCTTCTGTGTACTGCGTACATAATACCTTGGGTGCAGTAAGCATCCGCAGGATCCCCCAAAAGAGAGATTTCACATCTGCCTTTGAAAGGGAAGGCCTGATGCAGCCGAGTGGCCTGTGACTTCCGAAGTCCTTCCTCAAAATTCCACCGTGGAGAATCCCAGGAAAGCACACATGACTGAGGTACAGACATATAAAAAAGGGTCCTGCGGACATCATGGGAGGCCCCTGTTGGGGCTGCTCAGCCCCAAAACAGTGAGATCCGGCTCTGACAGCCGCAACCCCCTACAGGGCTGAGCCCAGGAGGAAACACGAGCTGTGAGCTGGCTGCAGGGTCTCCCCGCCCAGCAGGGAGAACTCCAGTGCAATTAGTGAACCTCTCCGGGGATGACTACTACTTACAGAACACCTTGCTTAATTACATATTCAAACTTCTCTTAAAAGTAACTGATGAGTGGCTGGCTTCAGATGGCAGGGCCGTCTCTCCTGCAAGCTCTCAGTTCCTTGGAGAGGCCCTAGGAGGTCCACAGGCGTCCCAGTGCGGATAGGGATATTCTCATGGCACAAATGCCTCCAACCCGGATTCTTCGAGTGATCCAGCGGCTCTTCAGCCTTTTGATAGTAACAGAAGTTATTTACAAAGATTCCACGGCATAGCCCACAATGCCCTGAGGTCTTGGGCATTCAGGATGCAGCAAAAACCCCTTGTGAGCGTGTGGCAGGGCCAGCTCCGGGGTGAGTGCGCGGCAGGGGCGGCTCCGGGGTGGCTGATGCTTGCCTTCTTGGGCACCGTGGTCAGCCCCGCAGGTCACGGGCAGCATGTTCCAGCCACGGCTCAACAGCTAGATTCGACTGCTACGGGGAAAACCACGTGAGTCAGCCCCGCAGGTCACGGGCAGCATGTTCCAGCCATGGCTCAACAGCTAGATTCGACTGCTACGGGGAAAACCACGTGACGGGATGGACCAGGAACTTCCCACCCAGGATGCGTTTATCCCAGATAACTCCGAGTGGCTGAGACTCTCAGGACTGCGCCTCATCCGAGCCGGGGGGAAGGGTTCTGACACACAGAAGTCTCGCGCATCTGAACCTGTTCTCAGACCCTGTCCTGCTGATCCCACGGTCTGGCTGGCAAAAGCTCTTCGTGGGAGTCCTGGCAACATTCACACACAGATTGTTCCTCATCCTATGACCATCAGTAGACATCTCACTGTGGAGCCTGGATTCATCCCACATTTGATGGCGTGTCTCAGAGGTGATGCTGTGTGACACAGTGGGACTGTGTCTAAGGAACCAGCGAAGGCAGGCGGCAGCCCCCCAGAGCAGCCATGGCACCCTCCTCCCTCCTGAGGCTGCTGCCCACCCCAGAGCCGCTATGACTCACAGGGCGTCACCGAGAGTCACACTGCCTCCCCCTACAGCTCCTTCGGGGTCTTAGGAAGTGAGGCACCATGGTCCTGATCCGAAGGGTGCCCGACGGCACTGATGATGGCCCTGCTCTGTCTACTGTGTTAAAATTAAACTCGGCACATCTTAGGAAAATGCTGGCATGAAGCTCTCCAGCCTGTCTGGTTCCGGGGAGTGGCTGTTTGGTTGTTTGCCAGGCATCTTTCCAAAGAGCTAAATGCAGCCTGGGAGTGTCTGGTTTTAGGAAACAATGAAGAGTGAGATCCCACAGCTCTTAATGAAGCCCTGCTCTGACGCTGCGTGGAGGGCTCTGAACGGCACAGGATTTGGGAGCACTCGGCGGAGGGTGGCGTGACGTCAGCGTGTTGCTGAGAAGAGCATCGGTTCTGCGTTCGGGATGCGTGCAGGCAGCCAGTGGCTGCAGACGGACAGACAGCTCCACCATAGAGCAATGTCCTGCACGCTGCTATGGGGCTGAGGTCCGGGAGAGGCTTCCTGAGCCGTCCGTGGAAAGGACAGATGGGTGAAAGGCCCTTCCTATGGGAAAGCCCACGGCAGGAAGCGGGGAACAAGGCCACTGTGGGGGCTGTGGGCAGTGCCCTCTGGGGACACTTGAGGACAACCTGGTGATGAAGGTGAGTGAGAGCCTCAGAGGGGGCGGTGGGAGCTCTTAGGAAGTGATGGCCATGCAAAGGGGTGGCCTCTGCAGACGGAGCCCACGGGCCCTGCCTGTCCAGGGCAAACAGCCAGGGGCGCCTGCACGTTCAAGCCTCAGCACTGTGGGCGGGAGCCTGAGGGGCTGCGGTGTTGAGTGACCTGTGGCATGTGTCGTGACCTGCTGAGGGTGGGGGGAGACGAGGTCGTCCACCTGTGCTTGGGGGATGCAAAGTGCCTGGGAGAGCTCCTCGCAGGGAGGTCAGGGGACCACAGATGCATCCACCTGGACTGCAGAGGCAATCGTCAGGGACAGGGGCAGCCACAGGTCAGAGTGGGAGGATCAGGAGAGTGCCCAACCGTGTGGGTCACCAAAACATCATGGCGGCCACAGGGCTCTGACTGTGCCCCGCCACTGCTCATCCCAGCATTCCGGAGCACGAACCGAGTGTGCTGTTCTCACAGACACACTGTTACGGCAACTGCCAATCAACAAAGCTCACTTTGCAACTTTGAACATTATTATAGATACATTTGCAAACCCACATTACCTTTTCCTTGAAAATGGTTATTTAAAAACATTTTATGTCATTTAGCTCTGCATGGAGAAAAGCGGGTGGGGGATAGGGATGGGCAGAGGAACTTTCACAAATGGAATTAAGCAATTTTCAACAGTAAAGTGGCCCCAACTCGACACTAAAAGATGGACAGAGCAAGGGTGCCGGATGTTTAGCCCAGGACTCCTTCCTCAGCATTCCAGAAATGTTGCACTTTTTAAAAATAAAAAATTAGTATTTTGAGAGGATTTGTCTATAGTTTTTAAAAAAAGAATAAATCATTCTTAAACCCTAAATCCTTAAAGCTCCTGTAGAATTTAGTCATCAGAATAAAACACAACCACCACGTATAACTTAATAAATCAAAAGAAAAAGAAATTTTACCTGTAGCAGATTTTACAATTACACTCATTCTCCTTCTGACTGAGTCAAAACTCAAAATTTCCAGCAATTCAAACCTGAAAGAGAAATGCAGAAGGTCACACCGTCCACACGGGTGCTCACGTGATTCCATCTGGTAACTGTGGAGCTCTCCACAGCAGAATGGCTGGGGCAGCCCTGGCCCTTCCTCAGGGGACACACAGAGGGCTGCTGGGTGAGGGGTGTCCTCCCATGGATGCCCTGAGAGGCCTGGATTTGAAGGACGCAGCAGGTGTACCCAGTGGGGCAGAGTCTGGGCCCTGTGGCACCGGCTCCTCACTACGTCCCCATCCTACCCAGGGCATAGGCTCAGATTCTGCCAAGCAGGCTGCGTTCCCTACGCACCGACTCCCTCCCTAAACACCGCTGAACAGAGACTCAAAGTTGTGTCAGAGATTGGATCCTTGTCAATGAACTGGCGTTACCCTAAGAGATCAAAACCAAAGGAAAAAGCGTTTTGGCTGGTGCTGTCCTGTTACCGGAAGACTCAGAAAACCTGTGTGGCGTCTGGAGCATCGGAAGTGTTTGGCAGCCCCCGCTGCTGCCCCTCAGCCTCCTCAGGGCCTTGGACTCAGTGGGAAGCTGCGGAGGGGCTCTGGCCGCAGTGCCAGCCCAGCTCAGAGCCAGGGGTCCCTTGGCAGAGCCCTGATGGGGGCTCTCATCTAGGCCACGACCTCACTACCTCCACGGCTGCAAACCCGGAGCCTCAACGGCAGTGAGTTGCGGCCCCCGGGAAGCCCAGGGTGCTGTGGAGAGGGTGCAGCTGGTGCCAGCGGAGGGCCCAGGAGCCCCGCCGAATCAAGGGATTTGTCCTTTCTCTTCCACTGGGGAGTTTATTTTCCCTAAGAATGAAATTTTAAAATCCACGTGTTTTGAGGCCATCACCACCAGATCTTGTGTCTTTGCCGGAACCATGACCGCACATTCGTGCTTGTTGATAAGCCACCACCCCCTCTCCTGAGTCAGATCTCAAGATGGGTCACTTATCTCAGGGACAAGCAATTTGGGACAGAGACAGTCCCTAAAAAATGGGAAGAGTTTTAAAGATATGAAAAGTAAAACAATCCAACATCAAACTGGTGACTGAAAAGCGTAACTGTGCAAACTGTTTTCGACACGACGCTGTGCTCCCAGCACGTGAGCCAGGGTTCCTCCCTGCGGGACTCATGGCCACACCGGGGGCAGCTGCTCACTCCCCTCGTGGAGGCAAAGGGGCCTGGAGAGGTCAGAACGCGGCCTGCAGCAAAACCTGACTTCAGGTGGCTTAACCCAAAACATATTTGACAGTGAACTTTTGTTCACTGAACTCCAATTTACATCTCCAAGAAAAACCATCCAGGGGAAGCAGCGCTGTGGCTGCACCCAAGCCCTTCTCTAAGTGTCCAGCACTTCTCCAGAACATTCTGGTGACATTCCTGGGGTGTCACTGGGAAGGAGAGGAAGCGAATTGTGGGAGAACATAGAGAACTTGTCTTTTCCCTCAAACGCAGAACCTTATAAAGAACACTCTTTATTCGTTAGTCCTTTCACATCTGAGGGTGAGGTCTGCACATACCTTTCGATGTGGTTCTCCCTGTTTAATATCTCCATGTAATTGTCCTTCAGCCTTAGGTAGGTAAAGCCAAGTCTGCAATGAGAAGGGAAACCTCGGGGTGAATCTGAGATTCTGATGTTCCTCTTTCATAGAGTATTTGCTTTATATTTTGGTAAAGCGTTCTTTTCAAAAAAGAAATACTTTCAGTTAAACAGAGATTATAAACTGCATTATAAAGTTAGGAAATTATCATAATGAACTTATTCACCATCTCAAAAAATCTTCCAAGAGCAAGAGAATTTCTACCCAACCCAACCCTCCTTGGCACACAGCAGTGAGGCACATTCTTGTCAGTATTGTTCTCCAGAAGAGCATGGCAGGCACATGGCCTGCAATCCTTGCTTCGATGACACTTTTGCTCATTGATTCGTGGACTTTGTTGTTGTTGAGCGGAGAACACGATGCCAGAGGGAGAGGGACCCTGAGAGGCTGTTACCCCCACACCAAGGCCCTTGAGTCACTGACGGGGAACGAAGGTCCAGCGCAGGCCTTCAGCCAGCACGTGGGTGCACCCATCTATACAATGCCTCCTCCTGCACGCCTGGGGGTCAGCGACCTTCAGGGCCTTGTGGGAGCCACTGGGACGGCAGAGACAGAGCATGGCTTTGGGATGCGAGAGGCCAGCAGAGGACCCGGGAGACAGACGTGCTTCGCGGCACCAGGGGGATGGCAGTGGAGGCCTCTGGCCAGCCCAGGTGGGAGCAGCGGCTGGAGGAAAAGCTTCAGGGCAGGGAGGAGTCTCAAAGGTGGGCGGGGTAGCCTGCCCTGACTTCTAACACCTGTGATGAAGGCAGTGGCATTCCTGGGCACTTGTGTTTCAAGAAGAGAGAAACCCAGCTCCAAGAAGCCTCACCTACGCATGTGTGGGTTTACGCATGGAACGAAGGGCCCCGGTGATACTGTTGACGTATCTGTGCTGCTACTCAAGTTGCATGGAGAAAACACATTAGTTTAGCAGCGACAAAAACATGGCTGTAATGAGGTGAGAAGCGCGAACATGATTCTCACCATACTCAGTCCCTGAAGGCACTTTTGGGGAGGGGAGGTTCAGTAATACAGAAGTCATGAGCTGGATGGATTTGAAAATGGCTCCCCTGAGTTGAAATTATGCCATGTATCTGGAATGTTTAAAGTATTTTTCCAAGCGTTTGCTTAAAGGGTGGGCGGTGAGAGGTCCCGCACCAGCTCTGCTCTGTCCGGCCCAGGCTGTGGCTCTGGGAAGGCCGCTGGGCCTCTGGGCTTCAGTTTTCTGAGATGCAGGAGGGAGATTTGTGTTAAAAGAATGATTGTTTCCGTATTTTGAAGCCTGTGGTTATTTGGAATGACCTCTAACTTACTGCAGACCTCAGGAGGAAAAGCCACCCACGCAAAGTCAGAGATGAAGACTCACGCGCCGGGGACCAGACGCTGCTTATCACGGTGGGAGGGGCTCATACAGGGACGGGGGTCCAGAGAAGCTGGGTGCAAAGGCAGCACAGCTCAGTGTGGAGGGCACAGGGTGGGGCTGAGGACGCCTCTAGGTGCAAATCCCTGACTGGGGCTGGGGAGGGGCTGAGTCACATCAGGAAACCCAGGCAGACCCTTGGCCCGCGACGTACCTCTGGACACCTTCGACCAGCGCCACCTCGTCGGGCGAGGATGAGATGTACACACAGGATTTCCCCCCGTCCGGCGATTTCCTGGGGCCGTCTACGCTGTCATCGTCTTTCACCTGGACGGTGTGGCAGAGACAGAGGGCCCGGAAAAACAGCTCCTCGCGCTCCTATAAAAAAGCAGTTCCCAGAACCCCCAAATCACGGTGCGTCCACTGAAGATAGAGGGAAACAGGCGCAGAGAGATAACAAGAAGCGGGGTGGGGGGGGTCCCCGCGGCCACGAAGGCAGCTTGTGGGCGGTGAGGGGTTATACAGTGGGATGGAATTACAGCTTTCCATCGTTCTCAAGCACTCTGTTTTGTAATTGAGACTGACGGGTGAGGAAGGCTAAACGGGCGTGCGTTCAGCACCGACACTTCTAGAAACCACAGAGGCTTCACGTGCGCTCAGAAATGGCAAGTGACCGCTAGCGTCCAGGAAGGGAGACTGAGTCACACGGTGCCACGAACACAGACATTCACAAACACCCTGGACCCTGGCTGTGCCTCTGCCCTGGTGCCTGTGCGATGGGGACGTTCTCCTAACCAAAGCGTGTGTTAGACTAGGCGTGACCTGTGGCGCTCCTGCTGTTGACTCACATTGTCACATTCACCCTGAAACCCCTTAAGAAGTTGGAGCTATTATCCTGCGCCTGCAGCTGCAGAATCAGCGTTTAGGAAGGTGAAGTGATGTGCTCAGGGCCACAGCCGGCTGGGACCTGATCCCCGAGGCTGCCCTGTGTGCGGGGAAATTCAGGAACAGCATCAGCCTGGGACTTCAGCCCTGCCCAGAGATGCTGAGATCTGGAGCCACGGCATTTGGGGCGTGTGTGAGAGTGCATGTGTGTGTCTGCGTGTGAGCATGTGTCTGTGCGTGCACACGGTAACTGGGCGTGTGTGAGAGTACGTGTGTGTCTGCATGTGAGCATGTGTGCACACAGTGTCAGGGAGTGTGTGAGAGTGTGTCTGCATGTGAGCGTGTGTGCATGTGTGTCTGTGTGTGCACACGGTGTCTGGGCATGTGTGAGTGTGTGTGTCTGCATGTGTGCATGTGTGTCTGTGTGTGCACACAGTGTCTGGGCATGTGTGAGTGCGTGTGTCTGCATGTGTGTGTGTGCACACAGTATCTGGGCGTGTGTGAGTGCATGTGTTTGCATGTGAGCGTGTGTGCATGTGTGTCCGTGTGCACATGGTGTCTGGGTGCATGCATGTGTGTTTGCCCTGCTTCTATGGTTTTCATAACCAATTCTAACACGGGTATCACTGAGCAGATGTGTCCTAACGGGACACCACACACATCGCACCTTCTGACCATCCCTCCCACTGAAGTCCGTAGAGAGGGCCTGGATTTTCCTGGACACTCGAGTGAAAAGGGGTGGACTCAGCATGCACAGCCGCCCACTCACTCACACACTTGGACGGCGTGGGGGCTGCCACCTACCCTCCCGTTGACGCTGGGGGACGAGTCAATCATGTCGATTCCTGACGACTCTGGGAGGACCTGCCCGTTGCAGATGACGTGGGGCACGTAGACATGGCCTTCGATGCAGCACTCCTTGAACTCCATGTTGTTTTCCGTGAGGGTGCCGGTCTTGTCTGTGAAGATGTACTCCACCTGCGGGCAGGGCACAGCAAGTCAGGGCGCTCTGAGGGAGGCCCGCACGTCCCCGACTCAGACACACAGCAGCCGTGTTTCCTCCCCAGCTCCCACTGTGACTTGAATAGGCGGTGGATTTCTAAAGGCTTTCCCCCAGACAGACCCCCTCACTGGGCTGAGCCATGCTCCTGCCTCATCCTCCTTCCCAGCGTCCAACAGGACCCTGCAGTCCTGGCAGGTGCAATTCAGGAGGATGGGTGGGGAGGCCTCGGGATACCTTCTCTGGGTTGGGAGCAAAACAGAGTATGGTCTCATAGTCCCATTCCCCGGGACAGAGACATGGGTGGGGCCAGGGCTCCATTTGTTTGGGAAGACAGAGTGTAAGTGGGTTGTCCCGAATCTTAACAACAACAATAAAAAACCAAGGCTACAGAGAGGACGAACTTACTCTATACAGTCTTGGAGGTCAAAACCTACAATACCATGTAAGGTTGAGAAGGTAAAATTCAAGCAAATAAGGACAAAACAAATCTCAGAGAAAACTGTGATATGTGTTAAAGATACAACCCGTCTTAAACTCTGATTTTAGATAAGCTCATGGGTCACACGTTTATCGTGAATAACTGAAGGTAGGAGTTCTGGAACGCACGGCAGCATCTTGAGACTGAGCTTGGGCGCGTCCACAGGGACACTTCTTCCCAAGCATTTTGAATAAGGGATATTCAACCTGTGTACCCTTCTTATACAGGACTTTGAAGTAACTTAGAATAAACGCTTTTCAATCCCAAAAGCATTTTTATTTTTATTTATTTTTTTTGAGACGGAGTCTCACCCTGTCACCCAGACTGCAGTGCAGTGGTATGATCTCGGCTCACTGCAACCTCCGTCTCCCAGGTTCAAGCAATTCTCATGCCTCAGCCACCAGAGTAGCTGGGATTACAGGCACCTGCCACCACGTCTGGCTAATTTTTGTATTTTTAGTAGAGATGGGAGTTTCGCCATGTTGGCCAGGCTGGTCTTGAAATCCTGACCTCAGGCGATCCACCCACCTCAGCCTCCCAAAGTGTTGGGATTACAGGCATGAGCCACTGTGCCTGGCCCTAAAAGCATTTTTAAAAGGGTAAAATGGATAAGAATGAGATAACAAATGTTAAGAGGTTTGGTTTATCATCCTGTTTAGCTATAACTAAATAGGTGGCATATTTCTAGGAAACATGACCATGAAAGTGAACAATAAAAAAAATTAATTATAAAAGACCTTTACTGAGCACTCAGGGTGTGCCAGCCACTGGGCAGAGCCTCATTTAATCTTCAACTGTTATTAACACATCAACTGTGTTATTATCCCAGTTTTAAGAACGTGGAAACAAAAGCTTAAAACCTCTGGACACAAATCCAGTCAGTTCTGTTAGCTCGGGACGCAGAGATAAGATTGTTTGCTTTGTTACTATTAAGCAAGTTTATTAAAGTCTTTGATTTCTTTTTCAAATAGTTTCTTGTCTGGTATATAGAATCACTACTGATTTTGGGTGTTGATTTTGTATCCTGCAAATTTAGTGAATTTGTTGATTAGTTCTAAAAGCTTTTTGGTGGAGTCTTTAGGCTTTTCTATATATAAGATTGTGTCATCAGCAAACAATTTCACTTCTTCCTTTCCTATACGAATGCCTTTTCTTTTTCTTGCCTCACTGCTCTGGCTAGAGCTTCCAGTGCTATGCTAAATAGAAGGGGTGAATGTGTGCAGCCTTGTCTTCTTTCTGATCTCAGAGGAAAAGCTTTCACCTTTTCTCCATTGCCAGCTGTGGGTTTCTCATTTATGGCCTTTATTGTGTTGAGGTACATTCCTCTATACCTAAAATTTGTTGAGAGATGTTATGAAAGGATGCTGAATTTTGTCCAATGCCTTTTCTGCATCACAGATAATCATATGGTTTTGTCCTTCATTTTGCAGACGTAATGCACTACACTTACTGATTTGCACACATTGAGCCACCCTGGCATCCCACAGGTGGGGTATGATCCTTTTGTATGCTGCTGAATTGGTTTGCTAGTATTTTGTTGAGGATTTTTGCAACTTTGTTCATCAGGGGTCCTGGCCTGCAATTTTCTTTTCTGGTGGTGGGACAGTCAACCCTAAGCCCAGTGCTGGTCAATGCTGCCATCACCCTCAGCTCTAGGAACAAAAGATGGCCCTCACTACAACGCACGCCTGCCTGCTAACTTGGCCTGAAGCAAGATTTGTGTTCCAAGGCACTCGTGCTCGGGAGGCAGCACTGCATCGCAGAACGGGGCACTGCCTGCTCCTGACTCAGTTTCTCATTTGAGAAACGGCGCAATAGCACTGAGCACACAGGATACAGAGAAGGTGCATAAAGTGTGCACAGGACACAGAGAAGGTGCACGAAGTGCTTCTGGCACAGGATCTCCATGGCAGATGGTTGTTTCTGTTGTGGACACAGACGCTTGACTGGTGGGTGAATCTATTTCACATACAAAAGAAGTCGTGTTATCGTACTGCACAGCGACAGTGGGCACAGGCGTTTACCCACAGAGCTGCGGTCAGATGAACCTGCCTTTTGGGCTTGTCCACCCGTCTTGACCTCAGTGTGTCCCCCGTGAGCAACAGTACACACTTCTTTGTGTACGAGGAGGTCAGCCTCCAAGCTGGAGCCTGGTTTTGGTCAGGACAGAACAACAGAAATTAAATTCTGTTTTGCAGAACTCCAAGGAGATGGACTGAAGAGGGCAGAGAAGAAATCTGCCGTGCTCAATGCTGCTGGGCGCTTTCCCTTGCACTCAACACCGCTGGGCACTTTCCCCCGCACTCAACACTTCTTGGCGCTTTCCCCCCTACTCAACACTGCTGGGCGCTTTCCCCACACTCAACACCGCTGGGCACTTTCCTCCATACTCAACACTTCTGGGCGCTTTCCCACCTACTCAACACTGCTGGGCACTTTCCCCCCACTCAACACCGCTGGGCGCTTTCCCCCCTACTCAACACCACTGGGCACTTTCCCTCCTACTTAACACTGCTGGGTGCTTTCCCCCCACTCAACACTGCTGGGTGCTTTCCCCCCTACTCAACACTTCTGGGTACTTTCCCCCCTACTCAACACTGCTGGGTGCTTTCCTCCCACTCCATACTGCTAGGTGCTTTCCCCTGCACTCAACACTGCTGGGCGCTTTCCCCCGCACTCAATGCTGCTGGGCGCTTTCCCCCCACTCAACGCTGCTGGGCGCTTTCCCCCCTACTCAACGCTGCTGGGCGCTTCCCCCCACTCAACGCTGCTGGGCGCTTTCCCCCACACTCAACGCTGCTGGGCACTTTCCTTGTTACAGAAAAAAGTTCTTTCCCAAAGAATTTATCAGAAGCTCACAAAATGTACCATCTATTGTTGCAAAGGAGATAGAATATTCCTAGATAAAAATACCTGACTATTGAACAACTAAATTATAGTTTGCGCATTGCTGACTCAAACAATAAAGCACTGTGAGGAGTATGGGACATGCTGGAGGAACACATTCAAAAGTCAAACTCATCAAATGTGGAACATGATCCTTCCGTTTGTTGGCCTTCCTCACAGGAGGCAGAGAGAGGCCTCTGTATCTGCCAGAGTCTAAGTCTATTTACAGGCTGTCATCTGGGAGCGAGATGGAGATTTCAGCTACCTGTCTAAAGTGGCCTTGTTTGCTAAAATATCCTTCAAAATCGCTATTTCTTCCGAAAAATCCAATTACCGTTTACTGGTACCTGCTCCGGCAACCCTGCACTCTGCAACGTTAAGGCTGGGAAGGTAGGGAAGGTCACCGCTCTAGGCTGGGGAAACCCAGGGAATGGGTCTTTCCCTAGCTCCCTTCAAGCCAGCAGGTCTGGTGTGTGCCTCCCGGTGGTGCGGTGGCAGGGCGGTGGTCACACCAGACTCTGTGCTGTGCACCTTGTGTCCATTATCTCATTTAATCTGCAACCCAATCCTGTAAGGCCAGCATCTGTTATCATCTCCATTTCACAGACTGAGACACTCGAGGTGTGGCGGTGAAGCCCGAGCTCCCGCAGCCATCATGCAGCAGCAGGATCTGAATGGAGGCGTCTGAACTCTTTGCAATCCACCAAGTCACTGAAAATCTGGTTTGTTCATCTTTAAAGTGAAAATACCCAGCTCGCCATGAGACTTGAATATCAGGTGCAGAAGCAGAGTGCAAGGCTGGCAAAGCCACTTTTACCCACCAGCCTTGATTCACACCTGCACACAGAAAGAGTTCTGCCCAGGAAGCTCCAATGAGTTTCCAGGAGTCAGCAAGTGCAGGTAATTCTGCATCTGTTGTAAATGTAACAGCACGGCTGACTGTTTCATAAATAGGGTTCAAAACAACCCTGCTGCTGTCTTACGCCAGCTACAGGTACAGCCACGCTCGGATGACAGGCACAGGACCTGAGGAACGTGAAGCAGACTCACCCAGATGTTAATAAATCACAGCAGATGACTCAGGAGACACCAACCTGTCCCAGCTCTTCATTGAGGTCCGACGTGTTCACCAGAGGCCCCTCGCCAGTCTCCTCGTCAAACATGTCTTCGTCCCAGGTGATGAAGTAAGAGCCGAGGAACTTCTGCATCTCGACCGTGACGTACATGGACACAGGGATGATGTAGTTAAAGAGGACCATGAAGGCCAGGAAGTCCGTGAATGCCTTGAGGAACTGCAAGAGCAGAAGGTGCGGGTCAGCACCTCCACCAGGAGGGACAGCAGGCCTCCAACATGCTGCTCTAACACCTCAGGCTTAGGCATAAGTTATACGAGCGCTACTACTAAATACAAGATTTCAGAGTCCAAAGACAAGGACTATGGGCGGAAGGCAGCCACTGGGTCACCTGGTCTCTGAGCCAGGACCTGCCGGGTCCAGGGGCTGAGCTGTGGGGCTGTCCTGCCAGCAAGTGGAGATTAAATCACGAGTTAAGACAAGCATGTGCCGATGACAGGAGACACGCCAACCAGACACCAGCGGCAATTTTACTTCTGCATATTCATGGGATCTCTTTGTGTCTCTTATAACAAAACATACTTGGTAACAACCTACAGATGTAAAAACTAAGCCTGGTGAAATGACTTTTCAGTATACTTTTATCCTGATCTGTGGGGCCATGTTAGTTTTGTGGGAAGGACAGATGATGCAGAGATAGCCCCGCTCTGGACGGAGGGGACACAGGTCTGGGTTTGCACACGGCCCTGCTCCAGGCTCAGTGGATATGGGTCTGGGTTTGCACACGGCCCTGCTCTGGACAGTGGGGACACAGGTCTGGGTTTGCACACGGCCCTGCTATAGGCTCAGTGGATATGGGTCTGGGTTTGTTCATGGCCCTGCTCTAGGGTCAGTGGACACAGGTCTGGGTTTGCACACAGTCCTGCTCTAGGCTCAGTGGACACAGGTCTCGGTTTGCACATGGCCCTGCTCTGGACTGGGAGCAGACCCTTTTTTCCAAGTATTTACCACAAATATGTGCCATTTATCTCATAATCATTAACAAGCATTTTCTCAGCACTCTCTAAACAAAGGACACAGTGCAAGTATTTAAGGTATTGTCCTGATGATTTCACTGTGGGAACCTGTACCTTTCCAGATCCAAAGATGGCAGGAGCAGCTGGTGTCCACTGAGACTTTAAATTTCAGTGAATGCATCTATCACAGAGACTGAATCAATCAAGCTGCTTTTTGCCTACAGTAAATTCACCGTCATCTTTTTCTTGCACCACATTTTCGTAATAATGGCCCACAGGTCACCTCGGATCATACAAGGGCAGTGATTCTCCATACCAGATTCCTCTGCCTTTCCGACTCCGTTTTCTGATTATACCACGGCTCATCCCGAAAGGGCTCACTCTGCCACATGTATTTCAGCACAGTGTTTATCAGGGCTTTGCTGATCAGAATGCAGAGATACACAATGAGGAACGCATTCATCGATCTAAAACAAAAGGACAGAGGTGATCACTGGTCCCTGAGGAAATGAGCTCTGCACTTCCTTCTCACAGATATCAAGATGACACCTCGTGAAGAAACAGAATAGGAAGGGCACAGTGATGTGTTCGCCCTCAACGCACCACGGTGGGTCCTCTGCACTTGCGTCCATGCCATGGTCCCTGGCACGTACTTCTAGAGGTCAAAGGTAAGAACCAAGACGGGGTAAAGTGCCACAAGCAGGAGAGAGAGGGCTGCTCACAGCCACACTGCGGACCATGCTTCTGCACTGCCTGGACTTCCGTCATTGAAAAGTACATCCAGAAATCAATTTCTACCATTAAGCATCAACAAATTAGTTCAAAACTTAGTGACTACCCACCACTGTAGAGGAAGGAAGGAAAGGAGAGGAAGGAAGAGAGGGAGGGAGGAAAGGAGGGGGAGAAAAGTAAATAACTCTGAAAGGAAGTGTCCTCAGTACAGGAAAAGCACAGATCCTTAACTAAGGTCTTAGCAGATCTCAGGAAGAAGCCTTTCTTTTCCAGCACAAATTCAGCTACCATCCTGACATATTTATCATCAGGACTTTACTGTTTAATGAAAAGATGATTCTGTTCTCTCTGCTAACGCTTTCCTTTGTAAAACCATAGCAGAGAATACGTGGTTTTGACCAAATCCCAGAGTTAAAAGTAAGCCCATTTGGAGTTTTTCATGAAATGGTGAGAGGAGCTGTTGGATACTGAACTGATTTCAGAACCGGAACGTCAGGGCGTCCGTAAGAGGCAGCGCTGTGAACCTGGTATCAGGCGTTAGAAAGAGCAGGAAGGAGGGGTGTGGCCATCCACCTCACCACAAAATAAGAAAGACCATCTGAATGGTCAGCTCTGCAGTTACTAAGATGCTGTACAGTGGCAAAGGAACTGCCAATAAGGCCAAGAGGAAGCTACTTCCATTTCTACAGTGGGTAATGACACTTTTAAGTTGCAGGTTCTCACGCGCATCCAGCCTTACTTTTCCACGGCAGATCGCTTCTGAGATTTTGATTGATAATTTAATGCCATCTTGGTTTCCATTCCCGTGTAAATAGCCACACCTACAGAGAGGAAGAGCAAGGGTGATGACCAGGGCGCAAGTGTGTCTTGCCTTATGGTGAGTTACACACAGCTGCGGGGAAAATCAATTCTTGGGTAAAGCGAATCCTATTTTTAATTTCATAAGCTAGTGTCCATAGCCACATAACACTAGCACTTGATTCCTTAGGATAAAGACCCTTCTTCATGCATAGGAAGCAATCTATGCTTCATTTTTTAAGAGTTCATATCTTAATATACACTGGGCCCACCATGTCCACGAGTTCTTAATCTGCAGGTTCTACCAACTGGGGATGGAAAATATTTGAAAAAAATCCCCAATAAAAATAACAATACAATGATACAAAATACAGACGATAAAAACAGTACAGGGTATTTACATCGTGCTAGGTATCAGAAGTAATCTAAGATGATGTGAACTACAGGGGCAGACATGCGTAGGCTACATGCAAATAGGGCCTTGGGCATCCGTGGATTTTGGCATCTGCAGGCATCCTGGAACCAGTCCCCCAAGGACACTGAGGAACACCTGCACAGCATTTTCTGACAGTGGGGCACACTTGTATACTTCTAAAGGTTACCTCAATTAAAACAGACAATAACCCACAAGAAATGGGAGATCCTAGTCAAGAAACGCAGACATGAAAAACATTTCCTGCACAACTAAACTTCACAAATTCCTTCACGGATGCAATGTTCTGTTTCTGAATCCAAAACTAGAGGCCTTAATCCGTAAGCCGTATTCTCTGATGCTGCTGCTTCAGGATTGCACTTATTCACTGATCAAATCTCAGTGGGGCAGAACTTGCGCGGCCAGAAAGCCTCCAGCACCTCAAGGTGCCAAGAAACGCTCTCGGGTTCCGCTGCGGGTTTTAACTTTTGCTTCATGCATCCTTAATGTTAGGGGCAATGGTTAATAATTAATTAAATATTTACCAAAGATTTTCTCAGTGTTCTTCAGTGTAGCTCCTCTAAGCAGCAGGTTTTCCGATCCTAAGGGCCTGTAAAGATACGATGATCAGAAATGATGCGGACACGAAGGCAAGTGGGCAGGGCGGGGGGCAAGAGGCAGACGTGAAACCCACTTGTTTGCTCAGCAGATCTCATTTTCAGAGGAGATGGCATACACGGAGGTTTGCTTATATTCAGATGATTAAGTCAGCCCAGGTCCATGTGAACAGATGTGGGCTTATCTTTGGGGGACGAACACATGGCTCCAGGAGTAGCGGCAAGGGCCTCCCATTGGCGCATGCGGGACCTCAGGCCCCATCCAGACCCACTGAGCTGCGCCCGGCAGCCTCAGCAACACTCCCCGAGAGACCTCTAGAGCAGGGGTCCCTGAGGTGGCCCCACCAGTGCCGTCAGCAGCACCTGGAGCCAGTCAGGAACCATCACACTAGTCAGGAAGATCGTCCCAGGCCTACCGAGTCAGAACCTGAAACCCTGGGGTGGGGCCCAGCAGCCCTCTCCTAACAAGCCTCAGGTTGAGAACAGCTGCACTGGAAGGTCCCAGAATGTTCTGGAAAGGCTAAAGAGGGGTGGATGTGAAATAAAATAAAAGTCACTCAACTTTCAACTGTTTCCTTTTTTTTTTTTTTTTTTGCAACAGGGTCTCACTCTGTCGCCCAGGCTGGGGGCACGATCATAGCTCATTGCAGCCTTGACCTCCTGGGCTCAGGTGAACTTGAGCTTTGGCCTCCCAAAGTGCTGAGATTACAGTTGGGCATCCCCATGCCCAGCCTCAATTGTTTCTATTACATCCTCAGTGAGATTCAGGGAGTCCCATGAAACACAGTCTTATTCCTGGAGACAAAGGCTGATACTCTATCTGGCCATTAGAAACACTGGTAGCCACACTGCAAAGCTCCTCTGAATGGGGGGGACATGTAAATCTGGGACAATCCATGCATGGCTGCTTTGGGGGGAAAACAAGCAACAGCCAAAGAACTTAAAAATCTCACACATGGAAGAACAAGCCCCGTTCTGTGCACTGAAGCCACATAAGCAGCAGGCAGGGTCTCTGCCATCAGGGGCTTATATTCTTGATATAACAGGGTTCCCTGCTGATGGAAAAATAATCTCTTCTCATTTCCTAAGTAGTAAGGGAGAAATAAGCAGCAAGATTCAAATGTATAAATTTTGCTATTGATAACATTCAGAGGATTGCTTCAGAGGGTAAAGGGTCAAAAGTGTTTGCTGAAGTTTGCTTTTCATTTATCATTGTATTTACTGTCCTTCTATCATGGAAAATTAAGAACCTACTGAATATTATGAATGTAAAATGCATGCAGTATATTTGGTCGATAGACCTCAGAACTGCATCCGGCTGAAGACAGGCAGAGTGGGGCTGTCTACCCCAGGCTGCGGCTGAGGGCTCCACGCGCGTCCTCCCCGGCAATCACTAAAGATGGAGCTCCCAGGCTGCATATGGGTTGTCTGGCTGTGTTATAAGGACTGTCAGCTTCTGTTTGCAACACACTTATAATAATTCCTGCCATGTGTTTACGAAAACAAACAGCGTTTTTAAAAAGTGACTCAGGGAAGTCTAAAAATAATTTACTTGGAAAAGTACTTTGCTTCTAGTTAGGACAGAAGGAAGAAGAAACGTCACTCTGAATGGATTGAGAATTTGGGTGCGTAATTCTTAACTGTCCACATCACAAATTTACAAACATCTTCAATAATCTAAATATTAAAAGTCTATGGAATACCATAAATATTTAAAAGTGAAACTAGGCCAGGCGCGGTGGCTCATGCCTATAATCCCAATACTCTAGGAGGCCGAGGTGGGTGAATCACCTGAGGGCGTTTTGAGACTAGCTTGACCGACATGGCAAAACCCCATCTCTACTATAAATACAAAAATTAGCTGGGCATGGTGGCACACGCCTGTAATCCTAGCTACTCAGGAAGCTGAGGCAGGAGAATTGCTTGAACCCGGGAGGTGGAGGCTGCAGTGAGCTGAGATAGTGCCACTGCACTCCAGACTGGTGACAGAGCGAGACTCTGTCTCCAATAAAATAAAATAAAATATATAAAATAAAAGTGAAACCAGAGTTAGTATCAAAATGCAAAATACATTAGCAATTATCGTCCCAAGTTGTTCAGCAATAAACTTGGTCTAACTATAAAGATGAAAAGCCTGCAATGTTTACTATTTTGGATTCATCCCATAGGTAATATGAATAAGCCTAAGTCTGTTCAAACACAAATTAATTCTCACGGCACACAGAAATACAAGAGATTTCTCCAAAGTAAGGAGGAATTTACCTTTAGAACAGTATATACGTAGGCAAACCAAGGCAAGGTCACTATCAGTTCTCGAAAGCACCTCCTAGCCTGCTGATGGGTAATGATAACAAGCACATGCTAAGAAGTGCACAAATGGTTTTCTTAAAACAGTAGCTCCTGGAGACTTACAAGGAGCTAAGCATTTCAGGAACTATTCACTTTGCAGTAGTTTCCCAGTGAGTGTGTTTCTGTGTCTGGGAGATGTGTTGTTTAACACACAATGCTGTACCTACCCAGACATCAACAACTTGGAGAGTGCTTACAATGGAAGAAAAATCATTTCCCTAACAAGTGGAGTTTATGAAGAAGATGCAACTTTAAAATCCAGTGAAAGCCAATTCCCTAAACTGTGACATTCAAATATCTCGTCAGCAACAAATGCTAGATCTTGAAATAATGTCAGAGAAAATATCCCTAGGCCTGGGAGGTGGGTGCTGCTCAGAGCTGGGCTCAGCACAGGCTGGCTCTCAGCCGAGGCTGCCTCGGGGCCATAGATGAGGTGTCTGAGGGTCGCTGTTTCCTCATGGGTATGCGATGTGACTGCCGCTGGGTCCATGCTGGTGAATGGGAAGGCACAGCAGCCAACCGTGAGCTGCCCGGCCTTGCCCCGGCTACCGA
This sequence comes from Homo sapiens, assembly GCF_000001405.40. Lineage (NCBI taxonomy): Eukaryota > Metazoa > Chordata > Mammalia > Primates > Hominidae > Homo > Homo sapiens. The sequence continues at coordinate 112,820,436 of NC_000013.11, read as the reverse complement.
TTCCACCTTCTCAGGTAGGTGTGAGCCTCAGATAGGCCTTGAGCCAGTAATGCACCCCAGAATGATGGTGAGTGGATGAACAGATTCCCAAAAACGGCCTCCAAATTAGAAGTCTTTCAATTTCATATCTGAAGACAAATCAGTACCCGAATCATGAAAGGGCATTTCTCCCAGGGAAGCTGTACTCCGCCCTTCACTTTGAAACTGCTCCACGGGACCCTGACGCCTCCTGGCCTGTGAGACGACCCTCTCGGCAGAGTCTTGCGCGAAAACTTGTTTCACGAGCATCACTAACTTGTCAACATTCACAGATGTGTGCCTGAGACAAACCAGAGACGAGAGTGGAGCCCGGCCCTGTGGGAAAGCGGAACTCCACCTTCCAAATCTACCAGAGCAGCCGCCGTGGAAACCCTTGTCCGTCAAAGAATGCATTTCTAACGCAACAAGGGAGGTGACCGTGGCCAAGGCATCCGCAGAGGCACTCACCTCACCACGGGGTCATTCAGGTCACTGTAAACGTTGATGCGACCCACGAACCTGGCGACAGAAAAGCCACGTTACTGACCGGACGCGCCCAGCGGCCCCCGGGAAGCGCGCGCCTGGCCCACCTGCCTTCTGTGAGCCACACGTCTTCACCTGGCCCGCTCCGTGTGCGGCTAAAGCAGCCCCGCTCCAGCCCCTTCCCTTGTCGTACTTTCTGTTCTGATCAGCTCATGGCTTCGGTGATTTTCCTTAACCCACAGTTTACAAACGTCTTCCGTAAAATAAAGAAAACTTATTCTTTTTTTTTCCCACAAATATGGTTCCACGAAGCCACTTCAAATATTTGTATAAAAAGCTACAAATCTGAGTGGTACAAGTCTATGAGAATAAATAAGTAATGTATTTTTGACTCAGTCTTAATCTTTAAGCAGTGATTTACATTCTCTTTCCAAACCACCACATGGCTGGACTACTTGGGGTGAAAAAGCAAGAGCAATGTTGAGGGCATAAAAAACCGTTTCTAAAGAACCCAAAGCTCCCGCTTACTTGTAGAGGTCGGGCTGGGGCTGCTCACACTCGATGGTGGCGTGAAGTCCGCCGATATCCTCCTCTGTGTGGAAGCCTTTGGTGTCCTGGACCGCGTAATGCGTCTACAAATGCACAAGACATGTGAGCTCACCGCCAAAACGGTCAACACAAACCCAGACGCTGGTGCCTCCAACCAAGTGATTACAAAGCCTGGCTGACCCTATGAGTTTGTAAATGTTTAATAGTTACAGAAAGATAAGGTACTACTGTTATTCCTGCACCTATCAGGTGCCAGAAAATTCTCATCCTTCCATTCTTACCCAGTGTCCTCCACTTAAAACTAACAGGACAGATAGCAATGCTCGAATTCTTCAAGGGTAGACACTGATTTATCTGTCATAGTAGTAGCTATTAATTAGGAAACAAATCCAGGACCTGAAATATCCCTTTCCTTTTACAGAACGCCCTGTTGTTTACGGGGAGCGGTCACAGGATCACTTCACTTCATTTTCACTTCTCGGCAACAACCTGCCTGTGCCCGTTGCTGTTGGGTGGCACAGGCCTTCTACTTAACTGTTCACATGGCCTGGGCCGGGGGGCTCCTCAAGCCTGTCTCAACGTGAGTTTTACCCAGAGCTTCTGAAGCACCTGATTCCTGGGCTCAGCCCTAGAGTTTCTGATGCAGTGGGTCTAGGGAGGGCCTGAGAACTGCACTTCTAATATGGTGCCCAGTGATGCCGATGCTGCTGCTCTCAGAACACATTTTGAGGCCTGGTGACCTCAGTAGCATCTGTGAGCACCAGCAGGTCGGCTGAAGGCCCACCTGAGGTGGGCATGAGGGCTGCACCGGCCCTGCCTTGGGAGGAGAGAGGAGAAACTTGTGCCCAGGGATCTGCGAAGAGGCAACAGCATCTCTGAATCCCTTCCTGTGTTTCTTTCTAGTGGAAGAGTATTGGACAAATAAAACACAGGAGTCAGAACAAATGGGAGAAACAATCACTGCATCATCACCAAGTGCACAAATCAGGGGGACACGGTCACTGCTCCGTCACCAAGCACACAAATGATCACCGTTCCGTCACCAAGCGCACCAACGGTCACCGCCCCGTCACCAAGCGCACCAACGGTCATCGCCTGTCACCAAGCGCACCAACGGTCATCGCCCCGTCACCAAGCGCACCAACGGTCACCGCCCCGTCACCAAGCGCACCAACAGTCACTGCCCGTCACCAAGCGCACCGACGGTCACCGCCCTGTCACCAAGCGCACACACGGTCACCGCCGTGTCACCAAGCGCACAAACGGTCACTGTTCCGTCACCAAGCACACCAACAGTCACTGCCCCGTCACCAAGCACACAAATCAGGGGGCGCTTATTTTCTAAATTCAGTAGGAATTTTCTAATCTTATCCTCACAAGAGCCCCTGAGAGATAGGGTTGTCCCCATTTCACAAATGTGAAGAGTCCAGAGAAGTGAACAGGCCTGTGCAGTCACGTGAGCCCCACGGGATCCAAACAGAGGTCGGGTGGACCCTTCCCACGCCCCTACTCTGCTTTTAAGGAAAGGGCTCAAATAATTCCAGTCCCTCAAGCTAAACAAAATGCACAAAAAGGACATTAGAGAACACAAAACTATAATGCAAACTGCAAAGCCACAAAAGGTCAAAGTGCAATAGCTGTTTTAACATCTTCCACAACTGCTACAACATTTCATCTGGACAAACATGGTGTATCTGGAGACCCACAGCATCTGTTCACTAGCATGGCTGGGACTCATCTGAGCCTGACCAGCCACAGTCTGCAGGGAAGGGGTGTAAAGGCAGCGACTGGCTGCAGAGAGTGTGAAGGGCTCACAGGGTCTCTGGGTGGATGGAACCTTAACCTCCTCCCAGGTTCCAGAGGGACCAACACCCGCTTACAGCGAATACCTGAATCATCCAGGGATTCCGACCCCCTAGAAACTGCTGACAATCTTTTAGGTTAGCGTGTTCATTCTCCTGGGATATGCTACACAGAAAATGTGAAAGCTAATTTAACTGAAAAAGATCCATAGGTTTTTCATCTATCAATTCATGATACATATCATGAATTATCTATGAAAGACTAGCATATCCTTCAGTGATTTTGTAAAGAAAATGTCTCTATCTCATAGTAGAAATGGCCTATATCCATACGTATTACCTAAATACCATTTTAGAGTTGCAATTTTGTGAGCTGATGACTTAGTTGAATCCACTGAGCTATGCTCACTTTCATAAACTCCTTAGAAACTTCAAGATTTTTTAAATAAGAAGAATCTTAAAATTAATGGTGCTATATCTTTTCTTGTATGATTGACAATTAAAATTCTTGTAGCATCAACTGCCTGTGCAGAATTTTATACTGAGTGCAGGAAATTACTTATGTAGTAATTTCAGAAAATCCTGACTAAGATACATTCACAAAAAGACACTCATTGAAGTAACAGGCAAAATCTAGAATCGTGTGTGACTTTTCACATAATTCTAGGCCAGTTTTCACACTAATTTTAACTAATAAAATGAAAATTCTTAAAATTCCAACAATCTATTCATTAAATCCTGAATTTGGTACATTAGCTAATTGACACAGGTTAACACTGAAGTTATTTTTGTTAACCTGAGGTAATTGGTTGTTACAGACATTGAGACTGGAAAGAAAAAGTGAAAAGGAAATGGGGAGGTGTAGGTCAAAAAACACAAGGTAGCATTATTTAGGATGAACTGTCCAAAAACCCAACGTACAACACGAGGACTAGAGCGGACAAGAGCGTGCTGGGCTCAGAGTTTTTGCCGCACTGAGTGGACAAGAGCGTGCTGGGCTCAGGGTTTTGCCGCATCGAGTAGGTTATGGCTGCTCCTGCATGGGTGCCAGGGGAGAGAATGGGAAATCAGTGAGATGTGGGTGTGTTAATTTGTTGCACTCTAATAACAATTTCACTATAAAAATATGTATCTTATAACATCATAATATATGCCTCAAATATACACAATACAATTTATTTTTAAAAAGGAAAAAGAAGAAAGTGGAAAATAGGAGGAAGGAAAAGTGAGGAAAAACATGGCTGGTGTAACTCCCTGGGTTACATGAAAACGGTGACTTTTCAAACAGGATGTTAGTTTCTGTGGCCGCATGGGCACAGTCCGAAGCAGGACAGGAAGATCCTGCCCTGGAGTCTAATGAAAAGGCCCCTTACTTTATGGCTGGATTCTCCATCCAAGCTGGCGGTGGTGACGTGGCACGTCCCATCTCCCCGGTTGCTGGAAAGGAAGATCAAGTCGCAGGGAAAGGTCTCGTCCTCCTTAACCATGACAATGTCCCCAACCTACAGGACAAAGCAGAAAGGATGGTCAATGGAAAGCCCCTCCGTGAAAGCTTGCCCGTCCTGTGGGACCGCTTCCCTCAAGCTGCTCATCTATTCACAGGAAGACACGGGGATGTGGACACGGTTTCAGGAAAAGACTCTTGCCAGACATTCTGCTGGGACCAAGGAAAGACCAGGTCAGGTTTCAATGTTCTAACTTCCGCAGCAAAAACACAGACAAACACCTGTAACAAGGTTATCTTTGATTCAGACCAAGACGACGAGTTGGAGTGTTCTGTGAGCGTGGCCAAGTGGGAAGTACTCCTGTGAGAAGCTTTGATCTAAATCTAGGCGTTTTATGAACCAGGTAATCGAGTTCTGAGAGCTTCCTGATCAACAGAACCAAGGCGCTGCCCAGATCATCAAAGCATGAGGACAAATAAAGCAAAAGTGGCAACAATGTTTCAAAAACTAAAGTAAAAATCAATCACAGAAAGTTGATCATGTGGGTTTTTAATTAAAGGTCATGGTCTAGTTTGTGTCTGTATCCATTTTATTTCATCAGTGAGGAAGGCATCTCAGTGGCCTGGGCTGTGTGTCTGAAGGGTGAGGAAGGCATCACAGGTCTGGACTGTGTGTCTGAAGGATGAGGAAGGCATTGCAGATCTGGACTGTGTGTCTGCCGGGTGAGGAAGGCATAGCAGATCTGGACTGTGTGTCTGAAGGGTGAGGAAGGCATCTCGGTGGCCTGGACTGTGTGTCTGAAGGGTGTGGAAGGTATCGCAGATCTGGACTGTGTGTCTGAAGGGTGTGGAAGGTATCGCAGATCTGGACTGTGTGTCTGAAGGGTGAGGAAGGCATCTCAGTGGCCTGGACTGTGTGTCTGAAGGGTGAGGAAGCCATCGCAGATCTGGACTGTGTGTCTGAAGGGTGAGGAAGCCATTGCAGATCTGGGCTGCATGTCTGAAGGGGAAACGATCATCAGAACCCTTGAGTGAGTCACTGCAGGGCTCCAGCCAGTCTCACTGCCACTCGGGAGGCATGCCAGGATCAGGGCGTCACCTGCTTCTGTCTACACTGCAAACAGAGGTCTCTGTCCCACTACACGATGGTCACAGCACACTGCGAATTTGTGAGACTTTAAAATCAGAGGGTTACTCTTCCCAAATGGACCTTTGGGTTTAGTAAAATCCCTATCAAAATCCCAGCAAGGATTTTTATAGATATAAATGAGCTAATTCTAAAACTTATATGGGAAGGCACAGGCTCTAGAATAGCTAAAACAACCTTGAAAAAGAAGATTGAGGGGGAAGGAATACGTATCCCCAATGTCCAGCCTTCTGAGACAGCTACAGTGACCAACAGTGTGGGATTGGTGGGCATGGGCATGGAGACCAATGGGACAGACCAGGGAACCAGAAACAGACCCATGCAAATGTGTTTAACTGACTGGGACAGAGTACAAGCGCCACTCCGTGGAAAAGGGACAGCCAGCCATCCCCTGGTGCAGGGGCGACAAGACAGCCACGGGCAAAATAATAAGGACAGAAACAAACCTGACTGAAACCTCACACCTTATACAAAAATCATCTCAAAATGGATCATGAACTTAAATGTAAAACATGAAACTATAACACTTTTAGAAAGAAACATGGGAGAAAGTCTTTGGGTCTAGGACCAGGCAAAGAATGCTTCATTCAGGACACTGAACGTACAGTCCTCAAAAGAAAAAAAAAAAATCAGCCAGGCGTGGTGGCTCACCCCTGTAATCCCAGCACTTTGGGAGGCCGAGGCAGGCAGATCACTTGACGCCAGCAGTTCAAAACTAGCCTGGGCAAAATGGTGAAACCCCATCTCTACTAACACTAAAAAATTAGACAGGCATGGTGGTGCACGCCTGTAATCCCAGCTACTTGGGAGGCTGAGGCAGGAGAATAGCTTGAACCTGGGAGGTGGAGGTGGCAGTGAGCCGAGATTGCGCCACTGCATTCCAGCCTGGGCAACAAGAGCAAGACTCTGTCTCAAAAGAAATAATAATTTTAAAAAAAAGAAAAAAAAAATCAAGAAATTGGACTTGAACAAAATTAAAAACGTTTGCTTTGTGAAATATCCTGCTGAGTATTAAAAATCATATATCTGACAAAGTATTACTATCTAGATTATATGACCTCTCAACATTTAACAGTAAAAAGAAGCTCAAAGAATCCAGCTAGAAAAATGGATAAAAGACATGAAGAGTTATTTTTACTGACAAGGATATGCAGATGTCAAACGAGCGTGAAAAGATGTCCCACAGAGCCGTCAGGGACATATTTAAGCTGCACCGAGACATCAGGAACAGCAGTAACACCCAGTGCTGGTGAAGATGCTGGCAACGTCGTGCGTGGGAATGAAATGGGATGGCCATGCTGGAAAACCATTTGGCAGTTCCTTTCAAAACCAAACGTGGATATGCTAGATGACCCAGCAATCCAACTCTTGAGCTTTTATGCAAAAGAAATGAAAACTAAATTCACAAGAAAACTTGCACACAAATATTCATAGCAGCTCTCTTGATAACAGCCCCAAACTAGAAAAATCGAAAAGCCCTTCAACTTGTGAATGGTGAAACTGCAGTACGCCCCCATCATGGAACGCTCCTTAGCAATACAAGGGAAGGAATGGCTGGTGCACAGACTTCGTGAATCCCGAGGGAATTAGACTGCCTGAAAACAGCCAACCCCAAAAGGTCACAGGCTGCAGGATTCTCTTTATATCATATCCTTGAGATGACAAAATCTTAGAGCTGGGCAGCACATCCGAGCAAATGGAACACAGGATGCCTGTGTTTTATTTCTTACTACCACATGTGATCCCGTAATTACCTCGAAATAAAAAGTTTAATTAAAAAAGAAAAACTAATTAAAGGACTGCTTTTCTAGGACGCTCTAGCACTCTCAAAGGCCTGAGCCATTACGACCGATGGAAGCTGGATGTCTGCCGTTGTAGGAAAAGCCTGATCTTTTCTTTCTCGTCCTGAGTAGCCTGTTTAGCATCCTCTTGGTTACGACACACAGGATACAGAGCTGGCATTTCCCACAGAAGACCGATACATTAAAAATTCAATTTTCTGTGGGCAGACACTGTTTAGGTCTATTTTTTAAGAAAGATGTTTAGCTACAAGTATGAAGGCTTTGCAAGGGAAATATAATCATTAAAGGAAATGGCGTTGAAGGCCTGGGACCGGATGCCTGCTGACACAGGCATGGAGCTCGCGGCTGTTCCCCAGGCCAGGGCCATCTGCTCTCTGAACCCCCGACCTCTAGGGAAACATCACTCATCTGAACTCACTGAAGGGAAAAGCTGTCTCAGAAGCATTTAAACACCTGGATAGCACGTTTATAAGTGAAAATGTTTAAATGCTTAAAAGTACATTTGGTGACGTGTGTGATACACAGAACAGTGAGAGCAAGGTGAGCGGTGGGGGGTTAGTGGTTGATGCTGGCTCCTCTGAAGGGCCTCTGAGTGCCTCCTGGGGTCCCGTCCCACTGGACAGGGAAGGGCTGCGGCCTTGTCCGGAGAGGTTCACTGAGCCCAGGCTGGCTGGGCTGCTTGGAGGCCCTCCCTCCAGGCTTCTGGAACGCACCTGGCTCTCCACATGCACAGGACTGGGGTGCTCCCTGCCTCCCTCACCAAACCTCCTACGGCTCAGCTGGGAAAACAGCCAGGGAGGCAGTGGGGCTGCACGAGGGAGGGAGGCGTGGGAGTTGGAAAGAGCCAGGCAGGGTGCACGAGGACCAGTGGGGGCAGGAAGGGGCCGGTGTGGGCCTGGCACCTAGATCCACATCAGATGGGGGACTGGAGCAGGCTGCTGACCGCTACCTTGACACAAACGTGAAAAACCACACTCATGGTTTCTACCTATAAAGGTGCTTCCAAATGACTAGTATAAGCTTGAAACTATCTCATTTAAATAATTTAATCACATATTTTGAAACATATTGAGATATTAGTTACACAGATAATTCATTTGAAACAGATTTAAAATGCAGCCTTCAAGAAGAACTGTAATATTCCCAACACAAAGAATCAATGTTTGAGGTGACAGACATCCCAGTTACCCCGACTTCATCATCACACATTGGTGTGCAGGCATCAAAATATCACATGGACCCCCAACTACGTACAACTATTATACATCAATAAAAAACAATTTTTTGGCCGGATGCGGTGGCTTATGCCTGTAATTCCAGCACTTTGGGAGGCCAAGGCAGGCGGATCACAAGGTCAGGAGATCGAGACCAGTCTGGCCAACATTTTGTTAAGACCCCATCTCTACTAAAAATGCAAAAATTAGCTGGGTGTGGTGGCAGGCGCCTGTAATCCCAGCTACTGGGGAGGCTGAGACAGGAGAATCACTTGAACCCGGGGGCGGAGGTTGCAGTGAGCTGAGGTTATGCTATTGCACTCCAGCCTGGGTGACAGAGCAAGACTCTGTCTCTTAAAAAATAAATAAATACATTTTTTTTAAAAAAATGCAATCTTCAATGAAGTTTTCTGTTCCAATTTTCATAAATTTCCACCTAGTCGAGTTTATATTGATATGATTTTATTATACTTTATTCTAAAACAAATTTTAGAAACAGTGTTTCCAATCTTTCTCTGTCTTGATTGGTTCGTGTGTTCCCATAATTTTAAATTCCACCAATCCTGGTGTGGGATGAAATTCCACCAATCCTGGCGTGGGATGCTGGTGATGGGGAGGCTGTGTGTGGGGATGGGGGTGGTGATAATAATTTTAAATTCCACCAATCCTGGCATGGGATGCCGGCAGAGGGAGGGTGTGTGTGGGGATGGGGGCAGTGATAATGATTTTATATTCCACCAATCCTGGTGTGGGATGCTGGCAGAGGGAGGCTGTGTGTGTGTGTGTGTGTGTGTGTGTGTGTGTGTGTGTGTGTGTTGGAAGGGGCAGTGGGTACATCCACCTAATGCTGCTGTGAACCTAAAACTGCTCTAAAAAGTCTATTAAACATAAACAAATAAAAATTAAAGGTAAAAAAAAAAAAAAGAAGTAGGGAGCTTGGGCCTACACCCAATAAAAAACATCTCAGTCTGTTTTGCCAAAGAAAATAAAAACTTAAAAACATTTATTATTTGTATTTTAAAAATGTTTAAGAGACAGGGTCTTTCTCGGTTGCCCAGGCTGGAGAGCAGTGGCTATTCACAGGCACGGTGAAGCCTCCTGAGTGGCCTCCGACTTCCAGGCTCAGCGATCCTCCTGCCTCAGCCTCCTGAGTAGCTGGGACTGGAGGCGCGAGCCACTGCACCTGGGTAAAACTTATTTTTTAAACAGTTACTGGACTTCACCAGCGTAAATGTGTCGGGTGTCACTTACTCGCAGCTTTCGACTTTGTTTCCGAACGAGCTTGCCGTGCTGAATGAAATGAACAGGACACTGGTTCATGGCATTGTCTGCTTTATGTCGAAGCCAGTCTTCATAACCCTAAAAAAAGGAAGGAAAGAAGGGAGAGAGGAAGCAGGGAGAGAGGGAAGGAGGAGAAAGGGAGGGAGAGACAGAAGGCTTGTGTTTAATTATGTCTAAGCATAATCCAAGCCTGTGGGGGTGTATTTTTCAGCATGAGGATGCACTACACACACTATCCTTGACAGAGCATCGGCATGTTCCATGGCAACGCGAGCTGCTTTAAATGTCTGCAGTTGTAGAACTTCGAAGACGTTGGAGAAAGATGCTCATCGAAGTGTGTATAAGTACTATACAACTGTACTTTTTGTGCCTATTCATGACATGGACTTAGGATAAATTCCTAAAAAAGAAGTGTCTGAATGAAATGATGAGCAAGCCTTCCAGGCTCTTCACATCCACACCGAAAAGCCCCGAAGACGTGGAGCCAGTTACATTTCCACCCGCTGAGTGTCAACCTTCCACTTGGAAAAGCCCCCACTGGCCATTCTTCTCTTTCATTAAAAACTGATTGTTATGAGATCTGGCAGCCCAGACTCTCGGTGAAACGCCGGCTCACTCTGTGACACCCGCAGCAGCCTTAAGGCTCTCTGTGCGTTTCCGCATCTGAGTAACCCACGCGGGAAACATCCCATCGTGACTCCCGTGCACGCACAGGCAGGGGGCTGGAAAAGCAGCCTGAGCTAACCCTGACCCCGGCCGCGCTGACGGACCTGGATGCCTTCCACTGGCGCAGACACGTGCACTCCGATTCCAACTACGAAGGCACACCCTCTGGTTGGACAGTCAGGTGGCATCTTGAAAGAAGCGACAATAGGAGATGCTGCACACAGATGATTCCTGGGATGACAAACGTGCCTTTGTGTTTGGCGTTGCTGGGTGCAGGTGCCTTAGATAAGGATGGGGAATGCCGTTCTCAGTAACAATCCCCAGCATGTGAGAGACTGCACACCAGGGGCCTATGGGCGTCCACGTCCACCGCATCTAATGAGTGTCGAAATTGGAAACACAGCTCTGCCACACACAACACACAACCACGCAGGATGGCAGCAGGAAGCCTGTGCCACGGGCCCACTGCATGTGTGCTGAGACACACAACCACACAGGATGGCGGCAGGAAGCCTGTGCCACGGGCCCGCTGCAGGTAGGTTGCAAGAGCCTGTGGGGCAGGAGGCTCACTGGGGACCTCCTCCCTGTGGGCCACGTGGCGGCATCAGTGGCCCTGTGACTGGAGTCTCCTCCGAAGGGAGCATAAACAAGTAACCCAAAACCTCCAGCTTCTGGAGAATTAAGAAGCCTGGGACGCATGGATATCCAAACGTGCGAGCTTTCTCCAGCTGTGACCATTAATAAGTGACACTGTGGCATCTGATTGCTTTTCAGAGATTCCTCCCAAATCGCTGAAATACTCTCTTTCTGGGGAAACTGAAGAACAGTCTTCCTGGAAGGTGGCAGTGGGTAGATGATTCCTGGGTTCATTAAACACACTTATTTAGCACCAACTGCATGCTCAGCAAGTGCCAGGCACCAGGGGCCCACAGACGAAAGACCTTGTCCCCAGAGCTGCTGCTCTCAGGATTGGTGGAGAAGAAACAGAAATAACTGCAAGTTCAATGCAGGTGAGAGACACCCAGGATCCCCGAAAAGCCTAGCGCCCGGGCTGCGGGAAGACGCCAAAGAGGAGGTGCCCAGGAATGCCCAGCGGTGAGGGAGTCCCCAGGGGCTGGCACTGCCCACCAGCCAGCCTGGCTGGGACGGGAAGGACACGTGGAGGCCCATGCATGTGATGGGCTGATCGGAGGGGCCCTGCACATAGCAGGGGAGGCTGGGTGCCACAGGGAAAGGCCGCTCTGGCAGGACCTGGGCGATGGCGGCGGCAGAGCCAGGTACAGTGAGATGCCCGTCAGTGCCCAGCGGAGACAGCGGGGAGATGGTGTGAAAAGAGAGGCGGGGACCTAAGAGAAAATCAGGGAGGCCTCTGTGAGTGCAGGGGGCTTTCCAAGGCAAGCGAGGAGGGGCCGGGAGCATGGGGACCCCAGCACAAACAGCCCTGCTGGAGCCACAGTGTGGGGAGGCCATTTGGGAAAGTCCCAGCTGCGGACAGAGGCGCTGTTCCCAAGGAAGAGGGACAAGGAGGTCAGTAGTGGGGGAAGGTCGAGGGGGTGGGGGGGCTCTGGCACACACAGGTCCAGACCAGCAGTAGGGGAAGCAAGGCCATCCCCAGAGTGAAAGCTGGGTAGCAGGACGCGCGGGAGAGGAAGAGACCCCTCTGGGCAGAGGCAGGGGTGCTGGTGATGGGGCCCAGAACTGCAGCTCTGTTCATTTGCCGCCTTGCCCTGACCCCCTCTTAACATCCCCAAAACGCCCGCCCACTGCCCTGGGATGGGAGGGGACACAGCCAGGGAGGGGACATAGCCAGGCCGATGGGAGGGGACACAGCCAGGGATGGGGCACAGCCGGGCCGAGGACACCACATGTTGTCTGGGGCCGTGGTCTGCACAGTGTAGAGAGGCAGCCTCTGCATCCATGGGGGCTCGGGCTCCCCGGCCGCTGCCTCTCTGGCCCAGATGCGTCTTCAGAGCCGCCCTCCCTACTCCACGCTCTCCTCTCCTCTCCTCCAGGACACTCCTGGAGATCTCAGGAGTTTCCTGCTCAGTAGAGTCCCGGGAGGGATGGAATCCTTAACAAATGCAGAGAAGAGGACGCTGAAGAACAGTGCTACGCCTGCCTCCTGGGGCCAGGCTGGAAAGAACAGAGCCATAGAGCCTCAGCCCCTTGTTCTGCACCCCCGCGCCCCTTCTCTCTGCTCCCCTTGAGAGGCTCAGGGGTCTCCTTCCTGTCTGCAGCCTCTGCTCCTACCACACAGATGTATCACAGATAGCACGGGACGCCCTCACCTAATCTCCACGATGGGTTCCTGGAAACTGTGACTTTGGGCCCGAGGACACATGGCAGGTCCCCGAGTAACATCGTTTCCTTCAGCACCATTTCCTTGTGAAGTTGATGAGAAAACCCATCGTTTTGCTTAAAGTTGAAGTTTGCAAGAGCCTGCCACCGACATGAAGTGAGGCCTTATCCCAGGTAGGAGTTAAACTGCCTGAGTCACAGGCAGCGCGTCCTTGGGAAGCGTGAGTCTCCCTCATGTTCTGTTCTCCAGGCAGCACAGTTCGTTTCGTTACTGTGCTGTGTTCTGCCATGCACCGCGGCGGAGCTGTCCATTTCCTTACGGAGGGACACCAGGTTGCCCGAGTCCTTTGCTAATCAATGACAGCCACCATGAATATCCTAGTTCACGTATCCCGGTAGGCACGGCCGGCTCTGGCCTAGTGAAGACACACAGGCCCCATGTACTGACTGCACAGCTGCATGTTTATCATCTGCACTGGACCCTGTGTGTCCCCATCTCTGCCTGTGTCAGATGTTGCCAACTGCTGTGCTTGGTGGCTCCGCCACGCTCCTGCCGGCGGCCCGTGGTGCCTCCCTCGCCATGCCCTCTCCAGCCTTTCACATCTGAAAGCCAATCTGGTGGGTGTGAAACACAAATGTTCTCAGCAGCATTATTCAGAACAGCCAAAGAGTGGAAACACCCCAAATGTCCATCCACAGAGGACGCGTGATACACAAAATGCCAGGTATGTGCAGGGGACCGTGACTCATTCATCAGACGGAATGAAGCGCTGACGCCTGCTCAGATGCAGAGAAACCTTGAAAACATCATGCTGAGTGAAAGAGCCAGTCACAAAACACCGCCTATGAGCCGTGAGTACGAAATGTTTAGAATAGGCGACTCTACGGTGACAGAAACATGAGTCTTTGCCAGGGACGGGGAGGAGAAAATGGGGAGGGACTGAACACGTGTACAGGGAATCTGGGGGTGATAAAATGGATACGTAGAGAGTAAAACTGAGATGTATTCTTCTCCATGTTAGTCACTGGCCTTATTTACTGGGGCTATGAAAAAAAAAAGCAAAACCAAAAACAAACAAACAAAAAACAGCATCCCATTTGCTGGAGTCCATAAACAGCATGTTCTGTGGTGGTCAAGACAGTCAAGGATACAGAAAGGTTAAGTGACTCATCTGATCAGATCATCTCTGGGTGATTTGGGATGTGAAAACCACAGATTTCTTCTCGAACTCGCATGGTGCCAGACTAGCAACTAAATTATATAACATCTCTTATTTCGCTTCAAGTATCAATCTAACGCAGTTATAAAAATGAATTTCTAGAACTTGGTTGAATTTTCTGTGAACTAGCTACAACAAACCAATCACCTCGCTTTGAATGAAAGGCAATTCACATGGTGAAGATGACGATTGCTTCTTTTTCGTCTGTAAAATGCTTACCTGTTTGATAGCCGTCACAGTAATGACAAAGAAGAGTGGAAGTCCGCTTGTCACTGGACTTGTGGGTGTATCAATAATCAACTGCAGAAAGAGAGAATTGTAAAATCATCTTCAAAAACACAAATGAGTGACTTCAGGCAGGTTAGTTTGCCCTGAGCCAGCACTTCCCATTCGCTTTGACTTATTTAAAGACCTTTGCTGGCACCTGACTGCCCACCACGGGAGATAGCAAGTCAATCGTCCTATTTCACTGACTGTTAAAATGAGGGCACCTTTTTTAAATTAAGGAACATGCTCAAGGAAACCACCGAGAGTGGCAGACCCAGTCTGAAGTCGGGGCACGCCTTGTATTAATTCACCCCACGGCCTCAGTGTCACATTTTAATTACATGATTTGAATAATTTAATGTTGGAAAAATTTTTAAAGTCCTTCAGTAGCATTTTGTATGATTTAGAAAAATTAGAGTGCTGTTCTTAAAACACATTTGGCACATTGCTCCCTAACTCATACCCCGAGATATTTTTTCACTCTTTTTTTTCTTTCCTTTAAACTCTCTTTTCATGTGTACTGTCTTTGGATTTTCTTTCTTTCTTTTTCTTTCTCTTTTTTTTTTTTTTTTTGAGACAGTCTCGCTCTGTCGCCAGGCTGGAGTGTAGTGGCACGATCTCAGCTCACTGCAACCTCCCACTCCTGGGATCAAGTGATTCTCCTGCCTCAGCCTCCCGCGTAGCTGGGACTACAGGTGTGCACCACCACACCCAGCTAATTTTTGTATTTTTAGTAGAGACAGGGTTTAGCCATGCTGGCCAGGATGGTCCCTATCTCTGGACCTCGTGATCCTCCCAGAGTGCTGGGATTACAGGCGAGCCACTGTGCCCGGCCTGGATTTTCTTTAGAGCATCCACACACACTTAGGAAGAGTAAATTAAGTGTAACGATGCATAGCTTGGCAGTGAACTTGTCCAAATGATGACAAAGCTCTGATTTCCCCTCTGGTACTAGAAGGAAAGGGGCAGGAAAGGCTGTCACCAACTTAAACCCAAAGTAGCGTCGTGTGTAGTTTAGCTTGTGTGGATCTCACAGAACCAAGACATTTTGCCCTTCCTTAAGAAAATAAATAAATTAATCATAGGTGAGGGGCACCATGTCCTTGCTCTTTCATTAGCCGTGTGGCAGTTACCTGAGAATAAAATGTCACTTATTTAGATTTATATGTGATGAGATGGAAAACAATGACCGGCCTTACCTGCACCAGAAATATGATAAGGAAATAAAAGTTGGCTACTCTTCTGAATTGTTCAAATAAATTCTTGGGTATAAAGTTCCAAAATGTGTACTGCATAAAAGAAAAACAAACATCCATCATTGAGATCAGATTTTACTCTTGTAGTGTTACTCTAGGGCATAGTAAGTAGCACTGGATTTTACAGTACAAAATGTTTAGCTTTAGATATAAAACTCATAATTCATAATTTAGAGTGTTTGTTGACAGCTAAGACAGCTTAAACAAAGTGTGTACTCTGAAACACGTATGTAAATTACCTAACTCCAGAGAATTCAAGATAAAACGCAAGGTAGCTCAACAATAGTTTGATTATTAAGATGTCTTTTATAAAACGTAAACCTGTGATCATTAACTCAACACATTAGCATTTTACTTCAGTAATTTCTGCATGATCTCTCCTCTGAGTGAGAGCATGACAGCGAGCTGAATGGAAGCCTTCACCCAGCTCCAGGCAGCTTCTGAGGCAGGCGTGTTTCTTGTCCACAGCTCAGGCACAGGGGCTTTGAGGCCTCAGGGGGAAGGACAGGAAAAGGAGGGGAAGGAGGGCAGAGAGGGGATGGGGGGGAGGGAGGTGAAGGAGGGAAGGAGGAAAAGGAGGGGAAGGAGGGCAGAGAGGGGATGGGGGGAGGGAGGTGAAGGAGGGAAGGAGGGGAACGAGGGCAGAGAGGGGATGGGGGGAGGGAGGTGAAGGAGGGAAGGAGGAAAAGGAGGGGAAGGAGGGCAGAGAGGGGATGGGGGGAGGGAGGTGAAGGAGGGAAGGAGGGCAGAGAGGGGATGGGGGGAGGGAGGTGAAGGAGGGAAGGAGGGGAAGGAGGGCAGAGAGGGGATGGCAGGGAGGGAGGTGAAGGAGGGAAGGAGGGCAGAGAGGGGATGGGGGGAGGGAGGTGAAGGAGGAAAAGGAGGGGAAGGAGGGCAGAGAGGGGATGGGGGGAGGGAGGTGAAGGAGGGAAGGAGGAAAAGGAGGGAAGGAGGGCAGAGAGGGGATGGCAGGGAGGGAGGTGAAGGAGGGAAGGAGGGGAATGAGGGGAATGAGGGAAGGAAGGGAAGAAAGGAGGAAAAGGAGGGGAAGGAGGGCAGAGAGGGGATGGGGGGAGGGAGGTGAAGGAGGGAAGGAGGGGAATGAGGGAAGGAAGGGAAGCAAGGAGGAAAAGGAGGGGAAGGAGAGGAAGGAGGAGGAGGGGAAGGAGAGGAAGGAGGGGAGGGAGGGGAAGTAAGGCAGGGAGGGGAGGGAGAGGAAGGAGGGAAGGAGGGGAATGAGAGAAGGAGGGGAAGGAGGTCAGGGAGGGAAGGAGGGGAATGAGAGAAGGAGGGGAGGGAGGGGAAGGAGGGAGAATGCCCAGCCACCACAGCATCTCCTCTCCACACTTCTCATTTTGCTTCTGTAGCAGTTTCATTCAACTTCTGTGTTGAAAACAACAACGTCCCAGATGTCACGAACCTTCACTGAGTTTGGAAATAGTTTCTGAAATTTCATCTGACATGTTTTTACGCCGTAATGAAGACAGTCTACCGAAACCTGAAGAAGGTCTCACAGCCTGTGCTGCGGCCTCTGCCATCTGTGTGTCTCTTCAACGGGGCTTATTTCAAAATCCCATTCGAAGGTGGGTTCTGGCTCCTGGAAGCCAGAAGTAGTTGTCAAATTCTCATACCAAGAATTTCTTTAATTCCAGGCTCATGAATATAAGTTATTTACAATTCAATGTAACAACTAAAGCCTGGTATGGTCCTAAACTAACCAACATGTTCTGAATTTGGTGTTTACAAATATTTCAGAGGAAATCCATGTGCGTCTTTTAAAACTTCTCTGCCTCAAGTTTCCAGTGGCTTAGAGAGTATATAAGGAATTTCCATTTTCTATTCTAATTCACATTTACAAAGTGATTTTACCTTTCACAATAAAGTTCCTTAATGAGGGTAAAAACAGAGTAGTGGCTCCCCCCAGTTCATGACAACTACGGCCATATTTTCAGTTCCCATCTCAGGTTGACTGTAATAAAAAAGGCAAGGGGAGCTCCAGAAGAGAGTCTCTGGAGTTTTAAAAAAGAAACTAACTTTCCATGTCCTCCCTAGGTCATCCCGCCCTACCCATCCAAACACCCTTATTTTCCATGTGTTGTTTGATACCAGGTTTTTATCAGATGTGTGTTTTGCAAATCTATTCTCCCAGTCAGTGGCTCATATTTTAATTCTCTTAACTGTATTTTGCAAAGCTCAAGTTTTTAATCTTCACGAAGTCCAACTTATCAATTTTCCTTTCATGAACAGTGTTTTTGGTGTTATCCAAAAACTTGTTGCCAAACCCAAGGTCACCTAGACTTTCTCCTACATTTCTACAAGTTTCATTATTATACATTTTACATTTAGGTCTATGACTCACTTTGAGCTAATTTTCTTGAACGGTGTGTGATCACTGTCTAGAGTCACTGTTGCTGGGTTTTTTTTTTTTTTTTTTTTTGCATGTCCAGTTTTTCTAGCACTATTTGTTGAAAAGAAATAGTGCTTTTCTGTCTGCCCTGAATTGCCTTTGCTCCTTTGTCAAAGATGGGTTGACTATCTGGGTGAATGGGTTGACTATCTGGGTGGATTTACTGGGTGGATCTACTCCCAGGCTCTCTATGATGTTTCATTGATCTATTTGTCTATTCTTTTCTTTTTTTTTTGTGAGACGGAGTCTCGCTCTGTTGCCCAGGCTGGAGTGCAGTGGCGCGATCTCGGCTCACCGCAAGCTCTGCCTCCTGGGTTCGCGCCATTCTCCTGCCTCAGCCTCCTGAGTAATTGGGACTACAGGCGCCCACCACCACGCCCGGCTAATTTTTTTTGTATTTTTAGTAGAGATGGGGTTTCATCGTGTTGGCCAGGTTGGTCTCAATCTCCTGACCTCGTGATCCGCCCGCCTCGGCCTCCCAAAGTGCTGGGATGACAGGTGTGAGCCGCCACGCCCAGCCGCTATTTCTCTATTCTTTCAGCAACACCACACTGTCTTGATTACCGTAGTTTTACAGTAAGTCCTAAAGTGGGCTAGTGTCAGTTCTCCAACTTGGTTCAATACTGCGAGGCTATTCTGGGTCTTTTGCCTTTCCATATAAATGCAGAATCAGTTTGGTGATATCTAGAAATTAACTTGCTGGGAATTTGATTAGGACAGGTCAAAGTGGGAAGAACTGACATCTTAAAAACATGGAGTTTTCCCATCCATGAACATGGAACATCTCTCCATTAATTTAAGTCTTTGATTTCGTTACAGTTTTGTCGTTTTCCTTACCTAGACCTTGTACATATCTTGTTAGATTTATACCTGTGTAATTTGGTGGGTGGGGGGGTTAAATGTAAATAGTGTTGTTTTCAATTTCAAATTCCAACTGTTCATTGCTGGCATATAGGATAGCGATTAATTTTTGCATCCTGCAACCATGCTATAATCGCCTCTAACATCCAGAAGTTTTTTTGTTATTGTTGGTTCTTTGGGATTTTCTGCATGGACAATCATATCACTTGTGAACAAAGATAGTCTTATTCCTTCCTTCCCAATCTGTAGGACTTTTATTCCCATTTCTACTCTTACTGTATTAGCTAGGATTTCCAGTACAATGCTGCATAAGAACAGTGATAAGGGATTTCTTGCCTTTTTTCCAATCTTAGGGTGAAATCATCTCGTTTTTCACCATTAAGTATGACGTCAGCTGTAGGCCTTTTATTCCCATTTCTACTCTTACTGTATTAGCTAGGATTTCCAGTACAATGCTGAATAAGAACAGTGATAAGGGATTTCTTGCCTTTTTTCCAATCTTAGGGTGAAATCATCTCGTTTTTCACCATTAAGTATGACGTCAGCTGTAGGCCTTTTATTCCCATTTCTACTCTTACTGTATTAGCTAGGATTTCCAGTACAATGCTGAATAAGAACAGTGATAAGGGATTTCTTGCCTTTTTTCCAATCTTAGGGTGAAACCATCTCGTTTTTCACCATTAAGTATGACGTCAGCTGTAGGGCTTTTCGGAGATGCTCTTTATGAAGCTCAGGAAATTCCCCTCTGTTTTTAGTTTGCTGCAGTACATGAGTGGGTAGTGAATTTTGTCAAATTCTTTTTCTGCACCTATTGATATAATCATGTAAGTTTTCTTTTTTAGCCTGTAAATATGGGTTATATTAGTCGATTTTCAAATGTTGGATCAGCCTTGCATACCTAGGATAAACCCACTTGGTCATGGTGTATAATTCTTTTTATACATTGTTGAATTGGACTTGCTAATATTTTATTGAGAATCGTTGCTTCTATGTTCATGAGAAATACTGGTGTGTGATATCGTCTTTCTGGTAATATCTTTTTCTGGTTTTGGTTTTAGGGTAATGCTGGCCTCATAGAACGAATTAGAAAATGTTCCTTCCGCTTCTATTACCTGGAAGAGATTGTAGAGAATTGATTTTTTTTTTTTTCCTTAAATGTTTGGTAGAATTCACCAGTGAAAACATCTGAGTCTTGTGCTTTCCGTTTTGGAAGAGTATTAATTACGGATTCCATTTCTTTTAATTGATGTAGGCCCACCCAGATTATATTTCTCCTTGTTTGAGTTTTGGTAGATAGCGTTTTTCAAGAAACTGGCCAATGTTATCTAAGTTACCAAGTTTATGGGTGTAGGGCTGTTCATGATATTCCTTTTAATCTTTTTATTAGCCATGTTACCAGTAGTGATGCCCCTCCTTTATTTCTGATGTTTGGAATTTGTGTCTCTTTTCTTTTCCTCTTGTTTAGCCTGGCTAAAGTTTTATTGATTTTATTGATTTTTTTTTTTCAAAGAACCAGCTTTTGATGTTTAAAATTTTCTCTGATTTCCTGTTTTCAATTTCATTAATTTCTGTTCTAATGTTGATTATTAATTTTTTGTTAAGTTTCCTAATGTTGAAGCTTGTAGATTTTGGATCTTTCTTCTTTTCTAATCTATGTAGTCAATACTATAAATTTCCCTCTAAGCACTGCTTTTCCTGCATCCCACAAGATTTGATAAGTTATATTTTTTGTTTAGCTTAAAATATTTTTATGCCTCTTGAGACTTCTTTGGTTCATGTGTTATTTAGTAGTGTTTTGTTTAATCTCCAAATATTTTGGGATTTTCCAGTTAACTTTGTTATTTATTTATTTCTAGTTTAATTCTACTGTGGTCTGAAAGAGTACTTGGTATGATTTCTATTCTTTGAAAAGGTGCTAAGGTGTATTTTATGGCCCAGAATGTGATCTGTCATGGCAAATGTTCCATGTGAACTTGAGAAGAATGTGTGGTCTGCTATTGTTGAATGAAGTATTTTATAAATTGTGAGGCCTCTGAGCCCAAGCTAAGCCTGTGACCTGCACATATACACCCAGATGGCCTGGAGCAACTGAAGAACCACAAAAGATGACATTCCACCTTTGTGATTTGTTCCTGCCTCACCCCAACTAATCAATCAACCTTGTGACATTCCCCCCTGGACAATGAGTCTCATGACCTCCCCACCCTGCACCTTGTGACCCCCGCCCCTGCCCACAAGGGATAACCACCTTTAACTGTAATTTTCCACTACATACCCAAATCCTATAGAACTGCCCCACCTCCATCTCCCTTTGCTGACTCCTTTCTCGGACTCAGCCCACTTGCATCCAAGTGAATAAACAGCCTTGTTGCTCACACAAAGCCTATTGGTGGACTCTCTTCACATGGACGCGTGAGACATAAAGGTCCATTAGATCCAAGGGACTGATGGTGCTGTTCAGTTCAACCGTGTCCTTACTGATTTTCTGCCTGTGGACAGAGGTCATGAAGTGTCCAAATATAACAGTGGATTTTCTTTCTCTTTCCAGTTCTATCCGTTTTTGCCTCACATATTTTGACCCTCTGTTGTTACAGAGACTTTGAGAATTGTTATGTTGTCTTGGAGAACTGACCTCTTTGTTGTTTGGCAATGCCCCTCTTTATCCCTGGTAACTTCTCTTGTTCTGAAGTCTGCTTTGTCTGAAATTAATATAGCTAATCTTGTGTCCCTTTGAGTAGTAGCAGCATGGTACATCTTCCTCTATCTCTTAAACCCGTGTTTTTATATTTAAAGTGCCTTTCCTGCACACAACATATGGTTAGGTCTTGTTTTTTCTATTCTGACAGTTTCTGTATTTGGTTTATTTAGACAATTCACACTTAAAGTGATTATTAATATAGCTGGATTAATATTTACCATATTTGTAACTGACTTTTATTCCTTTCTTCATAGTCTTTGTTTCTTTTGTGACTTATACTCTTTTCCTGCCATCTTGGGTTTTAATTAAGCATTTGATGTGACTATTTTCTCTCCTGTCTTAGAATATCAACTATACTTATTTTTTAAAAAAATTACTTAGTGGTTGCACTAGAGGCCACAATATACGCCCACTCTCACATAACCCGCACTGTGTGTGTGGCGCAGATTCCTCGCAACAGCATGCCCAGTTCCTTCTTGCCCCCCAGGGCACTGCTGTCATACATTTCATTCACCCCTGAGCAATCACCACTGAGTAAATGCTATTATCATTCTGAATAAAGTACTCTCTGTTAGACCAATTAAGAACACGAAAAGCAAGCTGGGTGCTGTGCCCTGTAATCCTAGCACTTCAGGAGGCTGAGGCAGTGGATCCCTTGAGCCCAGAAGTTCTAAACCCGTCTGGGCAACATGGTGAGATCACGTCTCTAAAAGAAATAAAAAACAACAAAAAAGCAAAATATTTAATTTTACTACCTTCACTTATTCCTTCTTGCTATGGTTTGAATGTGTCCCCTCCAAAATTCAGGTGTTGCCAATGTGACAACTAGTCACGGTCCCAGGAGGCGGGGCCTTCAAGAGTTCTGATTCCGCCATGCGGGCTCCTCCCTCATGAATGGGATTAGGTGCCTGTATAAAAGGGCTCGGCAGAGGGAGTTTGCCCCTTTGCCCTTTTGCCTTCTGCCACATAAGGACACAGCCTTCCCCCACTCCAGAGGATGCAGTGCTCAAGGAGCCATCTTGGAAGCAGAGATGGGGCCCTCACCAGACACCAAACCTGCCAGTGTCTTGATCTTGGACTTCCCAGACTCTAGAACTGTGGGGAAATCAATGTCTCTTCTCTATAAATTACCCAGTCTGTGGTATTCTGTTGTAACAGCACAAAAACTCACACTTTAGTGCTGTGTTCTTCTTTCCTAAGTAGACCTGAATTTCTGACCTATATAATTTTCCTTCTTTCTGAAGAACTTTTAACATTTCTTGCAAGGGAGGTCTACTGGCAATGAATTCGCTCAATTTTTGTTTGCCTGAAAAAGTCTTTATTTCTCCTTCACGAATGAAGGATAATTTTATGAGATACAGAATTCTGGGTTGCTGGCTTTTTCTTTCAACACTTTAAATATTTTACATTATTCTTTTCTTCCTTAGATGGTTTCTGGAAGAAAGTTTGATATAATTCTTACCCTTGTTTCTCAGCAGGTAAAATGTTCTTTTCCTGTGGCTTCTTTCAAGATTTTTTCTGAGTCTAATTTTCTGCAATTTAAATGTGATATGTCTAGGTGTACCCTTTTTAAAAAATTTATTCTGCTTTTGTATTTATCTCTGAGCTTCCTGGATCGGTAGTTTGGCATCTGCCATTAATTTTGGAAATAGCCACTTTTACTGGAGATATTTCTTCTCTCTTCTTTTGTTTTTTTCATTATGCATATATGGTTTACCTTTTTTTTTTTTTTTTTTTTTGAGATGGAGTTTTCACTCTGGCTGCCCAGGGTGGAGTGCAGTGGTGCTATCTTGGCTCACTGCAACCTCTGCCTCCCAGCTTCAAGGGATTCTTGTGCCTCAGCCTCCCAAGTAGCTGGGATTACAGGCACCTGCCACCACACCTGGCTAATTTTTTTAAAAAAAATTTTTATTTTTTGTATTTTCAGTACAGACGGGGTTTCACCATGTTGGCCAGTCTTGTCTCAAACTCCTGACCTCAGGTGATCTGCCCACCTTAGCCTCCCAAAGCGCCAGGATTACAGGCGTGACCACCGTGCCTGGCCTGCTTCACCTATTGTAGTTGTCCACAGTTCTGTTCTGTTTCTTCACTCTTTTTTCCTCTTTGCTCTTCAGTTTGGAAAGTTTCTATGGACATGTCTCAAGGTCACGGGTCCTTTGCACACCACGTCAGTCTCTGAGCAGCCTGTATTACAAATCCCCGATGTGGCTAGGGCAGGTGTATGATTCTATGGGCATGTCTCAAGGTCACGGGTCCTTTGACACCGCGTCAATCTCCGTACAGTCTGTATTATAAATCCCCAAAGTAGTTAGGACAGGTGTATGAGTTTCTTATGCTGCTATAACAAATTCCACTTTGTGACTTAAAACAATGCAAATTTATTACCTTACTGTTCTGGAGGTCAGAAGTTTGCAATGGGATTCACTGGGTTAAAATTAAAGTATCAGCAGGGCTGGTTCCTTCCTGGAGGCTCCAGGGAGAAACTTTTCTTGCCTTTTCTTGCTTCCTGCAGAGGCTGCCTACATCCTTTGGTCCCCTTCAACCTCTGAAGCCAGTCGTAGCTCGGACAGTCTGTTCTGCCTCCCTCTTCCACTTACAAGTGCCTCTGTGGTTACTTTTGGCCACATGAATAGTTCTATAATCACCTCCCTATTTTAATGTCAGCTGTTTGGCAATCTTGATTCCCTGGCCACAGACAGTGTCATAGTCAGAGGTTCTGGGGATCAGGATGTGGACATCTGTGGGAGGCCATCCTTCTGCCTGCCACACTAGGTTTTCTTCATGGGAATGCAACCAAATTGAGAACCAAAAGGCAAGAGCTCTGGATGGAAAAGTAGCCATACAAACTGAGACAGAGTAGAGAACACATGGCTAGCTCTTCATTTCTTTTGTTTCTCATTCAGAAAAAAAGCAAACAAAAACACCAGATTGCCAATAAAAGTATAGGCACTTTCTTCCTTTACAAAAACCACAATCTTAATTCACAATTTGCTAACCCCACCTCAAGATAATTTAGGTACTCTATCGAAATTCTGGAAATATTTACTCTTTAGCATACTATGAAACACATAGACTTCAGAGTCAGTCCCCATATTCGATCCTGACCCTGCCATTTAAAAACCATGTAAACTTCAGCAAATTATTTAATGATTCTGAGTTCTAGTTTTCTTGTGTATACAACTTGGCAAACATTACACATGTGATCGACCTTTTTAAATATTTGAGAAAGATATATTTTCTCTCAAATGGGCCACAATGAAAAAGTCAGTTACTCTCCATTAGCTTTTAAAAGGATACATTAAAGAAATACCTTAGCTCACCCATGTGAGGCCAGTCTTACTTTCCAGCATCCAAGCCAACAAATTTATTACAATTATACGTTTCCACAAATTTCTATAATACATCACTCAGTAACAAAGTCACATTAATGAAAAAAGAGTCTACTTAAAATTCCACCTTTCATTTACTGAAGTACTTTCAGATGAAAAGTACACGCTGTCCAGGATTCCTTCCAAAGGACCCTTGGAACTACAGTGAAGGTGCAGATGCAACAGGCTGGCCACAAGCTGGGAACTGTGACAGTGGAGACGAGCCACAGAGATTTACAATGCTCCTCTCTATGGTTTTGAAAGTTCCCATGTTACACGAGGAAGTTCTGGTAATATTTATGAGATAAAATATGATCTGCAATCCTTCCAAACATGCAGATCTACTTCCATCAGGCCTGGAAGGCTGTGCAAACTCATGGACTTGCCATAACTTATTTATTTATTTATTTTGAGATGAAGTCTCACTCTGTCGCCCAGGCTGGAGTGCAGTGGCGCCATCTCGGCTCACTGCAACCTCTGCCTCCCAGGTTCAAGCGATTCTCGTGCCTCAGCCTCCCGAGTAGCTGGGATTACAGGCAACCCCCCAAGATGCCCGGCTAATTTTTGTATTTTTAATAGAGACGGGATTTCACCATGTTGCCCAGGCTGATCTTGAACTCCTGACTTCAGGTGATCCACCTGCCTCAGCCTCCCAAAGTGCTGGAATTACAGGCGTGAGCCACCGCACCTGGCAGGGCCTTGCCATATTTGAATGTTACTGTACAGCTTTGGAATTTGAAACCACCTGCATGATTGCTTTATTCTTTTTTTCTTTTCTTTTCTTGAGACAGGGTCTTACTCTGTCTGTCACCCAGGCTGGAGTGCGTTGGCACAATCTCGGCTCACTGCAACCTCTGCCTCCCGGGTTCAAGCGATTTTCCTGCCTCAACCTCCCGAGTAGCTAGAAATACAGGCGCCCGCCACCACACGCAGTTAATTTTTTATTTTTTGGTAGAGACAGGATTTCACCATGTTGGCCAGGCTTGTCTAGAACTCCTGACCTCGTGATCCGCCCGCTTCGGCCTCCCAAAGTTCTGGGATTACAGGTGTGAGCCACTGCGCCTGGCCTCAATTGCTTTATTCTAATCAGGCACTGAGGGCTGCAGCCAAGCCCCATGATGCTGTGTAATCTCTATGTTTCACAGAGTAAGTTATTACTGCTGACCACTACTATTGTCAAAAGGAGGGTTATTAATTCCTGGTGATGTCTAACAAGAAAAGTGAAATCCCAGGGAACTCATTTAAAGGGTCGTGACTGCACTGACACAGCAGTACCATCGGGATACAATCAACTGAAATGAGCATTTTATTCCACACGTTAGAGTGGGAAGGCTGACAATGGTGGACAGTTATCCTTCGCTCATCGTTGTTGAATTGTAAAAATGTAAGTATTTGCCTGGGGACACAATGTAATGTAACACTGGGCCCTTCGACTGTGATACAATCAGTAGACGTCCTCAATCCTAGGAGCTCCTGGCGTGAAAGCCACAGCATAGAACCAAGTGGTTTTCCTCCTACAGGAAATCTGGGAAAACCGAGTGGTGCTTGGCACCTCTCTTCACCTCCAAAGACACCATGTGTTTTGCTGAATGACACGGGACAGTCATTCTTTTCGTTTCTCACTTGTACGACAGACGCCATAGCCAGAGTCCACAGCTGCCCTGGCTCTGATTTTGGCCCTGAGCTGGAACGCCTCACTAGTGTCTGAGCCTCAGGTTTCCGCTGCCTCCTGCCCCTTGGGGTAGCCAGTCTCTGTTTTGTGTTACTTGCCAGCAGTGTGGTGTGCAGACAGGGAAGAGCATGGCCTCACCTGGCCTGCCTCTGGCCTCTGGCTGCGAGACGAACCCGGGCACTGTCCCCTGCCAGCAGCCCAGGCGCCCGCAGGAGCACCTACAAGCTGTCTGAAGCCTCAACTAGTGTTCACCTGAACACAGCTCCAGCACCACAGGGCCCACCTGACAGTCCTGAAAAAGGCGGGGACGCCGGACACCCATCTGCTTGGGACAAGCAGCCACTCGCATGGAACTGAGGTCACTCTTTTGTTTATGACCGGGAGGCAGGGATGCAAAACACAGAAAATTATGCCAGGATGGTGGATTGCTGATGCCGGAAATTCGTGAGCACCCAGAGGGGCTGTTAAGAAACGTGCCCCTGGATGGGCGCGGCGACTCACGTCTGTAAACCCAGCACTTTGGGAGGCCGAGGCGGGTGAATCACCTGAGGTCAGGAGTACAAGACCAGCCTGGCCAACAATGGCAAAACCCCATCTTTGCTAAAAACATAAAAATTAACTAGGTGTGGTGGTGGGCACCTGTAGTTCCAGCTACTTGGGAGGCTGAGGCAGGAGAATCACTTAAACCCGGGCGGTGGAGGTTGCAGTGAGCCAGGATCGCACCATTGCACTCCAGCCTGGGCACAGAGAGAGACTCTGTCTCAAAAATGAAAAGAAAGGGCCCCTGGCTCTGCGGAAGGAAGTCCAAGCCCAGTGCCAGACTACAGGGGCTCTATCCTCTTCTGTGGCCTCAGGCACATGACTGAGCTCTAAGCCTCAGCTTCCTCATGGATACATTGGTAATAATCAGTATTGGTGGGCTCACAGGGTTGTTTTAGAGATTACATGATATAATAAACATGGAAATCATTTATACAAATAGAAGTCATGAAAACACTGGCTATACCTACGAATTGCAGAGGGAATTTTTTCTCCCCAATTACCAGAAGGATTCAACTTTCTTGAAGGCATGGAGGGACAGTATAGTCTAAGCCAACATTTAATTCTGTAGCCTCCTGTGGGCAAAGCTGGGAACCATGTGAATTCTGTGCCCCAAAGTACAAATCTGGAAAAGGAGGCATGCAGTGATCCATCCCTTTGTGGAGTTCAGGATTCCCCACGTGGGGGGTGCAAGCAGGCCTGGGGGAGCTCTGCACAGCACAGGAAGCAGGGAACGGGGCGTGCTGGGCTGTCATTTCAGGTTTTGACACTGCCCAAAGTCTCTCCCCCAAGAAGGAAACAAACTCTATCATCACCTATCACCAGTAACTGCACTTCCGTCAAACAGATGAGAAGTTAAAAATAACCCGACAGCATTTTCATCCTCTATTACGACTTCTTCCATGACAAAGGCTTTCATCCTTTGATTTCATAAAAGCAAACTTGCTGAGAACAAGCTTCTGTGGCACTTAAAAAGTCTTAACTACTAGCATTTCTTTTTTTTAGGTAGAAATCATTTCCTCCGCCACCCCAGGAAAACATAGATACATTATCACAAATGTATTCTCCAAAATCAGTCGTAAACTTAGGTCTTACAAATTAAACAGCATTTTTTTTTCACACATCCTGAGCTGTTAAATGAAAACAATTATGAGTCATCAATTCCAGGCTCGAGAATTCCACTTTGGTTTACCTGGATCAAGGTTACTGTCAGGCCAGCTACCTGCCTAGATTCCAGACTCCAGCCTTTCTGAGGGCCTTTCCTTCCTGAGTTCCATTAGCAAAAGAGGTATTGCCGGATGTAATTTTCCCTTGAAATTACACAACCTCATCCACTTGAAACTGAGACTAAGCTACTAATCCCACCTCTGTGAAGAGCGAAGATCTCAATGCATGGGCGGATTTGAGAGCCCCCTTCTGTCCTCAGAGGTTGAGATGAAAGGCGGCCAAGTGCTCTCCTGGCCCCGCCACACCCTCCACCTGCACGCAGACGGCGCTCCTGAGAGCCTGTTGACCCCGGTCTGTGCGTTCCTGAGTGAGGGCTTCCTGGTAGGAAGGAGACTTACGGCTTCTCAAAGGTCCTGGAAAGCAGCAATAAGCCCACAAAACCCATCCTGACAACCTGCAGGGCTCCCCGGATCAGAAACTGAAGAGACCTTGAGGGGCTCCAGTTCCACAGGGAGCAGCGGAGAGGAAGGGCCCAGCCGAGGGGGAGAGAGGGTAGCACAGAGCCAGGGAGCAGGGCCAGGCGGAGCGAAGCCACCGAGGCCACTGCCTGCAGTGACGTTCGAAACGGACAGTAGGAAAAGGACAAAACTTGAATGACACAGCAGAGGGGTCAGGAGTGGGAGGCAGAATTCGCCATGCTCTGTCATCTCCTCCAAAGCCGCCATGGGCAATGACAGAAGTGCAGCTTCCCGCCAGCCCCTGCCAGGGGTACCAGGACCCTCCTCCAATGCCTGGATCAAGCTCTGCCGCTGCTGCTGGTTTCTTCCCTGTGACCCCACACAGCACCCTCATCTGCAGGGAGAACCAGGCATGTGGGGCTGTCGGGCGAGCTCCGCCCCAGGAAGGGAGAAGCCAGCTCCCAGGGGGCAGGCTGGGTGATGCCTTCACGGCCCCCATCCGGCTCAAATGAGCCACACTGTGCAGGGGGCGCCGCGGTTCCACACGCCCATCACCCATATCCTGGAATCCTGCCCTACAAGTCCACAATGGCACCGTATGTGGACACCTGGGTGCTTCCTGCCTCTCTGTACCTCTGGGCTGCGCAGGCTGAGTTCTAAGCAGTATGTTTGGGATTTGTTTTGGGCTGGAGGGTGGGGGATGGGTGAAGTACATATAAGCTTGGAAACCATCTTCAGTGAGCTCCGCCTGAGACTGCGTCGACTTTGTAAGTATTACCACTGCAGAGACAATATTTTGGATGTGATTTCTCATCAGTACATTTCTCCTTCCATGAATCATGACTGGGAAACCACCCACAGGACTTATCTGGTTGGGACTTTGTTTTTCAGCATTTACATATCCTGTTTCTAGAGGTTAAAGCTATTAAAATTTTTTGCAATCCTGTAGTTACAAATTAATCCCATAAAAAAGGCTTTGAAAAGGTGACCTTTTCTGTTGTAAAATATTCTTTAAAAATGTGCAACTCTTCAAGAGCACATAAATAATTAAGAACCACAGGGGTCTACATGCCAGGATGCTTGAGTGTGAATTAAGTAAGTCTCCACAGGAGTCTACACATCAGGACACCCGGTGTGGATTAAGGAGGTCTATCGCAGGGGTCTACACATCAGGACACCCGGTGTGGATTAAGGAGGTCTATCGCAGGGGTCTACACATCAGGACACCCGGTGTGAATTAAGTAGGTCTCCACAGGAGTCTACATGTCAGAATACCCGGTGTGAATTAAGCAGGTCTCCACAGGGGTCTACACATCAGGACACCCGGTGTGAATTAAGTAGGTCTCCACAGGAGTCTACATGTCAGAATACCCGGTGTGAATTAAGCAGGTCTCCACAGGGGTCTACACATCAGGACACCCGGTGTGAATTAAGTAGGTCTACACAGAAGTCTACATGGCAGGACACCCGGTGTGAATTAAGTAGGTCTACACAGGGGTCTACACGTCAGGATGCTCAATGTGAATTAAGTATGTCTACATAGGAGTCTACATGTCAAGATGCCGGGTGTGAATTAAGTAGGTCTCCACAGGGATCTACATATCAGGACTCCTGGTGTGAATTAAATAGGTCTACATAGGAGTCTACACATCAGGATGCCGGGTGTGAATTAAGTAGGTCTCCACAGGGATCTACATATCAGGACTCCTGGTGTGAATTAAATAGGTCTACATAGGAGTCTACACGTCAGGATGCCGGGTGTGAATTAAGTAGGTCGCCACAGGGGTCTACAGGTCAGGATGCTGGGTGTGAATTAAGTAGATCTACACAGGGGTTTACACGCCAGGACACCCGGTGTGAATTAAATAGGTATACATAGGAGTCCACACGTCAGGATGCCAGGTGTGAATTAAGTAGGTCTCCACAGGGGTCTACACATCAGGACACCGGTGTGAATTAAGTAGGTCTCCACAGGGGTCTACTACACGTCAGGACACTCGGTGTGAATTAAGTAGGTCTCCACAGGAGTCTACACATCAGGACACCCGGTGTGAATTAAGTAGGTCTCCACAGGGGTCTACACATCAGGACACCCGGTGTGAATTAAGTAGGTCTCCACAGGGGTCTACACGTCAGAATACCCGGTGTGAATTAAGTAGGTCTCCACAGGGGTCTACATGTCAGAATACCCGGTGTGAATTAAGTAGGTCTCCACAGGGGTCTACGCGTCAGGACACCGGTGTGAATTAAGTAGGTATCCACAGGAGTCTACGCATCAGGACACCCGGTGTGAATTAAGTAGGTCTCCGCAAGGGTCTACACATCAGGACACTGGTGTGAATTAAGTAGGTCTCCGCAAGGGTCTATATGTCAGGATACCGGTGTGAATTAAGTAGGTCTCCACAGGGGTCTACATGTCAGAACACCGGTGTGAATTAAGTAGGTCTCCACAGGGGTCTACACGTCAGGACACTCGGTGTGAATTAAGTAGGTCTCCACAGAGGTCTACACATCAGGACACCTGGTGTGGATTAAGGAGGTCTCCACAGGAGTCTACGCATCAGGACACCCGGTGTGGATTAAGTAGGTATCCACAGGGGTCTACACATCAGGACACCTGGTGTGAATTAAGTAGGTCTCCACAGGAGTCTACACATCAGGACACTCGGTGTGAATTAAGTAGGTCTACCACAAGGGTCTATACATCAGGACACCCGGTGTGAATTAAGTAGGTCTACACAGGGGTCTACACATCAGGACACCTGGTGTAAATGAAGTAGGTCTACACAGGGGTCTACATGTCAGGATGCTCAATGTGAATTAAGTATGTCTACATAGGAGTCTACACGTCAAGATGCCAGGTGTGAATTAAGTAGGTCTCCACAGGGATCTACATATCAGGACTCCTGGTGTGAATTAAATAGGTCTACATAGGAGTCTACACGTCAGGATGCCGGGTGTGAATTAAGTAGGTCGCCACAGGGGTCTACAGGTCAGGATGCTGGGTGTGAATTAAGTAGATCTACACAGGGGTTTACACGCCAGGACACCCGGTGTGAATTAAATAGGTCTACATAGGAGTCTACACGTCAGGATGCCAGGTGCGAATTAAGTAGGTCTCCACAGGGGTCTACACATCAGGACACCCGGTGTGAATTAAATAGGTCTCCACAGGAGTCTACATGTCAGAATACCCGGTGTGAATTAAGTAGGTCTCCGCAGGGGTCTACACATCAGGACACAGGTGTGAATTAAGTAGGTCTCCACAGGAGTCTACGCATCAGGACACCGGTGTGAATTAAGTAGGTATCCACAGGAGTCTACGCATCAGGACACCCGGTGTGAATTAAGTAGGTCTCCGCAAGGGTCTACACATGAGGACACCGGTGTGAATTAAGTAGGTCTCCGCAAGGGTCTATACATCAGGACACCGGTGTGAATTAGGACACCGGTGTGAATTAAGTAGGTCTCCACAGGGGTCTACACGTCAGGACACCAGTGTGAATTAAGTAGGTCTCCACAGGGGTCTACATGTCAGAATACCCGGTGTGAATTAAGTAGGTCTCCACAGGAGTCTACACGTCAGGACACCCAGTGTGAATTAAGTAGGTCTCCACAGGAGTCTACACATCAGGACACTTGGTGTGAATTAAGTAGGTCTCCACAGGGGTCTACACATCAGGACACCCGGTGTGGATTAAGTAGGTCTACACAGGGGTCTACACATCAGGACACCCGGTGTGAATTAAGTAGGTATCCACAGGGGTCTACACATCAGGACACTTGGTGTGAATTAAGTAGGTCTCCACAGGGGTCTACACATCAGGACATCCGGTGTGAATTAAGTAGGTCTCCACAGGAGTCTACGCATCAGGACACCCAGTGTGAATTAAGTAGGTCTCCGCAAGGGTCTACACATGAGGACACTGGTGTGAATTAAGTAGGTCTCCACAAGGGTCTATACATCAGGACACCGGTGTGAATTAGGACACCGGTGTGAATTAAGTAGGTCTCCACAGGGGTTTACACGTCAGGACACCGGTGTGAATTAAGTAGGTCTCCACAGGGGTCTACACATCAGGACACCCGGTGTGGATTAAGTAGGTCTCCACAGGAGTCTACGCATCAGGACACCCGGTGTGAATTAAGTAGGTATCCACAGGGGTCTACACATCAGGACACTTGGTGTGAATTAAGTAGGTCTCCACAGGGGTCTACGCATCAGGACACCCGGTGTCAATTAAGTAGGTCTCCACAGGGGTCTACACATCAGGACACCCGGTGTGAATTAAGTAGGTATCCACAGGAGTCTACGCATCAGGACACCCGGTGTGAATTAAGTAGGTATCCACAGGGGTCTACACATCAGGACACCCGGTGTGAATTAAGTAGGTCTCCACAGGGGTCTACACATTAGGACACTGGTGTGGATTAAGTAGGTCTCCACAGGAGTCTACGCATCAGGACACCCGGTGTCAATTAAGTAGGTCTCCACAGGGGTCTACACATCAGGACACCCGGTGTGAATTAAGTAGGTATCCACAGGAGTCTACGCATCAGGACACCCGGTGTGAATTAAGTAGGTATCCACAGGGGTCTACACATCAGGACACTTGGTGTGAATTAAGTAGGTCTCCACAGGGGTCTACGCATCAGGACACCCGGTGTGAATTAAGTAGGTCTCCACAGGGGTCTACACGTCAGGACACCGGTGTGAATTAAGTAGGTCTCCACAGGGGTCTACGCATCAGGACACCCGGTGTGAATTAAGTAGGTATCCACAGGGGTCTACGCATCAGGACACCCGGTGTGGATTAAGTAGGTCTCCACAGGGGTCTACGCATCAGGACACCCGGTGTGAATTAAGTAGGTCTCCACAGGGGTCTACACGTCAGGACACCGGTGTGAATTAAGTAGGTCTATCGCAGGGGTCTACACATCAGGACACTTGGTGTGAATTAAGTAGGTCTCCACAGAAGTTTACACGGCAGGACACCCAATGTAAATTAAATGCGTCTACAGGTGAGGGCACACGTGTGAATGGTGGGCCGCCACAGGCATCCCCATGTGCAGCCCGTCCACGCGTGTGCGTGGGTTTAGCTCATCCATTTTGAAGGACGGTGAAGATAAATGGAGTCTGAATGCAGGCACGTGCGTTCCGCATTACCTGGAAAGCACAGTTTACCCCATGTGCAGCCCGTCCACGCGTGTGCCTGGGTTTAGCTCATCCATTTTGAAGGACGGTGAAGATAAACGGAGTCTGAATGCAGGCACGTGCGTTCCGCATTACCTGGAAAGCACAGTTTACCCCATGTGCAGCCCGTCCACGCGTGTGCCTGGGTTTAGCTCATCCATTTTGAAGGACGGTGAAGATAAACGGAGTCTGAACGCAGGCACGTGCGTTCCGCATTACCTGGAAAGCACAGTTTACCCCATGTGCAGCCCGTCCACGCGTGTGCGTGGGTTTAGCTCATCCATTTTGAAGGACGGTGAAGATAAACGGAGTCTGAACGCAGGCACGTGCGTTCCGCATTACCTGGAAAGCACAGTTTACCCCATGTGCAGCCCGTCCACGCGTGTGCGTGGGTTTAGCTCATCCATTTTGAAGGACGGTGAAGATAAATGGAGTATGAATGCAGGCACGTGTGTTCCGCATTACCTGGAAAGCACAGTTTACCCCATGTGCAGCCCGTCCACGCGTGTGCGTGGGTTTAGCTCATCCATTTTGAAGGACGGTGAGGATAAATGGAGTCTGAACGCAGGCACGTGCGTTCCGCATTACCTGGAAAGCACAGTTTACCCCATGTGCAGCCCGTCCACGCGTGTGCGTGGGTTTAGCTCATCCATTTTGAAGGACGGTGAAGATAAATGGAGTCTGAACGCAGGCACGTGCGTTCCGCATTACCTGGAAAGCACAGTTTACCCCATGTTTAATGGCAGCAGCTAAATTTCCACCTTGTTCTTAAGACCTGTTTCCAGGTCACTCTCTGAACGTGGGAAATGTGTGTGCACTTCCACGCTCTAGTCCATGGAGAGAAACACGCTTCGTTTAGACCGCGGCACTCTGCTTGTGCTTCCTACGCTTTACCTGGGCTGCACCTCGTGAACAAGCTCAAAGATTTCCCCCCAGGTTTTGCTGTCCAGCCTGCGTTTGTTGGCTCTTTCTCCGGGGTGGCTGGTATCGTTTCTACCTTACTGGCACTGAGACTCTGGCCAGGGTGGCCCACGACAAGCACGTGGCCAGGCGCCTCAGAAGTGGGACCTGGGTAGGGTTTGGATCCTGGACTTCAGACCTGCACTGCCTCTGTGGCACGGTCACCCGAGAATGGAGACACTGCGCTGTGAGCCCTGGGCAGGTGGAAAGCCTCCTGTGGGCAGTCACCGAGAGGGAGAGAGTAGCGCCCTCGGTGAGGTCCTGATCCGAAGCCCTTGCTGGGGGTGGCTGGTGGCTGTGACAGCAGGGCCAGGAGCAGAGCCGCTCTTTGAAACCGAGAAGCACTAACACCCCCCGGCAGCTGCTTTTTAGACACATTATGGACACTCAGACCCAAGCCAAGTTACCTTGGACGAGACGATCCTGTTGTCTGGGTATCTCTGTGGGATGTAGGCCTCTGCGCCCGGAGGTGGCTCCCTGTGTCCCACGTAGATGGTCCTGCTGTCCACCCAATTCTCTTCTCCTGCACACTGCGGAAAGGAGAGCGGTGTTAGGCAGCTGCCTCAGAACCTGCATCAAAAGCTCTTGCCCAGAGTGTTGCCTTGAGGCACGTTCGTCGGAACGGAGACCTGTACCTGCTGCTGAGAGCATCGTTCAGGGCTGCAGGGAGACCTGGGGCCCAGCACCCCAGGCCCGAGCCACCCTGTCTTACGCAGCCCTCATGGGCCAAGGTCTTCTGGTGAGCACCAGGAGGGTCTGCGCTCCTGTGAGAGCCACACAGTGAACTTCAAAGCTGACTGCCAGTGGAAACAGCTCAGGGCGTGTACATAAGAACAGAACGCGGCCGGGCGCGGCGGCTCACGCCTGTAATCCCAGCACTTTGGGAGGCCGAGATGGGCGGATCACGAGGTCAGGAGATGGAGACCATCCTGGCTAACACGGTGAAACCCCGTCTCTACTAAAAAATACAAAAAATTAGCCGGGTGTGGTGGTGGGCGCCTGTAGTCCCAGCTACTCAGGAGGCTGAGGCAGGAGAATGGCGTGAACCCGGGAGGTGGAGCTTGCAGTGACCGAGATAGCACCACTGCACTCCAGCCTGGGGGACAGAGCGAGACTCTGTCTCAAAAAAAAAAAAAAAGAACAGAACGTGTGGCCAAATCGTAAGGCTTCCAAAACAGAAGAGACAGTGATGTTGGGAAAGGTCTTTAATGGAAGAGGAAAGAAAAACTATGATACTGGGGTAGAAGGCGGGACTTGACTCCAGAGGTGGGGCTTGGACACCGGACCAGATTGAGGACTGGTGAAAACAGGGCTGGGGCAGAGGCAGCTTTCCATAAGACATGCCCGCGGTGTGAATATCAGTTTACCATTGCCATGGCAACAGCCAGGAGCTGCGGCCCCTTTCCATGGCAATGACCCGATCGCCTACAAGTTACATCCTTCTCCTAGAAATTTCTGCATAAACCACCCCTTAATCTGCATGCAATTAAATCTGCCCTGAGCTACTCCTCTCCGCCTAACAGGGCAGCCCCGCTCTGCAGGGGCAGTCAGGGAGCTGTAGCCTCTTCAATGAAGCTGTTTCTTCCGCCTCCTGCTTGCCCTTGAATTCCTTCCTGGGCAAAGCCAAGAGCTCTCCAGGCTCTTGCCCCACTGTGGGGTCACCGGCCCTGCATCTGCAGATGGGTAAGAGTCGCTCAACCCTGCTAGGTGTCTGCTCAGGAACAGGAAGGCTCTCCTGCAAAGCTGACTTGGGCCTGACCATCTCTGTATTACTCGGAACACTGTATTTGGAGGAGTTAAGGAAACAGCTCTGACAAGAAATATTTCAACAACACTCAGGCGGGCCATTTGATGTCAGCACTAAAACCACAAAAATACTTTAGCTCGTAACGGGAAATCCAAACGCCACATCTGAATACGCAGCCCTGGCCATGGCCCTGAGCCCACCTCGGAATACGGGGCCTTAGCGTGTGGCTCTCGTCCCACGCCCCAGTTCTCTGTAGGAACTGCAAGACATCAGCCTTTCTGGGGCATGAGAAACACAGCTGAAGAGGAGACGGAAGCCTCCTCCATGAGGGGAATGCTGGTGCAGTGGGACGGGAAGGACGAGCGGGCACTGCCGTCGAAGGGCTGACCCTTGGCTGCTGGGCCACTCCTCGCCGCAGGCACGGGGACAGTTTCCCGCTGAGCTTCTCACCCATGAGGGGGACACCAGCACTTTCTCAGGGTCCTGGAGCATGAAATGAGGCAACGGGAACAGAACAAGGCCAGGGGCCCGGCCCAGCACAGACACTTGTAAATGCTCAGGGCCAAGTCCTCTCTGTGTGGGCTGCCCCTCGGTGCTTCAGGGAACTCTCGTTTTTTAAAGCCAAAAAAGGCAGGCAGGGTCTGAACAGTCTGGAGTCCCTGTCTGCGTGGTGCTCTTGTTTATAAACCTCATGGGGCTGTTTTTGGACTTGATGTCATCAGCTCCTCTGCTCCCCTACCAACCTCTCAGAGGAAGTCTTTCCACACTGTCCCACCCAGAACGTCCCGGACAGGAGCTGTGTGAATGTCTGCACATTTGCTTTAATAAATTCCATCGGTAATTCACCTGCAATTTCTTTTATTAGGACTCAGCTTTGCAGAAAAGTCTAAGTAAAATAACGGAAAGAGACCACAGCAGTCTCCATGTGCCCCAACTGTGTTTTCAGAGATGTTTGGCTGAGACTATCAACCAGTGTTTCCACGGGGAGCCGAGGCTTCCATGCTCCTGGGGACAGACGTACAAGGCAGCCACCAGGCCAGGGAGGAACACTCCACCCTCAAATGAGCCAGACGCAGTTTTCCTCAGCGCGACCTTGGGTCGTGGCCTCCCCGCGAGCCTGCTGGCCATGCAGTAACCGTCATCCTGGACTCAAAGCCAGGTGGGCAGCACAGCCCCACTGCCCTGACCATGCCACAGCCTGGCTGCCCCTCCCCACGAGGACGGGCCCTCCTCCTCCGGGACTGGGTCTCCCTGCCTGACGGGGGCCTTCCCTGCTGTCTCTATTTTGTGGTGAAGCCAACAAACCACAGGGATGTGGACTTTAAAAGCATCCTAAGAGCTTCATAAATAAACTGCTGCCTATAAAGGCTAAGCAAAGTCCCTGGCTCCTTTGTTTTCACAGAACATAGCCAAATAGATGCTTCTCATTCTCGTGAAATCAGGAAATTGCACTGAATAAGAATATAAGTGAACCAGAAAAAGAGAGAAAAGCATACAGATATCTTTTAATACAAAAGTGAAAATCCTAGAAACTTTCTTCGAAGCTTCAAAGACGGCAACTGAATTTCAGGAGTGGCCACGAGCCCAGACACTGGTTTGGAAAGCTGAACGCTTCCCTGGAGCCGTGTGGCATTGCCCATGCCACAGCGAGCCCACGCTTCCCGGCCGCTTCCAGCCAGCAACAAAGGGACCCTGTCTCATGGAGGAACGATCAGGATGAATGGATGAAGCCCACTCCAAAGTCTCAACACCGGCGAGCAGACGTTTATCATTAAATAATTACATCAAAAACAACTCAGATACAGCCCAACAGTGTAGCGGCGTTTAACCCGACACAAGTAGGAATGAGTATTCTTGTCTGTGCCATGGCTTCAGAAAACAGGCTGCCTGCCAACATGCAGTGGGCCTTGCCTGGCAAGTGCGCGGCCTTGCCTGATGGCCTCGTCAGCATAACAGACACCAGATTGGAACAGGAAAGGACCTGAAGCCATGAGGTCACTTAGACGGCCTCACCCAGGGCATCAGGAAGGTCGGAAACATACATGTCTCTTCAGGTTCACACTTCAAACCAAAGGGAGCTCTTTGTGTTGTATTCTCCACAAATGTTCAAATTCTTTTTTTTTTTTTTTTTTTGCAAAGTGAAAGCAAGTTTATTAAGAAAGCAAATGAATAAAAGAACAGCTACTCCATAGACAGAGCAGCCCACACATGGTCAAATTCTAGGAAGACTAAACTGCCCAAAAGGAACAGAGCCGAAAACACGCTGGACCCCCAGAGGATGCAGACACCGTCACTAACAGCAGCCTGGGGACAGGGCGCCCGGTCCCTGCTGCTCACTGGCTCTGTGGCTGCGGCTGCCT
This sequence comes from Homo sapiens, assembly GCF_000001405.40. NCBI lineage: Eukaryota > Metazoa > Chordata > Mammalia > Primates > Hominidae > Homo > Homo sapiens. The sequence goes on along the minus strand of NC_000013.11, from coordinate 112,781,557 downwards.
CACACCACGCGTCCGTCAAATGTTGTCAGCAGCGACATGAAGGGATTAGGAGGCCCAACCTTCGTGGTCCTCCCAGCCCTAGGATTCTGGTTCTCTGTACAGTTAGCAACGAAAACAAACTCAGGAGCCTCAATCGTGTAACTTCTGAACCTCACCGGTCTTGAATCCAGGGCCAGACATACTGTGCATAAACGGGGACATAGACAAAACGGGGTCCCTGCCGGGCATGGTGGCTCATGTCTGTAATCCCAGCACTTTGGGAGGCGAAGGCAGGCGGAGCGCTTGAGGCCAGGAGTTCAAGACCAGCCTGGCTAACAAGGTGAAACTCCATCTCTACTGAAAAAAAAAATACAAAAATTAGCCGGGCATGTGGGCGCCTGTAGTCCTACCTACTTGGGAGGCTGAGGCAGGAGAATCGCTTGAACCCGGAGGTGGAGGTTGCAGTGACAAGATGGCGCCTCTGCTCTCCAGCCTGGATGACAGACCGAGGCTCCGTCTCAAACAAACGAACAAACAAACAAACAAAAGACGGGGTCACATCACACGGGGCTGTTTTCAGGATTCAGAGCAAAGACACGGGTAGTCGGGAAGCTCTCCAGGGCAGGAGGATGGAGACCCCAGCCTCTCTCTCTCCGCGTTCCCAGACAGGATCAGCCACACAGCTCAGCCAGCCCTGTGCAACTCCTCGCAGCAGAACCCACCCACGGCCAGAGGCTTCCATCAGCAAAGCAAAGCTGAAACCAGGCACCAAACTGTCTATGTCAAGTAACAGGTTTCCTAATGACTCATTAACAACCCATTGTCCAAACTGCATCGAGAAAGCCACGTGGCAAGTCCCCTGGAGGGCTGGCATCAAGTTCCAGCTGAAGTAAAAATCTACCCTGTGCTGATGTGACTGACCATAGGACACAAACCGACCAAAGGAAACATCTCGAGCGACTCCTGGAGGGGCACAAAAAATTCGGCGAGAAGGTTCACGGCTGCGCTGTTCATGGAAGACAAAGGTGGCAGCCTCCAAACGCGCGTCCACTGATGAAGGGATACACGGAAAGGAAGGAAGCGCCGACACCCACAGCAACACGCGTGGGGACAGAAAGCATCCCATGTGTGAAGCAACACCATGTTGTGAGTCCATTCTGAGGAAATGCCCAGAAAAGGCGAACGCAGAGACGGGGGCTGCCGGGGGCTGGGCAAATGGCTGCTGATGGCCCCTGCCCGGGGGTGAAAACCTTCTGGGTTGGAGGGCGGTGGTGGCTGCCGACCGCCTCTGACTGGGGGATGAAAACCTTCTGGGTTGGAGGGTGGTGGTGGGTGCACGACTTTGAATATTTTCCAGTTGGAACCAACGGATTGCATGCTTTAAAAGGGAGGATTTTACAGTATGTGAATTATACCTCAGTAAAAATGTTGTAAGTATTTTTGCCAAATGAAAGGCATGCATGGTTTGCACACGAGATCATTATTTCCACACTTTCTCATTCTAGAAACCTAACAGTCACCTTGGCATCAAGAGATATCACTCATCTGTACAACTACCACCATCAAACTTGCTCTGATTTTCAGCTTGCCTTTGGTTTAATGCTTTAATGACTCAAGTGATTTTCTTTACTACCTTAGAGGAAAATGTCATTCTTTTTTTTTTTTCTTTTTAATGAGACAGAGTTTTGCTCTCATCACCCAGGCTGGAGTGCAATGGCAAAATCTCGGCTCACTGCAACCACCGCTTCCAGGTTTAAGCAATTCTCCCGCCTCAGCCTCCCTAGTAGGTGGGATTACAGGCAAGCGCCACCACGTCCAGCTAATTTTGTATTTTTAGTAGAAATGGTGTGTTGGCCAGGCTAGCCTCGAACTCCTGACCTCAGGTGATCCGCCCGCCTCAGCCTCCCAAAGTGCTGGGATGACAGGCGTGAGCCACTGCGCCTGGCAGGAAAAGTCATTCCTAGATGTCAGAAGTGCTTCTCTGTTTCAGTCTTCTGTGTAAATTCTAGAAACTTAGATATAAAGCTCTTCCTGAAAATCTCCGAGGAAGTGAAAACTATTTACTTTTAAACAATAATTAATTACTTTTTTTAAAGATGGGGTATTGCTGCCCTGTCCCAGCTGAAGCACAGCGGCTACTCCTCACTCCAGCGGCTACACACTCCAGTGGCTACTCCTCACTCCAGCGGCTACTCACTCCAGCGGCTACTCCTCACTCCAGCGGCTACTCACTCCAGCGGCTACTCCTCACTCCAGCGGCTACTCCTCACTCCAGCGGCTACTCACCCCAGTGGCTACTCCTCACTCCAGCGGCTACTCCTCACTCCAGCGGCTACTCCAGTGGCTACTCCTCACTCCAGCGGCTACTCACTCCAGTGGCTACTCCTCACTCCAGCGGCTACTCGTACTCCAGTGGCTACTCCTCACTCCAGCGGCTACTCACTCCAGCGGCTACTCACTCCAGTGGCTACTCACTCCAGTGGCTACTCCTCACTCCAGGGGCTACTCCTCACTCCAGCGGCTACTCACTCCAGCGGCTACTCCTCACTCCAGCGGCTACTCACTCCAGTGGCTACTCTTCACTCCAGCGGCTACTCCTCACTCCAGCGGCTACTCACTCCAGCGGCTACTCCTCACTCCAGCGGCTACTCACTCCAGCGGCTACTCACTCCAGTGGCTACTCCTCACTCCAGCGGCTACTCACTCCAGTGGCTACTCCTCACTCCAGCGGCTACTCACTCCAGCGGCTACTCCTCACTCCAGCGGCTACTCACTCCAGCGGCTACTCCTCACTCCAGCGGCTACTCACTCCAGCGGCTACTCCTCACTCCAGTGGCTACTCCTCACTCCAGCGGCTACTCACTCCAGCGGCTACTCCTCACTCCAGCGGCTACTCACTCCAGTGGCTACTCCTCACTCCAGCGGCTACTCCTCACTCCAGCGGCTACTCACTCCAGTGGCTACTCCTCAAACCAGCGGCTACTCATTCCAGTGGCTACTCACTCCAGCGGCTGTTCACAGGGACAGTTACAGTGCACCGTAGCCTTGAACTCCTGGGCTCAAGCAATGCTCCCTGTGCAGCCTCCCAAAGCACTGAGATTGCAGGCATGCCACCATGCCCCAAATTACCTCAACTTAGAATGTATTTCTAGCTACCTCAGTGTTTTACGTCCAACTCTGAAGAGAGTTACAAGGTTTTGGCCCTGTTGCCATTTCTTACACAGCATAACTGCATGGGAGCTGGAGTGTGCCGGGGCTTTCAAAGCCGCTGACCTGGACGACCTCCTCTCACAGAGCCGCTAAGCTCAGCAAACCTCCGCCTACTGCACCTCACACACTGATGAGAGGCACGTGGAGGCTGCAAGGCCTTGGGGCCTCCGGTGAGCTTTCTGTCCACCACATCAGCTGCTCACCTGGCCGCTAAAAAATACATTTTTGCAAAAGGTATGTGTGGTATGATGTTAAACATGCCCATCTGACTCATTTCCACGATTCACACGGAAGACTGTAGAAGAAGGAACAGGAAGGAGTGCCACAGGGTTGGGGAAACAGTAAAATGGACGCAGCATGCCTTCCAGACAGAGGCGCCTGCACATGGGCTGTGCCTTCTTCGGGGCCAGGCCCAGGCCTCTCCGTGCAGGGTGCCATAAGAGCACCTCCGAGAGGAATTCCACATCTGGCGTTGGGGGAGAAAGGCACGGTGAGCGGCGTGTGGGGAGCGCATGGGGAGGGAGCGGCAGGGCTTCCTGGCTGCATGGAGCCCACGGGGGAGGAAGTCTCACATCCCTTCTCCTGATATGTGTGCTCAGGACCTGGCACCGCACAGCATCCTGGCAGCCTTCCGGCAGCCTTCCCACCCACCTTCCAGCGGGAGGGGGCTTCGCAGAGGGGCAGCTGTAACCGCACAGCACAGCAGCCTCAGAGAAAATGTCACCACAAATTGCATCAATGCAGCTACCTGGGCAGCCTCTGTGGCTCCTTCCCTTAATTATTATGTTATTATATATATTTTTTGAGACGAAGTCTTGCTCTTGTCCCCCAGGCTGGAGTGCAATGGCGTGATCTCGGCACACTGCAACCTTCGCCTCCCGGGTTCAAGCCATTCTCCTGCCTCAGCCTCCCAAGTAGCTGGGATTACAGGTGTATGCCACCACACTTGGCTAATTTTTGTATTTTTAGTAGAGACTGGGTTTCACCGTGTTGGCCAGGCTGGTCTCAAACTCCTGACCTCAGGTGATTTGCCCGCCTCAGCATTCCAAAGTGCTGGGATTACGGGCGTGAGCCACCATGCCCAGCCTTAGTTATTTTTTTAAAGATAGTTTTGACATTTGGGATTGATCCACTGCTGCCTGAAAACACACAGTCTTTGTGCACATGCCTGGCAGTGTGGCTTTCTGACAGGTGCCAGCGCCTGAGCTTGGTGGTGCCTGGCAGTGTGGCTTTCTGACAGGTGCCCAGGACCTGTGTTCAGTGGTCGAGGAAAATTTCCCTAAGGAGCAAACACCCCTGAGGCCACTGCCACAGGAGCATGAACTCCAAACCCGCGGTGCAGAGAGGCTCAAGGGGCAAGACGCTGCGTTTCAGAAGATCTACGATGCGACACTCTCAGTGTGCACCACAGCATTTGGTCAGATATTAATCTCAGGCCAGGAGCTGAAGCCTCTCACCCGACAGGTCATCTCGGCTGGTCGCGGGGGCTCAAGCCTGTAATCCCAGCACTCTGGGAGGCCAAGGTGGGTGGATCACCTGAGGTCAGGAGTTTGAAACCAGCCTGGCCAATATGGCGAAACCTCGTCTCTACTAAAAATACAAAAATTAGGCAGGAGTGGTGGCACATGCCTGTAGTCCCAGCTACTTGGGGGGCTGAGGCAAGGAGGATGGCTTGAACCTGGGAGGTGGAGGTTGCAGTGAGCCAGGACAGTGCCACTGCATTTCAGCCTGGACGACAGATTGAGACTCTGTCTCAAAAAAATAAATAAATAAAATAGAATTTACTATCACTTCCTACTTGACAGAGCGCAACACCAAACCCAGAACCATCGCCAGGCAGGCCGGAGCACAGCGTGCAAACTCACACCCGATCAATTATCCAGATGGTTTAGGCAGCGTTCAGTGTCACGCAGCATAGACACCTGCCTTTTGAGGGGCAGCACTGGCCTCACTGGCCCTCTGACCCTCCCCACATTTCCCCGTTAATAAAGCATGGAAAGGAACAGGGCAAGGGAGAGGACGGAGCAGGCAGCATGGAGGAATTTGCTCCAATGCGCCCAGTCCGGGGATGGAAGGAGGGTCTGGGATCTGGCCTGCGCTTTTGCTCACACACAGGACACACTACAGGGGCTGTGGGGAACTGTCAAGGATGTGGCTGACTCAGCAGCCCCAAGGTGTGCCTTCATGCAGACGGGCTCACTTGAGGACGAGTAACAGATGTCAACATGAATCCCCGTGGAAACAAACGACAGCCACTGGAACAAGCAGCAGCAGCCACGGACTCCGAGCCTGCAGGTCAGCCGCCTCCACGGGCTCCCAGGGACTCCAGCCGGGCCAGGGAGGCGGGAAGGGGTCCGGGGAAGAGGGCTGGGAGGGCAGCTGTGGGCCTGACGGCGTGGGCTCACGCCCGGGAGGCGCAGCAGCCTGTGGGGCTGGCAAGGGGAGAAGGGGACGGGGGCGTACTTGCTGTTCTCTGGCTGACCCCAAGTTGGAACTGGGGGCAGAAACTAGGTTGTCGTGAACTAAGTCGCGCCCGCCCTGCGCCAGGGCCGTGGAGGTGTGGGCTGGGCTTCCCTGGTCACAAGTGGCTCAGCCACTGTCCCTCTTCAGGAAGGATGACACCTCTCCAGATACACCCACTTACAGGCGGGGGGGGCATTATGAAATAATTCAAACGTGCAGAAAACTGGAGTAAGGAAATAAATCACCCAGATCTCACAAATGTTAACATTTTTGCTATATTTGTACCAACCAATTTTTTTCTTACAGAAATAAATTTAAAATATAGATTTTTATATAAGTCATTTGAAAGTATTCGCCTCCTTCTTTTTAAAAACTCTGGCAACGGTAAGTAGGAGAGGAGAAAACTGCAGTTACCTAACACCCCTTTAGAGGAGGCATGTCCTGGAGGCCCCAGGCTGCTGGGCCAAAAGCACCCTGAAGCTGCTGGGAGGGGTTCCTCCTGTCAGCGGCCCCCCGACTGTGGAAGCCCGCCTGTGTGCATCCCATGCCTCCCGCTGTGTGGTAGGAAGGAAGAGGACGGGGCTAAGGCAGAGTCGGATAACGAGCCCTTCAGCAGAGAGGGGCGCTGTTTTCGGCATCTTCACAGCAGAGCTTCACGCCGTGTTCTGCCAACCCCACTGGAAGAAGAAACACCTGGAAGCTACGCGGCCAGCCCACGGGCACTTCACCTGCACATCAAGGGCCTGCCTCAAAGCAGGGAAAGAACGATAAACTGAGTCCCACCAAACGCTGTTAGCTCTCTAAGCCAGTGCAAGCAAGGCCCCTGCGGGCAACCCACTCGCTGTCCCTCAGACGCCACATCCGAGGCACACGCTGCAGCCCGCTGGCCTTGCCGCCTACCCCGATGAAGTGGGACCCACCGAACAACAAAGCCTCCATTCCCCAGGGTCTTGCAACTCTGCGGCTCCCGTGACGGGGGAAGGTGGGAGGAGCTGCTCAGACACACAGCCTCGCACGCCAACGACGCTCTTCACCGATGCCGGTAGACATGTGTGTTGCTTAGCCAGTCTGACATACACAGGGCAGTGACAGGAAAAGGCCCATAGGAAAGAGCGTTCATTCAGACCTGACCCAGAGACCCAGGGCTCTCACACTCTGAGACTGTGACCTGGGATGAGAAATACACTGTAAGTCACCATGCAGTCCGGGCTGTGCATGCAAACACAGGAAGGCGAAGCCTCCCCTGTCTGCTCAGTCTGGGTCTTGCAACCGCTCTGGTTCTGCATGTCTTTCAGGGCTGCTTTACCTTGAAATGAGCCGCAACTGTGATCTGGTACACGTCTTTTGTGAGTGGGTGCAGCACATCGCACATTTGCAATTTGTAAGTTGGAATCTCACCCTCCCCTGAGAGTCCCTGATTAAAATAGTTGCTGGAATGGGATCTGTGTTCCTCTAAAGTATCATCGTCTCCCATTTCTCCAAATATAATAAACAGGGCCCAGGTGTGACATCTTCTCAAGGGCGTCACCCAGGAAGACATGGTCCTCAACCACCCTCTTCTAATTTCTGCAACTGGAGATACCGGAAGCTTTGATGTAAGACACCTGGCTTCCAGTTTAGAACAGATGACTTACGAAACCTGGGAGGCATCAGCTGATGTGACAAGTAAAGACAAATCCTGGCACCAGACCCAAGTAAAATCTGCTTTCATAAAAGTTCTGTTAAAAAATGAGTAAAATCAAAATAGCCTGCAGTCTATCCTTTGTATTGGACATTTCCTAGGAGGCTGCAACCTTCGGCCGCAATGCTTAGCCAGGTTCTCTCTCCGCCAGACACAGGAGGGAATTCCTAGTTCCCCGTGAGGTGGACGGGAAGCAGGGAGGCAGCGGGCACTGTGTTTGAGGAGCTGAGGTTCTTTGATGCCTTCCACCGCTCTGTGAGTTCCTCCGGGACCCCTTCTCTTCCCAAGGCAGCAGAGGCACAGGCAGGACTTCCCTGGGAAGGCACGAGGTGGGGTGGAGGGTGGAGGGTGGAGGGTGGAGGTGGCGTGGAAATCCCGCACAGGTGCACCTCTCCACACCCCGTGATGCGCGTCACCCACAGACGCAGATCGCCACTCACACACGCGGGGCGTTGGCAGGTGCCACACAGAGGGCACCACGACTAAAAACACCCTGTTCTGCTGCAGGCTGCATGGAGCCCAGCGCCACAGCTGCTATCAACAGTGTTGAGGAAGGACCAGTTACCCAAAAGAGCACAGGAAAAAGCTGTTTCTGCAGACAAAGCCCTGGGCCTTTCCTGGGACCCCCATCCGCCACAGGGCTGCACATTTACAAAAGGGCTACAGCTTCCCAGAGGTTCAAGGATTCCCTTCATTTGCTCTTTCAGAGGGCAGGGAGAGTGGGGAAGGACTCCTGGCCACTGGCTGAATGCCTGGCATCGGCTTGGGACCCGTACAGCTCGGGAAAGCAAGACTCACCCGTGGGAAGAGAAAGCCATGGTGGGTTTGGTCGATACAGAGAGAGGCGGCATTTCCTTTGCTCAGATTAAGCAGCAAATAAATTAAAATACATGAAAACAGAAGGGCAGGGTGACACCACGCAAACTGCTGCAGGCCAATCCAGGCCACCACTAAGCGGTTTACAGCCTGCATTCTGTTCTGAGGGTGGCGATGGTGGGGCAGGGCAGGGCAGGGCAGGGCAGGAGGCGCCACAGCTCATCAGAACCCAGAGGCGATGAGAAACAGCCTCATGGCACCCTCTGGGGAGAGAGATGGATGGGCCATGGCACAAGGGAGCACCTCACAGGCCACAGCCCTCGGGGCTCTGGGAGGCTCCTGAGTCCCTCCCAGACAGAGATCACCATGGACCAGGCCTTCCCTGTATGGCCCACGTGGACACACTCAGGGTTCTTGGGCTTTCATGGCAGAGCCATTCCCTACATGGAGCATCCGTGATCAGATGCCAATCATAAACAATTAGAGATTGTACCTGGAATATATACAGAATGATTCAAACTCAAAAATAGAAAAGACAAGGCGGAATTTCTCTAGAGACCTGCAAATGGCCAACAAGCCCAGGAGAGGACGCAGAGCACCCTTAGTCACCAGGGAAATGCGGGGTGACCCCGCCAAGTGGCAGAGCCAGTCACAAAGCCCCAGGCTGCTTGACTCCATCCACGAGAAGCGTCCACACGGGCAAATCTGCGGGCAACAGAAGGTGCATTAGCAGCTGCCCAGGGCTGGGCTGGGGCATGACGGGAGGGGAGCTGGGGACAGGGCTTGGGAGCACCTGGTACTGGGCACGGGGTTTCATTTGAGGGTGATGACAAGCACTTGGGAGGGCCTGGTACTGGGCATGGGGTTTCATTTGAGGGTGATGAAAATGTTTTAAAATTAGATTGTGGTGATGTTGTGTAGCTTGGTAAATATAATAAAACTCATCAAATTGTTTAAGTGGGTGATTTTATGATATGTAAGTTATATTTCAACAAAGCTCTCTTCCTACACACTCGCGACAGGCTGAGCACTGCTCACTGCCCTGCTTCCAGCCACATGGCCCCACCGCAGCCGCTCCAGGTCAGCACCCCTCACCGCTGGAACCTTCTACCTGCCCATCTTCTGCACAAACGTAGGCTTCTCTCAATTTTCGTGTCAGCAACATTTTTAAAGTTTAGTTTTTATATATAGTATATAGAGCACTGTTGACATAATAAACTCCGTCTTAGAAAAAGACTTTGTTTTACATTTCATAGGGCACTTTGCCAACAAAGATAAGGTGATTTGCTTAATAAACAAATTAAAAAAAATAGGACAGTATCCAACCAGGTAAGGACACAAAAAGCACTCAGTTCTCATGGGAGGACTCTGCCTCAGCCGCTGCCGCCTCGCAGTCACTTGTGATAAGAACTTGGCATCTGCCCCGCAGGCTCTGCCACCTGAGTCCTCCTCGTAAGACCACGGACCACCCCGCCCAGCCCAGGGCTCCCGGTGTCTGCTTCACTCCCCACCGGACTGGTTCATTAACGTTTCCTCCTATCTCCCTTTTTCTCTTGATATTAAATGTTACTTTGTTTGTTGTGGAGTGTTTATAACATTTATGTATTGATTAGGTATACTATTACTATGGTTTACAACATTGACTGATGTGAGGAGTGGCTTGAGCCTGTGTGCCCGCGGCTGGGACTACCCGAGTGACGGGAAGCACCAGCAGTTCCCGGCTTTTGTGACTGAAATAACGTCAACAAAGGCCTCACACTACAGAAAGACACAAGTGCATGTGGACCTGGTTATCTCTAACCTTGCACTACTCATGACAGATAGGGTCTCATAGTGGGTAAAAGTGAGCCCAGTAAGTTTCCAAAGGAGTATGCCTAAGAAAAGAGAAACTAGAAAAAAAAGAGATTATTCTCAAAGTAAGAAGAGAGAAACGGCTGAGGGCAAGCACCATGCAGCTGTGTCCTCCGGATTTAACCAAGGGGGCAACTCCTCCCACCAGCGCAAATACAGTCACCTGCGCCCGTCCCAGAACCCAGGAGACACATCTGGGCTGGGTGGGATTCCAAGGTGTCTCTGCCTGGCGCACGCCTTGCCTCCCCTCGTTGCCCCAGTAAGGGCAAGATGTTTCCGCATTCGAAGTTCAATCAGAAAATCGCTGGATTACCCAAAATAACCAACTTTCCACCGTGGGTCACGCCTTCACCATCCTTACCATGAACTCTGTTAGGGCCTGGGTTGTGGCTGCCCGCATCAGGTTAGAATGGGGTTAGAATGCATGCAGGGACAAAGGAGATTTTTTAAAAATAGGCTGAAAACCACTTTTAGCCAGGGTTAGACACCTAATGGAAGTTTCACATTTCAGCTGAGACAAACAAAACCTATTAGCTGAATTACACCGCGGGGCAGAACAGAAGCAAGCCGACCGGCCTCAATCACTGGATCAATGTTTACAGGGCGATTCTCCCTAATGGCCGGTATTCAAATGTACAGGTATCCAGTGACACAGCCACTTCTTGTTCTGCCGTCCGTGTATAGCTTCAAACAGCAACGTTTCTTGTTTGATGGTCAGAAGATCGTGGGCACTTAAGCGTTTCTAAAAATAGGCTTCCTCCTGACTCGCCATCGCCGCCTCCTAGCAGTCCAGGGAAGCGGCGCGTGGAGCCTGTGCCTCCCCCGTCTCTCAGTGGCTCCCAGGGGCACCCTGGCCCCTCTGGTGGGCGTGCGGGCCTTGCTCGGGTGTAATAAACGCAAACAGGCCCTCCGCAGGTGGACCACGTTTCCACCGCCGTGCTGAGATGCACGGTTCTCTCCCACCTTCGTCCCGGCATGTAAGCAGGGTCTGGGGTCTGGGGTGAGGCTTCACGTGGGCACGCCCATCCCTCTGTCCTCCTTGGTCCGAGCCACTGGCATCTGCTGGGACAGGATCAGAAGCTCCACTGGTTCTCCCCACTCTCGTCACACTCATGGTAACGACTGGATTTCTCTCCTTCCTTTTTTCTTTTCTTCCTCAAACAAATCTCAGGTATTTTCAAGGCTCTCAGTGGCATTCTCCTGCCATGAAGATATTTTTTGCACAAAATCACTTGGGTCACAATGATCCACAAAAGCACAGGGACATCCCTTTGATCTGGAAACACAGTCGACCTGGGAAATGTGGGGTGCCAGCGGACCTAGACCATAGTTTACTGGGTCCAGAACTGAAATAAAAATATAAATTCTCACCCCAAATCATTCTTGGCCTACTCTGGAATGCCTAATTCTGATAGTTCACAACAGTGGGAAGAAACACAGAGCTTCCTAAGAGTCGAGACACAGAGGAAAAGAGCCGGTGACCAAAGCATCGCTTGGAGCCCACAGCACGTCCAGGATTGGGGGGTGCAGTTGGAACAGACTCCGCTGGACTCATGAAATGCAGCAGGAGCAAACGTAACGCTGATTTCATGCGATTCACCCTCCATTTTCGACAGGAGTACGTTTCTGACCAGGCTGCCTGTGAAGCAGCAGCTGTGGCTAACGTGTGTCCATTTACAGCCGCGTGGGATGGCACGGGAAGTGCTGGGAAGCGATCAGACAGACCTGGCTTCCCCGCGGCTCTGAGGCTGGCCTCAGCACGGTGCCTTCACGGTGCCTCTCTCAGGACAGAGACTCCTCTTCACCACAGGGCACTGGGCAGGCTCGCCCACCCCTCTGCAAATCAGTGCTAGAAATCGGCAGCTTTCCCTTAGACTCAGGCTGGTGCATTCCTCATGGCCACGTGTTTCTGCCTGTCACTGAGGCTCATCTCACCTGGAAAACCAGGGTGGTGTCGAGGTTCACATGACTGAGCTATGGGCCGGCTCTGGGGAAGTTGGGAGAACTATAAACTCAGGCATTAGAATTTGAGGCCAAGGTCCCTGCTCCAGTGTGCAGAAGAGAACCTGGTTTTGGCTCTGGCCAAAGAGGAAGCGCAGCAAAGAGGCCACAGCTGCCAGGGACCCGGGTCACGGGCTCCTTCAGTTCACCCCCAAACGCAGCGGGCAGAGAGTCACAAGCCACTGGCCGGGACAACCATGCTGGGAGCCTCAGGGCCAAGGCTGTGCTGCACCTGCTGTGCCTCTGAGCCTCAGAGAGGAGGGCGGGGCTGCAGGCACGCCGTGGGGCCGGGAGGTCCTGTGCCCGGTTTGGAGCTCAGCCCTGGCACACGCTCAGGGGTGTGAGTAGTGGTGCTGACTCAAGAAGAGAAAGGCAAGTGGGGGAGGCCGGGCATGGGGAAGGGTAGGAGCCTGGAAGGAGGAGCCGGGGGGCAGCCCATGGGGCCCTGTCATTGCTCCCGTCTCCCGACTTGCAAACCTTCCCCCCATAGCAGTTCCACCCCCGACCACAAACACCTCCCCATCAATCACAGACATAACCAACTTTCCACCATGGGTCACACCTTCACAGTTACTAACGTCACAGTGCAGCCTCCACTGCCCGCAAGTGAACTGCAGGTGAAGACAAGAGAGCACCAGGAATCGGAAAACAGGCCCAGCATGAGAATGAGCAGCAACTCCGCCCTGAGGACCGGGCGAAACCAACCTACAGGAGAGACGCTCAAGCCTCAGCACCCGACCTCCAGATTCTTCCCAAGCCACCGGAAAACACTGCGTCACCCACGAGCCCAGCGGGAACACCGAGGGGTCGCTGCGTTTATTCCCCACGACTGAGTCCCTCCTTCTAAAGATGAATTAGCCAGAAAACTAAGCAAGCATATCCCAATTCACAAACAAACATGTTAGTATACGTGTCGCCTTTTAAGCAACGGAAATTATATACCTTCCAAGTGCAGAGGGTCACGAGCCACTGGCCGAGACAACGAATGCATTGTAGGCATATTTCCAAAATATTGAATATATATCTAATGAAGACAACTGCAGGACTGCGAGTCAGTAACTGGATAACAGCATACACAGAACAACTCCAGACACCAGGGCGGCTCAGCTGGCGACAGTCTGTGAATGCGCTGTCTGAAATCCGGCAGGCACCCTGGATCCCCAAAGCTGAGACTCCACCATAGGGATGGTGCAGCGTCCGCTGGAGAGGCTGAGGTTGCCCCACAGCCAGTGGCCGACGCCAACTCCACAGAGGAAGACGCCGCAGAAGGCAGAAGTGAAAGCGAAGACGCTGCTGGTAGAGGTGGAGGCGGGCGCCTGGGGCTGCCTCTTGTGTCCCATGTAGCTCATCACAGGGCCGCCCTGGCAGTGGCCGGGCTCCACGCAATCTTGGGAGGCCGGAATAAAAGAACGGCTATGAGGAAGTCGGAGGAAGGCAGAGAGGAAATTCCCAGAAGCAAACAGGCACTTGGAAAACCTTCAGGAGAAACGAAAGAAACAGGAGGACACGGATCCCAGGGGTGACGGGGCTGCCACCAAAGCCACCACCAAGCCAGGCCAGAGAGCAGTGACCAGAGAAGGGCGTTTCTGTGACCAGCGCTTGGTGGGGAAGTGAGGAGCCGGAGGGGGTTCCCCAGCCAGCAGCGAAACCACAAGTCCACGGGCCACACCTGAGTGCTGCGAGGGGTCTGCACGCAGGCACTGCCACCGAGCAGGTGACAAGGATGAGCCTCAGGTCAAGCCCACCACCACAGACGCACTCACGCTCTGGAGTCCTAGACTAGAGCTCTGAGAGACTTCAGAGTTTGCAGTGTGGCTACTGATATCATTGGCCAAGTGGGGAAAGTAAAGGTAGCAACTTTTTATTGTGAGACTGGGTATCAGAAGAATGTCCTCTCTTCAGAGTAAAAGAGTCACACACCCCTTTCAAAAGCCAATTATGTGCAGATGATCAGACAGTCACAGATATTCTGTGGTTAGGCAAATAGCCAGGCTCCCAACAGCACCCCCACATCCTCCCTACCTTCCCACAGGGGCCCCCGATACCCCTACATCCTCCCCACCTTTCCACGGGGGCTCCCAGCACTCCCACACCCTCCCCACCTTCCCACAGGGGCCCCCAACACCCCCACATCTCCCCACCTTCCCACAGGGGCCCCCAACGCCCCCACATCCTCCCCACCTTCCCACAGGGGCCCCCAACGCCCCCACATCCTCCCCACCTTCCCACAGGGGCCCCCAACGCCCCCACATCCTCCCCACCTTCCCACAGGGGCCCCCAACACCCCCACATCTCCCCACCTTCCCACAGGGGCCCCCAACACCCCCACATCTCCCCACCTTCCCACAGGGGCCCCCAACACCCCCACATCCTCCCTACCTTCCTACAGGGGCCCCCGATACCCCTACATCCTCCCCACCTTTCCACGGGGGCTCCCAGCACTCCCACACCCTCCCCACCTTCCCACAGGGGCCCCCAACACCCCCACATCTCCCCACCTTCCCACAGGGGCCCCCAACGCCCCCACATCCTCCCCACCTTCCCACAGTGGCCCCCAACACCCCTACATCCTCCCCACCTTTCCACGGGGGCTCCCAGCACTCCCACACCCTCCCCACCTTCCCACAGGGGCCCCCAACACCCCCACATCTCCCCACCTTTCCACAGGGGCTCCCAGCACTCCCACACCCTCCCCACCTTCCCACAGGGGCCCCCAACACCCCCACATCTCCCCACCTTCCCACAGTGGCCCCCAACGCCCCCACATCCTCCTCACAGGAATCCATGTTCAAAGCCTGTTTCCTGCAGAACTGGGCACCTGCTGCAGCTTTCAGCACAGTGAATATGGAGGGAAGAGGCAGACTCCCTCAGGTGCTTCTGCCCCCATCCTGGGGGGTGGGCAGAAGCCAATGAGGGAAACCCTCCCCCTTCCCCTTCCCTTACAGGGAGACGGATGCAAGCATGTGACGGTGGTCCTGCAAGGACCCTGACCCCAGAAGACACTGCCGGGCCAGTCACTGACCTGAGGCTGCAGTATAGATTCAGCCGGGACGCACCTTCTGGACGCAGCTCTGCAGGGAGGACAGTCTGGGAAAGAGAGGGTCCCAGGAATGCCCTGTGACAGCCTCTGGGTGAGGGGCTTCTCCCCCCAGCACAGGTGTCCAAAGGAGAGAATACAGTTTTGGGTTCTTACTTTTTGTTTCTGGTTGGGCCAGTAAAGCCCCTTACTCATCCCTCTTCTGCTTATTACTAGAGACAGAAATGAAAAACCATGGCTTCAGGCTGCTAAAAGCCTAAAACAAAAGAAAACAGAAAAACAACAAAATAAGGCAGGTTGGACGACCTTGCATGGAGAGGCAGAGATTGCCTCGTCGGAAGAATAAGAAGTCCGTCTCCACCACCGTTCCTTCCTCAAGCAGGTGGGCACATCTGAAGAATAAGAAGTCCGTCTCCACCACTATTCCTTCCTCAAGCAGGTGGGCACATCGGAAAACGCTGCGTCAATTTCTACAACCCGTGACAGGGGGATCCGCCCCCGACCGTATCCCAAGAATCCACACTCGTGAACTAAAACTGCCCATGGTCAGTTAAAGGATCAACGCCGGACACCGGCCTGCAAGGAAGCCGCGGCTTCAGAAGGGGGAGGACCCTGGCGGTTACGCCTGCTCAGCGCTGTGAGGGGAGTGGCTGCTTTACGGGAGGTCGTTACAGAAAATCGTTTGTATTGTTGGTTTACTAAGCTCTGCAGCGAGAATTATTCGTGAGCATCTTTCAGATCCACTGTAGCAGGCTCCGGTCAGTCAGAGCTTTCGTTCTCAGAGACATTTCCCCACACTAACTGGAGTATTTAGCACCTGAGATATTTTGTTCAAAGTGAATCTAGTTTTCAGATCGAATGGTTCTTAGGTCTCTCTCAAACCCGTGACTCATTCAAAAGATCAACCCTCGTTCTCACCATGAACATCGACTGAGCGCTTCTTCCTGTGTTTGAAGTTCACTTAGGCAATTTCAGTACATTCTCCCTCGTTCAGAGGCCGCTTCTTAACCTTAACCATGTCCCAGAGACACGCTCAGAAGAACGTGGAGTGGACAAGGAAACGGGGCCGAATCAGATGGAGTGAGGGGAAGGGAGCAGAGGCGGGGCCTGCCCGGAGGAGGCTGCACCAGCGAGACCACGACCCCCCCAGGCCAGGACCAGAAAACAAGGCAGGGCGGGCCTGGGGTTCCAGGCGTCCTCAGAGGCCTCCCCAAGGATGGGCCTGGCCGTCAGAACAACTTGCCAGGCCTCCAGGTCACAGGAACTGCCCGGGCCACCCCTGCTGCTCCTCCTCACCTCTCCTGTCTGTGTCCAGACATGAGACTGGAAGACCCAGGGGGAGAAGCTTCCAGAGCCGGGGCGGGGGGGAGGGGGGGCAAGCCAGCCACTGTCAACGCACTTTGCTGGCTGGGAAGCACTCACCCCATCTCACTGAAACCCTCAAAGTTGCCAGGCAGCAGCTAAGGAGCAGGTGCCGTTCAAAGGACTTGCAAGAAAAGCGTGCGGTGGGGAGGCTGCCAAGATGTCCCTGCCTTGCCCCAGTGCCCATATAATCCTCCTCCAGGGATCCGAGTGAGGCAAGTGTCGGGGCTTCTACCAGCCCAGACTGGTAGCGCCCTGAGCTAAGGAAAGAGGTTGGCTCATGGTCAGAGGGTGTCACTATTACTGATCTTCTGGGATAAACAACCAGGCTGTGGACATTCCATAAGAAAACGTGCCTGGGTCCCATTCACCTCAGTAGCCATCCAGTGTGAACGCAGGACTCTGCACTTCCAGCCCACTGCAGCCCCAGCCCCAGGCAGACGAGCCCATCAAGGGGACACAAACCCTTTGAATGCGGTGACTTAATGCACAGCCTGATGCAGGGGGCACGTCACCAGCTTCCTGGGCTTCCAGGTCCTCTTCGGCTCCTTTAATGCCATCCCTGCAGCAGTCACAGCCCACAGGCCCCACCTGGGACTCTGTCTGGATGGGAGGCAGGGTGGGGGCCCAGCCCAGGCCTGGACCTTCCAGACAGAGTTCTCCCTGCCCTGTTCTGCTCATCATCAGGAGGTCTTCTAACCCTGACAGACCCAGGAACCCCTCCATCAGGAAACAAATATTCCTAATGTCCCCATTCCATGAAATCGTAAGGAACAGGGCTACCTGCACCAGGAACTTCTACAAACCACTACAGTGCACTGTCTGTGACAGACACAAGGAAGCTAAGTCGTGATAAACACTCAAGCATGAGCCTATAAGGAACAGGCCGGGGCCCCGCAGGTGTCAGAGGCGAAGTGTCCAGGAGCGATGTCACCGTGAATGCAGAGGCACCACCGTGCCAGGACGCCTAGGGTCAGGGTTCCATCACCCCACACAGATACTCCTGCTTTTATGGGGGCTACGGCCAAACAGGGCTACTGCAAGCTGTGACTTTCCAAGATCCTAACAACTCCTGGTAACACTCCAAACAAAACATGTCATCTCTTTCCACAACTTACGTTTATATCAAAAAGTATCTGAAATGGCTCTCAATCAATTTAGGGGTTTATTTTGCCAAAGTTAAAACCATGGCCTGTGACATGGCCCCAGGAGGTCCTGAGAACGTGTGCCCAAGGCGGTTGGGGCACAGCTTGATTTGACACATTTTAGGGAGACAGAAGTGACAGGCAAAGACATAAACCAACACATGGAAGGTGGCGTTGGTTTGGCCTGGGAAGGTGCAACATCTCCAAGCAGGGGGTGGGGGAGCCTCCAGGTCACAGGTGGATTCAAAGATTTCCTGACTGGCGACTGCTTGAAAGAGTGAAGCTCGGCACGAAGAGTTGAAGTCAGCGTGAAGTTAAGATAAGGAGGTCGTGGAAGCCAAGGTTCCTCCATGTAGAGGATGCCTCCAGGTAGCAGGCTTCAGAGAGAAGAGATGGTGAGTGTCTCTTAGCAGAGCCTAAAAGGGTTCAGACCCTCCAGAAAAGAGCTGGAAAGGGAAGTGGATTCTCTACAGAATGCAAATTTCCCCCACAAGAGACAGCTGTGAGGGGCCATTTCAAAATATGTCAATGAAATGTATTTTGAGGTAAGATAATTTCTCTCAGGGCCTGCTATCGGTCATGTGAGGGTACACTAGAGTCAGGTTGGAAACTTACTGGTACAGAGAGTCTGTTTTGTCAGTCTCAGGTCTCTGTTTTAATGTCACTGCTGGTCCAAAGGGAGGAGGGTGGGATGAGGCCTGTCCGAGCCCCTCTTCCCATCAGAGCCTGAACTCGCCTTTCCCATTTCCTTGGGGTCCCCTTGGCCAAGATGCAGGTCCATTCCGTTGGTTGGGGGCTTAGAATTTTGTTTTCGGTTTACAACGTAATAGCTGTTGTTATAACGTGTACCTGGGATTTGCTATAATCAGGCATGGTAAGACATGCAGGCATAGAAATTATCACGAAGGAAGAAGATCTTTATACTCAACTCCCTGGACGCAGGCACTCAGCCACCGCGCAGGGCTGCTCAGGGATGCGCTTTTCTGCGTCTGTCAAATGCTTTTTGAAATTAAAGGCATAAAATGGGGCAAACTGAAGAATGGTTTTATTCTTTGCCCCTAAGAAGTTACCAGAAAAGGATGGGTCACTGCCACCGTCTGCCTCACTCAGAGCTCAGGAGCCGCGCACGGCGAGGAAGGCCTGTGCTCCCGGCACACACGTGACTGAGTGCCCCGGCCTCCACGCCACTCCTGGAGGGCTGCCCGTCATACCGTGAGCATTTGTAAAGAGACACTTTTTGTTTGTGATGTTTTACGTTTTATGATCTTGAATGAAATTATTCCGTGGAACTTAGCTGAGCATAACTGGGTTTCGAGCTCATGACTTTACAGCAATGGAATTTTACCACAGGGACATGGGAGTTAAGGGGAAGAAAAATGAACCACTTCTGCACATTTCCAGCCTGCGTCACACCCAACACACCCGTCTGTAGCTGGCTCTTATCTTCGGGTGAGGAAAATGATGGAGCAGTATCCTGAAGGAGTTTATCGTGGTCTCCTCCGAACCACGGCCGGGACTGAAGACACCTCCTGTCAACAAGTGATTGTTGCATCAGGCGCACAGCAGTCTCGGGGGCCCATAGAGACAGTTCTCACAAAGGCCTGCAGGCTGCTGCTGTCTTTCCAACAGCGGCCTTTCAGGTCCCAGCTCATACTCTGAGAAACTGCCTCTCAGCCTCAGAGACCGATTTCCTAATCTCAGCATCGGGCATCAGGAATGATGCAGAAATGCCACAGTCTCCACAGTACAGATTCCAACCTCGCTGTGATAGGAGGCCAGCAGGACCCGGCCCAGAAGCCCACCCTGAGCTGGGGCAGAGGAGGAGGAGGGGTTTGGGAGGTCTGCAGTTAGCTGCCCTGTGAAGGTTTCCCACACACTTAAAACCCACATATACCTCATAAGCACGAGTCTCCATGACCTTAGGTTACAATGCCTTGATAACAGGGACTGTCTTTCCTGCTGCTTTCTATCTTCCATCGAGGTCACGAACTCAAACACCCACAGGGCTAGGCAGTTGACTCCAGTAGGGAGGAGGTGAGTGTGACACTCAGCCTGTAAGCCTGGGGCAGCTGATGCCAGCTTGGCCAAAATGTCCCTGGGGAGGCCCCACCCCTGCTGCAGGTTCACTATGCAACCTGGCCGAACAGGTGTGTCTCAAGAATTTTCTAAAAGCACAGCTAGAATGAGCCACAGTGTTCCAGCCGGGGCCACACCGGCTGACAAGTGACAGACTAAGGTGTGCAATGGTGTGGGTGCAGCAACCCCCTTATCCTCAGGGGCACCTCCAAGACCCCAGGAGATTCCTGAATCCGAGATAGTACCCAAACCTATGTGCACGATGTCCCCTTTATCCTCAGGGGTGCTTCTAAGACCCCAGGGGACTCCTGAATCCGAGATAGTACCCAAACCTATGTGCACGATGTCCCCTTTATCCTCAGGGGTGCTTCCAAGACCCCAGGGCATTCCTGAAACCAATAGAGTACCGAATCCTATGGACACAATGTTTTCCCTATGAACACACACCCCTGATAAAGTTTAATTTATAAATTAGGCACAGTAAGAGATTAACAATAACTAATAATAAAATAGAACAATTATAACAATATGCTGTTCCCAGTTTCACAGAGAGAAGATTCCATCTGACTGGAGATCTTGGCAACATAACAACATCTCCTGAGATTGCTGAGCGTACCATTTTCTTTTTCCTTATTAAGTCGAGAACTTTCACTTTTCACTTAAAGGAGCACCTTCTGGCTTCTCTTAGGTGTACCCGCATTGCCTGCCTCACTGCTCTTGTGCTTTGGGGCCATGATGAAGTCAAATGAGGGTTCCTTGAACACGAGCACTGCGACCCCTGGACCACGGATCTGATAACCGAGAGGCCATAAGGGGGGTGGGGAGCGTCCGCAGCCTGGAGACGCTGGACGAAGGGAGGGTTCAGTCCCTGGAGCGATGGAGCAGGCGGAGCCAGGTTTCACCACGCTCCCCAGAAGGGTGCACAAGTTAAAACTTGGGAATTGTTTATTTCTGGAATTTTCCTGTTAATATTTTCATACCTCGGTTATCTCAAGTAACTGAAACTACAGAAAGGGAAACTGTGGCTAAGGGGTCATCATCCCCACTCCACCTCCCAACAACATCTAAAAAGTCCTGTGGACTGAAGGAATGAGGAATGTGTCGTTACAATTTCCTTTGATTCTTCCCGGGCCACTGTGTTTTAAATCTCAGTTTGATTATCAAATTCAGATCAAAGCAATAAATATTTATTGGCAGAACTGTTAACAACTATGCTGGTAACTATATTTACATAATACAGTGTAATTATATTTACGCAAACATGACCTGGTGCATGGGAAGTTCTTCCAGCCTCTGAGCAAGAAGAGGGAACAGGGCCAGCTGATGAATGCATATTGAATGTCTGTGTGAACTAGCTGAAAAAAATTAGGCAAGTTTGTTTACATTGAGATCAAATCTTTTTTAAAAAGAACATTAAAAAAACAACTTAATAACCCAACCCAAATCATGTTGTTATCATTTGAGCATGTTTCTATCTGGCATGTAAAACATCTTTTTTACTGAAATCACCAGGAACTCTTCTTCCATAGTCCTCACCCAAATGGGTAATGCTAAACTTACTGGGGGCTTCTGGATGCGTCTCTGCCACCCACACTGGACTCGGCGGGGGCCCTATACACACAGCACCCAGGACACAGCAGCGCCTGGACGAAGGGAAGCATGAAACTCACAGCGAGGTGCCCCTTCCTCAACTGTACTACTATGAATTTTGAATAATTAGAGAAAAACAAGAGAAATTACTTTTATTCCCACTTTCTGGATTGCTTACACGGAAGACTGAGAAATGAAAAGACTCACGTTTTGTTTATAAGATGTTAAATGGAATCCGGCTCGGGGATGACACACTGCTCTTCAACAGAGTCAAATCTTTCTATTTCTCTTCCTTTAAGCCCCAAGCTGCATCTGCCACCCTAAGGCATATTGCCAGACGGCTTCCTTCGGTTCCTGTCCAGTTAATGATGACAGGAATTAGCTCAGCACATCGATTCGACAAGGTGGTGCTTTCTGTTGCATGCACTTTTTAAGTGAAAAGCAACTCACATGAAAAATGCATAACTTGTGCGAATAACCTACCCAAGGGCGTTTACAAAAATTAACGTGATTATCTGGTGATAAAATGTTTATAACATTTTATAAACAGAAGAATTTGCCATTTCGGAATTGACTTCATTCTGTCTTCTTGGCAAAATAGGAAAAAATAAAATTGTTCTATTAAAAAAATTAAAAGTTTACAAAACAGGCACTGAAAACCTTCTAGATCATCCTGGAAACATCCTTTACACAGTAAGCAGATGATAAAGAGTACCAATCTCCAATTTCTGCATCAATAAATGAAAGTACATTTGCTGAGCCCTTCACAGTGATACAGAAGTTTTACTGGTGTATAAGTTCAATGAACTGTTAATGTAAAACTGAAAAGTCATCGTCACAGCTGGCTGAATTTGTTACATCGCTCAGGTTAAAAATGTGTCCACGCGCTATTGTTGAAAGAGCACGCAGGTTAGGAAGTCTTCAGAGCAGGGTCTTGGGAGCAACCCCCACCGTCATGACGGTCAGAAGTCTCCGGACTCTGCCAAGTGTGTTGCGGGTGGCTGGAACAAGACTGCTCCCAGGTGAGAGCCTCTGCTTCAGAGCAAGACAGATCCAGGTTTAAACCCCAGCACGCAACAGGAAGAACCTCACCAGAGGGCTGCAGGATGTGGCCTCATCCACCCAGAGTTACCCAGAGCTCCCCCAGCCGCCTCCTGCTCTAATCCTTTCCTTTGCTTGCAGGCACGAATGTTTCTGCAGCAAACCTCTGAGTCCTCACCAAGGATAAGAGGGGACAGGGGAATGGATGAATTTCTATACCCTGCACACGTTGCTGTTTTTACAAGAGAAGTATTTGGTGTTATGTTTACCCACGGAAGTGACAAAATATAAATGTTACTCAACTTTTTATTAAATGAATTGGTTCAATGATTTTCACATCTTAACTGAAAATGTAACGTAAAAAATGAAGGCTACAAAACTGTACGTTCTAAAGCCGATTTTTTGGCTGGTGGCTGCTTCTGCATCAGTTTGCATTTATGAAGAGCACACACCCCACGGTAATGAACCGTTCTGAGATAATGTAACTGTGCAGGAAAATTGAAAAATGCTTCACAAGTGTTAGTTGCTGGAGTATTTGATTTCAAGTGCGAGAGGAGCTAGCAAGATAGATTTAAGAAATGTAGGCTGGGAGCGGTGGCTCACGCCTGTAATCCCAGCACTTTGGGAGGCCGAGATGGGCGGATCATGAGGTCAGGAGATCGAGACCATCCTGGCTAACACGGTGAAACCCCATCTCTACTAAAAATACAAAAAATTAGCCGGGCATGGTGGCGGGCGCCTGTAGTCCCAGCTACTCGGGAGGCTGAGGCAGGAGAATGTCGTGAACCCAGGAGGCAGAGCTTGCAGTGAGCCGAGATTGTGCCACTGCACTCCAGCCTGGGCGACAGAGAGAGACTCTGTCTCAAAAAAAAAAGAAAAAAAAGAAAAAAAAAGAAATGTGAAGTGTTTACTGATCCATTCTTCTTACTTCAAATGTCCTTAGTGGCCAGGTGTGGTGGCTCAAGCCTGTAATCCCAGCACTTTGGGAGGCAGGGGTGGGTGGATCACCTGAGGTCAGGAGTTCGAGACCAGCCTGGCCAACATGGTGAAACCCTGTCTCTACTAAAAATACAAA